>NC_000008.11:140547467-140849545 GCF_000001405.40 Homo sapiens
CTGCCCTGGGGCAGCAGGATGTTGTTCACGCCTCCCAGCTTGACGTTGATCTTCAGGCAGAGGTTGGACAGGGTCTGTGGCGTGGTCCTCTGCACGTTCTTCATCTGCACGCACTGCGTGGCCATCCCCAGCACCGTGTCTCCCACGCGCTTGACCTCGGCTAAGGGACATGAGAGGCACACACAGCTCTGCCGGCGCCCCTTCCTCAGCTGGCCCCGAGAGCAGCAGCTGCCACCAGCCCTCTTGCCCCCATCTGGCAAGTGCAGCCATGGCAGCTGTGCTGAGCTTTGCGTGTCCCCCTCTGTCCGAGGTCGGTGATAGAAGAGGGTCCCTGGTCCCGAGGGGGACGCCAAGCTCCTTGGAGTCCAGACTCCAGCACGGCTGTGCCCGCCTCGCCCAGGCCAGGCTTTCCCTCCCTCAGGAAGGGAAGTTGAGTGAGTCTATCTCATCCCTCCAATTTATCAACAAAACGATTTAAATGCCTCACCTAGGGCCCCAGGGCAGGAGAGAAAGAGCCCAACTAAAAGAAAGGACTTGGCTCCCTGCTTAGGAAGGCCACTTACACTGGCCGGGCGCGGTGGCTCACACCTGTAATCCCAGGACTCTGGGAGGCCATGGCGGGCGGATCAGCTGAGGTCAGGAGTTCAAGACCAGCCTGGCCAACATGGCAAAACCCTGTCTCTACTAATAATATAAAAATTAGCCGGGCATGGCAGTGTGTGCCTGTAATCCCAGCTACTCGGGAGGCTGAGGCAGGAGAATTGCTTGAACTCAGGAGGCAGAGATTGCAGTGAGCCAAAATCACACCACTGCACTCCAGGCTAGGAGACAGAGCCAGCCCTTGTCTAAAAAAAAAAAAAAAAAAAGGAAAAGAAAAAAAGGAGGGTCACTCACACCACGGCGCCCTGGCTGTAAGCAAATGCTTGGGTGGTTAAAAATAAAAACACTGGCACCCTCCAAATCCTTGGCAGATGTAGACCTGACATCAAAGAGCTCCACGGACCCACCCCCCGCTATTCCTGGTCTCTTTCATGAAGCAACTGGTCAGCTGCTCCCTGGGCAGGTGTGGGGAAATGGTGACCCTGGGACAGTGTTAGCAGGATGTCAACACCAACAGCTTTTTCTTCCCTTCTTTTTTTGGGATGTTGAACTGAGAGAAGTGTGGTTTTTACATGTCAATAATCTGTCTGTGGCTCAGCGTGGGGCCCTGTGGGTGACCCCCTGGCATGGACTTTGGCGAAACTCCACAAAATTCTGAGGTGGGCACAGAGTGGTTACACATAGGCTGAGTCCCGGGCAGGAGGTGACCCTGGTGCAACGCTCTGTGCGTTAAACAAACGTTCCCCCATCCAGCCAACACGCATGCTGTATGATGGGCGGGGTGCCCACCCATGTGCCAAGGCCTGTGCCACCCGAGGGTGCTGACTGCCCAGGACCATGGCATCATACAGGACGACGGGGAGGCCCTGAACACAGTGATCAGAAGTGGCAGTGATGACAAGCCACCTCTTCTTCCTCAGCCTCCTGAAAGGCCCAAAAGGAGCACCTTTCTCAGTGCAGCAGAAACACAGAGGGGCTTAGGCAGGAACAAACACCCACGGAGACCACGACGGCTCCCCACAGCCAGCGGGAGCGCCCACACCTACCGTACACGGGCGTCTTGCCGGGCAGGATGACCACCACCAGCTGCAGGCCCGCATACGTGTTCTTCAGGTGCCGGAACATGGGCTCCACGCTGTCCGCCCCCTGCGCGTATTTGCAGAAGCACGGCTGGCCCTGGATGGGCATGCCGGCGTCTCTCGAGATCTTTCTGAGCTGCTCTGTGAAGGACCTGCAGGAGAAGGCTCCGTTCACTACCGGGCACTGGGAATGGCAGAGAACTCAGGCCGACCAGAGGCTCTAACACAAGGGCGTCATTTTTACAAAGCCCAAAGCACTTTCATTGAGGTCAAAATTGTTCTTAAAGTCCTGAATGAGGCCAGAATTCAGAGCTACATCTCCTAACACATACTAACTCATGAGAAAGGTTAAGTGTGCTAAACATACATGTAACATGTAAGTGCACTCAAAAGTCACATGCGGCTAACTTGCCACCGTAACACAGCAGCCTTTAAACCGCGCTCACGCTGCCTCGCGGCTGTGGCGGCCCCAGGGCAGTGATGCGATGCTGTCCCCGTAAAGCTGCTGAGCAGCGCCTGGAGCTCTTGTGAAGCTCTCCCCACGTGCAGGCCAGGCACTGTCAGAGTGAGGGAGGTTTTCAGCTCACTGTCCTTTTGGATCTTTTCCCCCAGTAGTTCTGATGGGCATAACTTGGACTGTATGACATCATCACGAGAGAAAACAGCAGCCCGCAGCCTGAGGAGTGGCAGCAGCTGGCAACGGCTAGCCTTGTGAAGCTGGGGCGGGGTGGGAGGCAGGGCAGCGGCTTCTATTTTAAGCCGAAGACTAAGAATCATGTCACCTTCTACAATAAGGGCGAGGACACGGCACTCCAACCCAGCCAGTGTCCAATTTCCTGTACATTAGATCAGGTCAAGAAACACGTGTGTGTCCACCCATATCTTCAGCTCCAGGCCAAAGTGAAGGAAGGGGCCAAGGACAAAAGAAGGGGCAGGAGGCGACCCTGTGTTCAGAACTAACCTACTTCAGCTTGCTTCCCAAACCCCCTCTCTAGGCTTCCACCTCCTCTGCCAGCAGTGTGGACACAAGGTGGCCTCAGAAGGACAGATGGCCACTCGCCAGCAAGACGTCAGCTCTGAGGGCCATGCTGGTTCGCAGTCAGCCCTTGCTGGAACTGTTAAGGGACCGGCTACACCTCACAGGCTGGAGTTCTCCCCTGCTGCCCCCACAGAGCGGGGAAGCAAAGACTTTATGTTCCCTTTGAAGTCTGGCACAAAGGCACGAGCCACCCTGCTGTGTGCTCCCAACACAGTCCCGCTGGGCCCGTACCTGGCACGGCTGTGCTGGCCGAGGCGAGCATCCTGGGTGAGGGCAGGCCCTTCCACAGCACTTGGGCCTCCTAGAGGGCCTGGTACTCACCTGGGCAGGTGGCAGAGACCTGAACCAACACTTCTCTCCTCTTAATCACTCCTCTTGTCTGGGAAGGAAGATAACACTCCCAGCCTCTCCACCTCTCTATTTCACCTTCTCTTCCTATTTTTTTTCTTGAGATGGGGTCTTGCTTTTTCACCCAGGGTGGAGTGCAATGGTGTGATCTAGGCTCACTGCAACCTCCACCTCCCGGGTTCAAGCGATTCTCCAGCCTCAGTGCCCTGAGTAGCTGGGACTACAGGTGCACCACCACGCTTGGCTAATTTTTCTATTTTTCGTAGAGATGGGCTGGTCTCAAACTCCTGACCTCAAGTGATCCTTCTGCCTCAGCCTCCCAAAGTGCTGGGGATTACAGGCATGAGCCACTGTGCCCGACCCATCTCTTCCTGATTCTGTCTTCATTTTCTCCTTCTAATTTACACAAATATGGAGCCAAATTATTATTTTTTAAAATAACTGTAGTTCATTGAATCCAATTCTCTCTTTTGCCCCTACTTATAAATTTCCTTCAGATCCTGTTTGGTTTTGTCTACGGTCTGCGTTACTTCTCCATGCTCACTGCGAGGGTGGGTCCCAGGAGTGAGAGGGGCACCAATGGGGCCAGCATGTCTTGCCCTGGCCCGGCCAATGGTACGTGACAGGGAAAGGCTGATGAACCCTGACATCAAAACCCATACCAGCACCCTCACCCCCACCCCAACCAGAGTCAGCCCTGCAAGTGGTCACTTGAGCTGCCCATCGGGCAGCACCCCCAGGCCGGAGCCTCTGCCTGTGGGGGGCTTACTTCAGATGGACTTCCGTGCACTGGCGCTGGGGGGCGAAGCACGCAATGGCCCACACCTTGATCTCGATGCCCGTGTGGAACTGCTTGTTCCGCATGTCCCAGACGCCCTGGACAGGGGTCGCAATAGCTTTATTCTGCAAATGGCAAAAGGTTCAGGGTGAGAAAAAAATGGAAAACATATTCCTTCAACCTTAGACTTTGTCACTCTCACTGTTGGTCCCCCTGACCAACAACTGCTTCTCAGGGAAAGAACTTTTGTGTTGTCTCCTGTCTCTGACCTGCCTAGTGATGCAGACAACTGACAGGATCGGTAGATGGATGGGCTGGTGGAAGATGGGTGGGTGGATGGTTGATGGGTGGGTGGATGGTTGATGGGTGGGTGGATGGTTGATGGGTCGGTGGATAGTTGATGGGTGGGTGGATGGTTGATCGGTGGATAAGGTAGGTGGGTGGTCCGTTGATGATCGGTGGATAAGATGGGTGGGTGGATGGTTGATGGGTGGATAAAGTGGGTGGGTGGATGGCTGATGGGTGCATAAGGTGAATGGGTAAATGGTTGATGGGTGGATAAGGTGGGTGGGTGGATGGCTGATGAGTGGATAAGGTAGGTAGGTGGATGGAGAGATGGAGAGATGGATGAATGGATGAATGGATGGATGGATGGAGTTAGATGGAGGATGGATGGGTAAGTAATGAACAGACAGATGGGAGCTAAGCCAGGAGGAGGGAGGCCCAAAGCTCCATCCAACCTCATGAGCAGCCTGGAGGAAGAGAAGTGCCTTGCCATGCTACAGGCCTTGCCATGCTACAGGAAGGCCTCCTGTTCTATACAGAGCTTTCCCTCATTTCCCCTCCTCTATCACCAATGATGTGGGAAGGGGAGATCAGAGCTGGGACTGAGCCCATAGCTTTTTCCACTCAGCATGCCACTGCCTGCAGCTGTGTCGGAAACGGGAGCTACTTCCACTTGAGAAGAGAAAGGCGGGCTGTGCAAATGCGCTGTCAGCTCTCAGCCAGCTCTCAGCCAGCCCTGAGCACTGTCACCTAAGGAATCTCTGAACTGGCTTCAAGTGATTCTCAAGGGAAGGGTGGGCCAGGAAGGGTCCCGTGTGGGAGGGACAGGCACTCCTAGGCCTGGGGGCATTGCTAAAGGATGCGGCTGTGCCTGGGCTGCCGTCATTTACTCTGGAGAGGTTTTTGTTTTTTTTAGCAGGAAGCATCTTTCGTACAAAATACAAGCCTGCTGTAGAAATCAGACACGTGATAGAAACAAATGCTTTGTTTCCTATATTTTTATAACTACTGCCTGTTCCCACCAGCCTCCCTGTGTGCAAGAGTCTCACAGACAGCCTGGGGCTCCAGACAGGGAGTGCACACACACACACACACGCATGCACTCACATGCACATGAACACACGCACATGCACGCGCGCGCGCGCACACACACACACACACACACACACACACACACTCTTACTATACAGGTGCTTCTCAACCTCGGCACAACTGACATCCGAAGCTCAATGATTCTTTGTTACGGGGCTGTCCTGTGCCCTGTAGGCGATCCCACTCACCCCCAAGTTGTGACAATAAAAAATGTCTCCAGACACTGCCAGATGTCCCCTGGGGGGCAAAATCATCCCTGGTCGAGAACTCCTGCTGTACACATTGCTTTCTGAGGGATATTTTGTTTTTTTGCACTAACAATGGACCAGGGGTAGGTAGAGTAGGGGACAGGAATGTTTCCTCACATTATAATGTTTTAGAGATCTGGAAAAATGTATTCATGTATTAACAGAAGCATTACACGCTCAGTCAGGTGCAGTGGCTTACACCTGTAATCCCAGCTGAGGTGGGAGGACTGCTTGAGCCCAGGAGTTCAAGATGAGCCTGGGTAACATAGTGAGACCTCGTCTCTACAAAACATTAAAAACCTAGCTGGGTGTGGTGGTGTGGCTGTGGTCCCAGCAATTCGAGAGGCTGAGGTGGGAGGAACGCTTGAGCCCGGAAGGTCAGGGCTGTAGTGAGCTATGACCGCGTCACTGCACTGGAGCCAGGGCAACAGAGAAACACTCTGCCTCAAACAAGTTACAAGTTTTTTGTTTTTTGTTTTTTTTTTTTTTTGAGACGGAGTTTCGCTCTTGTTGCCCAGGCTGGAGTGCAATGGCACGATCTTGGCTCACCGCAACCTCTGCCTCCTGGGTTCAAGCGATTCTCCTGACTCAGCCTCCCGAGTAGCTGGGATTACAGGCATAGGCCACCACACCCAGCTAATTTTGTATTTTTAGTAGAGACGGGATTTCTCCATGTTGGTCAGGCTGGTCTCGAATTCCTGACCTCAGGTGATCTGCCTGCCTCAGCCTCCCAAAGTGCTGGGATTACAAGTGTGAGCCACCATGCCTGGCCTTTTTTTTGAGACAGTGTCTCACTCTGTTGCCCAGGCTGGAGTAAAGTGGCACAATCTCGGCTCACTGCAACCTCTGCCTCCCAGGTTCAAGTGGTTCTCCTGCCTCAGTCTCCCGAGTAGCTGGGATTACAGGCGCATGCCACCATGCCCAGCTAATTTTTGTATTTTTTAGTAGAGATAGGGTTTCGCCATGTTGACCGGAGGCTGGTCTCGAACTCCTGACCTCAGGTGATCCTCCTGCCTTGGCCTCCCAAAGTGCTGGGATTACAGGCATGAGCCGCAGCACCCAGCCTACAAGCTCTCTTAATCCCTACACTCTTGAGATTTTTGCAACGTTGGCTTACACAAGCTCTTCTGTTTTTCAGACAACCACTGCCCTTGCTAACAGCTGAAGCCCGAGGGAACAGAAGCCAGCAGGGCTGTGAAGCGGTGCTGGGTTCAAAAGCCCCATCCCCGCACAGGGGCCAGGCACTCCTCTTGCCCTCCCGGGGCGTCTCCTCCCCAACTCATGAAGGGGGATCACGGGCTCTTCCTCCTGGGCTTGGGCTGTGTTTATACAGCATCTGGGGCCTCGGGGGACAAGCGAGCCAAGGAGGGGCTGAAGGGCCCTGCTCAGACTCCCTTCAGAGAGACAAGCAGTGGCCATGCCCACCACCAGGGACACAGACCCCCCCACGTGATGGGGTGCCACGCAGCAGTGCTAGAGGACAAGACACACACGAACAGCAACACAGAACGGCCAGCAGCCTCTCAGTGAGCTCTAAGGAAATGTTAGCTAGAAAACAGCGAGGCACAGAAATATAGGTAATGCTATTATTTTCACAAAAAGGGGTGAATCATCCCTGGGTGATTTTACAAAGGAGAAGGAACACCAACTGCTTCTTGAGAGGGCAACTGAGAACTGGGAAAAAAGATACTTTTTCCTTTAATTCTTTTGTATCTTCTGAATTCTGAAACATTTAAAAAACAGAACTGTTTTTTTTAAGTATTTTTTATTTTTTGAGACAAGTCTTGCTCTTTCGCCCAGGCTTGAGTGCAGTGGTGTGATCTCAGCTCACTGCAACCTCCACCTCCCGGGTTCAAGGGATTCTCCTGCCTCATCCTCCTGAGAAGCCGGGACTACAGGTGCGCACCACCACTCCAGGCTAATTTTTGTATTTTTAGTAGAGACAGGGTTTCTGGTCTCAAACTCCTGACCTCAAGCGATCCACCCGTCTCAGCCTCCCGAAGTGCTGGGATTACAGATGTGAACCACTCACTGCGCCCAGCTCAGAACCCATATTTTAAAATAAGACAAGAAAAACAAACAAACAAACAAAAAACAAACCAAAACCTCGCTACAGGTCTTGAGGATGAGAATAAAATTCCATTAGGTAGAAACTAGGGTGTAAAAGGTTAGGCAGACTCTTACACAGATGCCAGGTGCTTAAGAAAGTCAGTGACCTCTGACACTAAGACCCTGCAGAGCCCTGGTGTCCCTTCCAGCATGGTCACCTCTGGGCCCTCCCATCAGACATGGTATGCTTGCAACCGTGGTATGCAAGCGAGCCCAGGAGGAAATGAGAGGAGACCCTGGAGGGCTCAGTGTTCAGGACACCTTTGGTTACACACTGATAAAAAGGAGAAGTTAAGGGCTGGACACAGTGGCTCACACCTGTATTCCCAGCTACTTGGGAGGCTGAGGCGAGAGATTTGTTTGAGCCCGGGAGTTAGAGGCTGCAGTGACCTATAGTCAGGTCATGCCACTGCCTTCTAGCTCGGGTGACAGAGCAAGACCCTGCCTCAAAACAAACAAAACCAGAAGTTAAATTAGCAAGGACAAAAAACTGTTACCAAACATCCCCAAAGCAAAAGTTAAAGAATAGAAAAGCAGTACAGCCTTCTGGGAAATAATTCGACCCTCGGTGAGTGTCTGTCACACACAGAATGGTGCTCTCTAAACTTTCATGGGATAATAAAAATTATCTTCTGAAAACATTAAGGATAATTCTGAAAAACTTTAAAAAGGACCAAGGAAAGCCATTCCTTTATGAAATCTCACGTCTTTTACAGGCTCAGCCGGGAGTAGAAAGGATTCTCCTGCATGGAACACAGTCTACACCGCGGGCGATAGCTCAGAACCTGAGAGGGGTCGCAGGGCAGAGACATGCCCCGCAGCCACACGTTCCCCGCCGCCCCACACGTACCCTGCCCCCGTAGAGGATGGAGGGCGGCTGCAGCACCCGCCCAGTCACGTCTGTCATCTCATCTTTGACCATGATTCCAAATTCACGGACGTATGGATCTGTGTTGAAACTTGCACTTCGCATCTGGCAAAGGGAAACAAGAAAACGCACGGAGTGGGTGGAGGCCTCCCATCTCTCTAGCAGCTGCGTCCGTTCCAAGCATCAGAGGTTTCTGTGCCAGGGCAACCGGACTGGATTCCACAGGGCAGCCCTGCCCGGGACTGACACTCACCAATTTGCTAATCTCTTCTTGCCGATCGGGCGCCGACCTAGCAGTCGCTCTGATCATGGTTGAGGTCTGATTGTCCGTTAATTTTTTAATACATCTTTGTCCTGCCACAATGTTACAGACCTGTGAAGAGGACGTAGAGACAGGCCGTCAGTGCCGCACTGGAGTGACCAGGGGAGCAGGCAGGGGGCTCAGGGGCTGGTGGCCTGGCTCTGCTTGGGACCGTCTCTGCCTCATCCCTGGGCTATGAAGTGCTGTGCAGGTGTCTGCTGTGGGGGCTGCTCCACGGCCTTCCGCTTCACAACAGAAATGCCTGTTAAGTAAACCCCACGTCACGCGAACACAGAGACCCCACGGCCTCTGTGCCCAGCCCACCAGGTGAGCGGGGCTGTGTCCTGACACCGGCACTTCTGGGCTCTCTCCAGTCTTCGGTGGCTGCGGGCGTGAAAGCAGCTGCAGGTGCGAAAGACGTCTACCTGTGGGACGAGGTGCTGGAGCTGCCCAGCCCTACCTGAATGACAGGATCTAAACACCAAGGGAAGAGTTACAGCACATGGCTCAGGGTCGGAATTTGATCCTTTCCCAAGGCAAGGATTTTTCAAAGAGTCGTGATGTTAGAGGAGAGTGAATGACGCAACGGTGCAGTGACGGAGCACCTGCCTCGCGCTGCGGGGCCTGCTGGACACGTTACACACAACCTCAGGCAAGGTTCACACCAATCCCACAAGAGAGCTGCAGACCCCATTCTACTGAAGGCAAAACCGAGGTGTAACAAAGCCCATTAACCCACCCGCATTCCTGCAGCAGCAGAGGCAGTGCCATTTGTATCTGACTGGGGCCTCGGCGGTTTCTCGAAGCTGCATGCCCCAGCCTGGGACGCCGCCCTCCCAAGCCCCCAGAGACACACAGGAAGAGGGTGACTTGCCTCCAGGGGAAGGTAGGTGTGTTTCTGCTCCTGTCCGACTTGTAAACATGGGAGGTGGGGGTAGCGCAGAACCAACTTGTGCCTGTCCTTGAAATACTGGGCCACCGTGCACTCCACCGTCTGCCCGCTCTCCTGCTGCAGCGGGAATCTGAGGAGCAAAGGGGCTGTTCAGGCCGAGGGCATCCCGGAGCCCCTTCCCCTGCGCTGCTTTTCATTTGCGTTTGCTTTTTAGGGTGACGTGTGAGGAGCAAACATTCAGAGCACTTCCGGGAGTGAAAACCATGTCATGTGCTTTGGGTTATCTGGAATGTTTCTGAGCCCCTAAATTCTCATTTTGTTTCTGGAGTTGGGAAACAAAAAATACCTACATGCATCATTACTCATAAATTATCCACAACGTCACAGTGTGTGTAAAGGAGTCAGGACGAATGGGCACGACCAGAAAGGCCTGCGCGTCTTCCAGCAGACCGTGGTGACCCTGGAAGCCTTTTACGTGCCGCGCGCTCCCGGTGCCCAGAAGGCCTGAAGCCCCCAGGACAGGACGAGGAAAGCAGGCCAGGCCGGTTCCGGCCGCACGGTGACGGCAGGAGACGCCTGGGTGCAGTATGGGTGAGTGAGGGGGAGGCCCACAGGCACAGGAAGGGTTGGCCTCTGTGTGGGGATGAGGGCACGGGGGCTGCTAGTGCAGGGCAAAGGGCCACGTGGCTCAGTTTCTACTGCACAGACCCCTTCCCCCAATCCAGACTGCCGGGCCATCTGCAGCCTCTGCCAGGCCACAGGCCCTCTCGTCCTTCTGCTCCCTCAGCCACGGGCATCTTGGTACCTCCAGTGCCTGGCAACAGGCCTGGCACTTTCCATGGAATGATCCATGAAATAAACGAACCCTACCGGCCTGGGAGACATTAACTGGGGCACAGGGGCCAAATCTATCACCTCCTCCCGCAAAGAAACACCAGTACAACCCAGGACAGCGGTGCACTCTCACCCCCCACTCCGGCCTGCGTACCAAACCGTGCTCTTGCCGTAATGATGGGACACGCGGACTGGCCCAGGGAAGGGGGCGTGGGTCAGGGCCACAGACCCGCCACCTCCAGCACTAAGGATGGGACAATGAACACAAAAGACCCTTCTCTCCTCTGTGAGGCTCAGGAAGGAAGAGGGAGAGAGAGCCTGGGCCGGCCCTTCTAGCACCCAGGGGGAATTTCATGATCTGAGTTTATTTTCTTAGGTGAAGTCTGGAATCTACTGAGCCATGTAAGGGACAATTTTGGGATTGAAAAACAGCATGAAATGGTCCTTTCTGGAGAATGGGCACAGAATCATGGCTCCAGAGTGTGCCCGTCGGAGTGACAGTGGGGGCCCCAGCCAAGAGAGTCTGAAAGGAAGGGCGTGTTACGTTTGGTGACTGGCGGGCCGCCGGGTCACATTGCAGACGCGGTACTTCCTCTTCATCTGCCCACAGTGCGTTATCTCCACCTTTAGACCTGGGGACACAGAACACAGGCATCGGCATCGGGGCTGTCCCGACCTGAGTGCAGGCGCCACTTGCGAGAATCAGTTTTCATAGGAATGTGGCTGGGGACCCAAGTTATGGGGGGCTGCAGGGCTCCCCTAGGGAGGGTGACCCACAGGTCACCCCCAGGCCACCCCAGCCGGGTCCGTCTCACCTACAAGAGTACCACGTGGTGGAGGGGAGGCTCAGCTTAGAGCATGGGGTGTCCACCCTCGTGCTGTTCTGCGCCCCCCATGGGTCATCGTGATAACACGGGGTACGGTGGATGGCCCTGCAAATGGCCTTCCAAAAGGACGGGTTCAGCGGGCAGGGCTTGTGGAGCCAGGGGTGGGCCCCCCATTCTGTTGCTGATGGGCAGAAGGACCCCGGGTAAGTCCTAGACCCCCCCCAATCTGAGTTTCTTGGAGTAGAAAGCAGGCTGACTGGGTACAGACACCTGCCGGGCTGTGTAAGGATTAAATGAAGACAAAAGAAAACGCATCCTAGGTTCCAGCGTTAGGAAATGCTGATCACAGCCACGCTGCTGCTTCTAGTCCTGAGATCATGACTCAGACGTGACTGACTCCCCAACCTCATCCTCACCCCATGGGGTTGTATTTATTTAGGAAACCCCCACTCCCGCTCTGGGAAATGGATCTAACTCATCTCCATGCTACCTCATCTGATGGCTACATTCTGCCACCCCCACCTCCCCAAATGCGCACAAGAACCAGAACTGCAAAATGCGGTCCCGGAGGCGGACCGGGAAGGGGCCTCCCAGCCCTCAGCCAGGTGTGCTGGGACAGTTCATTACCTTTAATTTCTTTGGTAAACTTTACCCTTTGGGAATCTGTCAGAGGTTTTTGTTGTTCTTCAATACTTTTAAAATCCAAAACTTCACAAACAAACTCGATTACTGGCTGTGCCTTGTAAAACGCTGTTGCTGACACTGTAGGCGAGAAAAGAGGCAAAGGCCTAAGCATGACTGTGGGGCTGCTGGACGGGCCCATAGTCCTGGAGGGGCCTCATAGGCCAGGCCAGCCATGGTGGGGACACCCGGCCGGGGTTCTCACTCCCTACTGAGGCTAGCCTCAGGCCCAGACACGGGCAGGCCAGCAGTGACAAGCCCAGGCCCTAGCTGCTGGCCTCCCTCTGGTCAGGGTGACAGAAAGGAGCTGGCTGATTAGTTAAAGACTAAAGTCACCCTCCGAGAATGAAGCCAGTGTTGTAGGATTTTCTGGTTACCGTCTGGTGTAGATATTTCTGAAATTCACCATTTCCTTTTATGTAGTTCTTTTTCAATAAATGTATAACTGAGCAAGATCAAATTCTCATTGCTTTCTAGAGCTTTTCATAATAATCAGCTCCCAAATGAGAAGACAGATCCTTTTCGCTGGCCTTCACTCTCGTCTTTTTCACAGAGAGGGCAGCGGATGTCCTGCACAGAGCAGCGACTAAGCCTCCCAAGAGAGGGACAGGCCACACCCAGGCTACAGTCAAACCCAGGCCTACAGGAGGCCAGCAGCAAGGAAGCCCCGGATCCTCAGGCCCGCCTCAGCCCCTGACCACAGCCTCTGAGGGTGCGACCATCTCGTGGCTTCACGCTGGCCTGAGAGCCACTGCCGTAACCCACCCAACACTGCAGGTGAGACCAGCCAGGTGTCACGCAGCGGCGCTGGCTCTGACAGAGGCCATGCGTGGAGCTGGCCACATGCCACCCCCCGACCGGGGTCCTGACCCCCCAGCCCATGCCCAACCCTGCCCTGCAGTGAAGACCCCAGGGCGCTGCTTACCATCAATATTCAGCATCATTTTCCAGAGAGAAGGCCGGACGGACTGATGGAAGCCAAACCACACTTCTCGGCCCCCGCCAAGAGGGTTAGAGCAGCCTTCGGACGCGGTGAAGAAGGAGCGGCCCACGGGGGTGTACCTGGAACCAAGAGACCCCACCCCGCCTCCCGTCAGATGTGTCTTCCGGAAGGAACAGCTGCCTCTGGGTGGGCTTCGCCTGCGCCCACCACACCCTCATCAGAGTTCCGTTTCCCCTCCTTTTAAATCCACGTTTACCACACGGCACTCCAGCCTGTGTGCATGGCCTGCTGTGTGGGACACTGTGACAGCAGCAGGCTGGGGGACCCGTGGCCTCACTGGGGGATGGTGAAAGACGTTTAAAGACACCGCACAGGTGGATCACAAGCCCCCAGGACCTGGCGTGTTTCTGGTCCAGACTCCCTGTCCTGGCTTTGCCTCGCCTTACTGTCCTCACTGTCTACTCTTCACCTCTTGGGGCCTGTGTCCCCAAGCGCAGATAGAATTGGGCACCTGCCAAGTGCCAGCCCCAGCCAGGCCCAGCCCCAGCCGTGGGGAGACGTGTTGCTTCTGGCCAGTGGCTGTCCACGCATGACCCAGCATCTGCCGGCTCCTTTAGCCGTGGGCTCCCCAGGTAGGCTCCGAGGCCCCGGAGCTGCCCGCTGTGGGCTCCCCCGTAGGAGGTGGAAGGGCCAGCGTGAGGGCTTCACAACCTCTTCCGGGCCTGCTAGGGATGCTGCGCTGACCCGGCTGGAGCTACTCGACTGAAGCAGACGCATTCTCCAGCACAGCAGCCTCACCTGCTGCACGGGCACCGTGGGGTCTGGTGGCCCGGGAGGCGCCGTCACTAATGATTCTGAAGGGAAAACACGCTGTGAGCCTCGATGCTCCCTACTTGTGGGCTGCGCTGATCTAATCACCTACACGGCCCTTTCACTTTCCACCTGAGACGTGCTAATAATCCCGCCTCTACTGCTCTTCTTTTCCCAGAATGAAAACAGCAGTTTCCTCCCTGATTATAAAATTAATGTAAGTAATCCAAAGGAATTCGGAAAAGAATCACAGTCATTTCTGCAACTCTATTAACAAGGTAGATGCCATTTTGGCAACCATCCTCCTAGAGTGTTTCTCCACGTACCTACGGCCTTCCTCCACCGATAGTTCAAAGCAGAGACAGATTACACGTGGGGGAAGGTGTGTTCCTGCCGGGAGTGACAGCCTGTCCTGTATTTGGTCACCTCCTCCCATGCCTGAAGACTGAGAACACCATGGTCCCTTCTAAAAATCTTACACATGGCCTCAAAGCACCTTCTCTTCTATGAGGGAAGCCCCAACTCTCTCCTGGAATCTTAAAGCTTTGGTCAGTCCTGGGGTTTGTCACTGTGGGGTTTGTTTTGGTTTCGGCTTTGGTTCGAAAGAGATGAAACTTGAAAACTCAACTTGTTCCCGGGCACCAGTGTGAGGGCAGGTGTGCTGAGGGCTGACGCGCTGAGCTGGCCTTGCTCCTGCAACAGCGGGCCACTCAGGAAATTAGTGCAACCCTCTGCCCAGCAACCGGGCAGCTTGTGAGTCCTTCAACTGCTCCCCTACACCCTCTCCCAGCAATCGCAAGTGTGGCCATTTGTGGTAAAAGAGTAATCCTGAGAAAAAGGACGTCCCCAACAGTCACAAAAAGCAGCGGTGATGGTCCCTAGAGTTGCAGACATGCATGCAGCACGAAACTGGGAACACAGCATTACTCTCCTATCACGAGTCCCAAGGGCAAGAGATGAGCAGAAAAGTGCTGGGTGCAGAGGGCTGCGCGGAACACGAAGGCACCAGCGTGCACACAAATAGGGAGGCCAACGTTCCGGGCCAGGCCGAAAATGCTGGTGACTTATGTTTATATTAACACTGTTTCCACCTTAGCACCATTTGTGTTATCTTCATCACAGAAAACCCACGTGACCACTCCCACCCTGGATCCAAGAATGAGCCGTTCCTCGGACAGATTTCAGACCCTGCGGGGGGCCCTCGGAGCTGCAGGGGAGTCCCCCGCCCTTGGTCCCGTGTGGCGCCCTCACCTCATGGATGGCAAGTGCCTCATGACCACGTCCAGGGCCTGGATCGTCTCAAAAGGGACGCTGGGCAGCCGCCCTGAAAGTGCATCGTGTAACGCCTGCAAGCTCACGCAGGACACCCACTTGATGGACACCTTGAAGATGCGATCCTTGCCTTCTCCTGGCAGCGTGACCTCCAGCTCCACCTGCGAGGATCCAAGGCACACAAGGTTACTCCCTCCTGCGAAGCCCCAGGGAGGACGCAGCCTGGCAGTGGTTGGCTTCCAGACACTCCTGGGTGAGGAAGTCCCCGCCCAGGCCTCTAGCCAACCACTAGCCACATGTGGCTATGGAGCACTTGAAATATGACCAAGGAACTGAATTTTAAACTTTATTCACTTACTTTTGATGAATTTAAATGTACAGAGCCACATGTGGCAGTGGCTGGTGTACTCACAGTGGTCGAAAACGTATCCTCGTTTCACCCCCAAACAATGAACTCACTACCTCTCTCCTCCCAGTCTCTGAATCGCCCCGTCCCTCACCTATGGGTTGCACCTAACGCCAGATCATGCTGCCGTCACCTGCAAGCCCCACTCCGCTACTCAGAACCCACAGTTGAATCGCGATCTGGCCCTCATACCTCCAAATATGTGGACACACACGAGCCCACTCAGGTGACGCGTGAAGCAACTTTGCTATTTGCTAATCATGCTTCCCAGTGTCTGAGGAACACCGATGTGACAGGTTACAGATGGTATATATGTTATCCTCACATGCCCAGTGACCCCAGCAAGGGAAAATTCATTCGCCACTTTTGTTGAGACAGGGTCTCACTGTGGCCCAGGCTGGAGTGCAGTGGTGCAGTATTGGCTCACTTCGACCTTGACCTCTTAGGCTCAAGGGATCCTTTCGCCTTGGCCTTCCAAGTAGCTGGAACTACAGGCACACGCCACCAAACTCGGCTAATTTTTTAATTTTTAATTTGGTAGAGATGGAGCTTCACCATGTTACCTGTGCTGGTTTTGAACTCCTGGGCTCAAGGGATCCTCCCACCTTGGCCTCTCAAAGTGCTAGGAGTACAAGCGTGAGCCATTGTGCCTGGCCGACTCACCACTTTTTATCCATGAAACCACAGAAACCCAGACTTAAAAAAATAACCCAAGGCCACAAAGCCATGAAAGGGCAGAGACGGGATCTGGACCCCGAAGGCCTTCCCACTCCATGTGTGATGCCAGGGTCCCAGGTCTTCAGCACCGGCCTCTCCTAGCCTGCCCAGGGCCTGCTGCCTCTGCTCTGTGCACCTGAGGTGCCCTCCCTGATTCAGGACCACAAACCCCAGTGTGCCAGCATGCCCAGGTCCAGTGTTGTTTGGTGGCACCAGGCACATTTGCTCGCTCGCCCACTGCCCGCCATGCCCATGCCCAGCTCCCATCTGCTCATCCTTGTCGCCCAGGGCCTGGCCTCTTGCCACACCTTGTTTGAACCTCACGGAGCTACGACCAGACTCTGCGGGCGTCACCTGCACACCTGGGTCCCAGGTACACACCCTTTCCACCTGGGCCTGGGCTGGCTCTGGCAGACGCCCACGAGCCCTCAGAGCACTGTTGTGCCCGATGGCCCCAAACTGGCCGCGCCCCGAGGACCATCTGCAAAAGATGAGGGCAGGGAAAAAGGATCGAATCCTTCCAGCCGGATAGACTTCAAACATCGAATAGCAAGAAAAGCAGCAAGCCACAGAAGGGCGCCGCAGCACGATTCCTTCCAGACATCAGAGCCATACGCACAGGGGATGCAGCACAGCTGAGGAAACCAACAGAGGAAAGGGCCAGCTTCACTCAACTCATCAGGACAGCGGAGGGGGTGGCGGTGGGGGGACGCAATCAAGGCTTCGCCCATGGGGGATTTCAGGGTGGGAGGAGGGAACAGCTGGGCCTGGGTTGGGGGTACAGGATGTGGTTTAATACCACTCTTTAAATAAATGTACATAGCTGGCCCTTGCACAACATGGGTTGGAACTACGCAAGCGGAGTTATATATGGATTTCCTTCAGCCTCTGTTACCCCTGAGATAGCAAGACCAAGCTCCTCCTTTCTCTCCTCAGCATGAAGACAGAGGGGATCCTTTATAATAATCCACTTCCACTTAATGAAAAGTAGACATATTTTCTTTACCTTATGATTTCTTAAATAACTTTCCTCCAGCTTAAGCATGTAAGAATAAACTATATAGGGCCAGGCACAGTGGCTCATGCCTGTAATCCCAGCACTTTGGGAGGCTGAGGCAGATGGATCACCTAAGGTCAGGAGTTCAAGACCAGCCTGGCCAATGTGGCAAAACCCCATCTCTACTAAAAATACAAAAACTAGCTGTAACAATATCATACACTGTGGAATAATATGCAGCCATAAAAAGGAACAAGACCAGCTGGGCGCAGTGGCTCACACCTGTAATCCCAGCACTTTGGGAGGCCAAGGCGGGTGGATCACGAGGTCAGGAGTTCGAGACCACCCCGGCCCATAGTGAAACCTCGTCTCTACTAAAAATACAAAAAAACTAGCTGGGTATGGTGGCACGTGCCTATAATCCCAGCTACTTGGGAGGCTGGGGCAGGAGAATCGCTTAAACCTGGGAGGCAGAGGTTGCAGTGAGCCGAGATCGCACCATACTCCAGCTTGGGCGACAAGAGTGAAACGCTATCTCAAAAAAACTCAACAAAACAAAACAAAAGCCAGGCACGGTGGCTCACACCTGTAATCCCAGCACTTTGGGAGGCTGAGGTGGGGGGATCACGAGATCAGGAGATCGAGACCATCCTGGCTAACATGGTGAAATCCTGTCTCTACTAAAAATACAAAAAATTAGCCGGGCGTGGTGGCGGGCGCCTGTAGTCCCAGCTACTGGGGAGGCTGAGGCAGGAGAATGGCATGAACCTGGGAGGCAGAGGTTGCAGTGAGCCGAGATCGCGCCACTGCACTCCAGCCTGGGCGACAGAGCAAGACTCTGTCTCAAAAAAAAAAAAAAACCCAAAAACCAAAAAACAAAAAACAAAAAAATACAAAAATTAGTCGGGTATGGTGGTGGGCGCCTTAATCCCAGCTACCTGGGAGGCTGAGGCAGGAGAATCATTTGAACCCAGGAGGTGAAGGTTGCAGTGAGCCGAGACAGCACCACTGCACTCCAGCCCTGGGGATCAGAGTGAGACTCTGTCTCAAAAAAAAAAAAAGAAGAAGAAGAAGAATAAACTATATAATACATGTAACCTATAAAATATGTGTTAATTTACAGTTTATGTTATTGGTAAGGCTTCTGGTCAACAACAGACTATTAGTAGTAGTTTACGTTTTGGGGGAGTCAAAAGTCATACATAGCTAGGTGCAGTGGTTCACGCCTATAATCCCAGCTCTTTGGGTGGCTGAGGTGGGAGGATGGTTTGAGTCCAGAGTTGGAGACCAGCCTAGGCAATATAGGGAGACCCCATCTCTGTGCTCCCAGTTACTCAGGAGGCTGAGATAGGAGGATCGCTTGAGCCCAGGGAAGTCAAGGCTATAGTGAGCTGTGATTGTGCCATTGCTCTCCAGCCTGGGTAACAGAGAAATTGTTTCAAAAAAAAAAAAAAAGTTATGAATGAATTTTTGACTGCATGGGGAATCAGCGCCTGTTATGTTTGGCTATGTCCCCACCCAAATCTCACTTGAATTGTATCTCCTAGAATTCCCACATGTTGTGGTAGGAATCCAGGAAGGTGACTGAATCATGGGGGCTGGTCTTTCCCGTGCTATTCTTGTGACAGTGATCCAATTGGTTTATCAGTGGTTTCTGCTTTTGCTTCTTCGTCATTCTCTCTTGCTGCCGCCATGTAAGAAGTGCCTTTTGTCCTCCACCATGACTGTGATGCTTCCCTAGCCACATGGAACTGTATGTCCAATTAAACTTTTTCTTTTGTAAATTGCCCAGTCTTTATCAACAGCATGAAAATTGGCTAATACAGCACCATTAACCTTTTTGTTGTTCAAAGGCCAACTGTACATATATTTCTTTTTCATTAGTGCTACTTCATAATAAAATTCTAAATAAGTCACACACAAGTAACAGTAACTGAAAATGCACATTTGGCATAACACTGGCAACATGGCAGACATTCCTGCACTCACTGGTTCCCCCCTTTACTTTCTTTTTTTTTTTTTTTTGGGGGGGGGGAAGGTGTCCCGCTCTCAGTTAAAGAAACAGATCTGGAGGGGCTGACTGAGGCGCCCCGGGCCAGGTGGCAGGAAGCAGAGGGGCGAGTGCCCCTGTCAAACTGTCTGACTCCAGAAAGGGAGACAGAGTCTCTATGGGCCCAGGACCAGTGGCTTGGCTGGGCATGGGGGGACAATTCCAGTACGGACTGGCAGCTACTGGGTCCCAACAGGAGTAGCCGGTCGCTGAGAAGGGAGTGCCATTCCCCTTGTCCAGAAACAGCACGTCCAGGTCACGGCGTGCAAGTGGAGTGAGCTTGGGAGTGGGAGAGCGCGTGCATTTCCAGCTCACACACGCCCCAGCCAGGAGGTACTTTAGGCCCGAGTACATCTGCGGCAACAGCACTCGGCATCCAGCCTACAGTGCTGTGCCCTGGCACGGATCGGATGCCTGTCAATGCCACCTTTCAAAAACCTCTGTAGTCAACACCGAGGGGCAATGGCAAGGGGTCTATTTTCCCACAGCAAAATACATTCTAATTTGTAAATGTATTTCAGTCCAGCCTCCGCTTGGCCTGCAGAGAAAGGACAGCAGAGTCACCCCGGGCTCTGTAACTATCTGCCCATCCCACGTCCACAGTGGCTGGCTGGTGCTCGTGTGTGGCAGCTTAGGGCTGCATGGAGATTTTACGACGGCCATCACGCCACGAGGGCAGGAGGCACATGGCTCTCCAAGGGACAGGCACCGTGTGCGTCTGGGCTGCCAGCAGCAGGTGGTCCACACCCGAGACACTGCCGCCTCTCAACAGCCCAAAGCGCTCGGTCCCAATGACATGACATCTGAAGGTCACTCCCAGCCCTGCTGCCTCCCGTGTTCTAACCTCGGGCAGGTGGCTCCGTTGGCTTCCTGCACACAAGGGGACAAGCAGGTGGCCCCGCCCACCTCACAGGGCACTGGTGCCAATTGTGTTGCAGCGCTACAATCTGGGAGTGGCCCAACTGCCATTTTCTGAACATGGATAATAGAAAATGTCAGCCCAGGACTCGATCCAAGGCCTGGAGCACGGCGAGGCACCTGTGACATCCAATCTCCCCAGACAAGCCAAACCCGCAGGCTGGCCTCCCTGTCCGGAAATCCTCAGGGCGAGAGAAGTAGGACTGTCATGGGGTGATTCCTCTTTGGGGTCGTCACACAACTCAGCAACAAAGGGAAAACAGCACTCTAAAGAATGCAAAGAGGCCAGCCTGGGGCTCACGCCTGTAATCCCAGTACCGTGGGAGGCCGAGGCGGGCTGGATCGCTTGAGCTCAGGAGTTGCAGACCAGCCCGGGCAATGTGGCAAAACTCTGTCCCTACAAAAAGAAAATTAGTGGCGGGGCACAGTGGCTCACACCTGTAATCTCAGCACTTTGGGAGGCCCAGGCAGGTGGATCACAAGGTCAGGAGTTTGAGACCAGCCTGACCAACATGGTAAAACCCCGTCTCTACTAAAAATACAAAAAAAAAAAAAAAAAAAAAGAAAAGAAAATTAGCCGGGCATGGTGGCACATGCCTGTAGTCCCAGCTACTCAGGAGGCTGAGGTGGGAGGCTCACTTGAGCCTGGGAGGTGGAGGTTACAGTGAGCTGACATCGTGCTACTGCACTCTAGCCTGGGTGACAGAGCGAGACCATGTCTGGGGGAAAAAAAAAAAAAGAGAGAGCACAAAGAAACTGTGTATGAAGCCAGGGAAAAGGCACAGAGGCGCAGCTGCCTTTCAAAAGGCTGTTCCTGCACTCAGCTTGGCTATGGCCCTGGCTGAGCCCACGGCCTCCCTGTCCACTGCTGCTGAGGAGGGAGCGAGGGAGGCACTGCAGGCGTGGCATGTCTGGCTGGCCACGAGGATCCTGACCTGGACGGGGCCTCCCTGGGGCGGCAGGAAGAGCGACCACACCCGCTATGCCTGCCGAGCCCAGGCCGAGAGACAGCTGCCAGGCTGCGTGCCACATGCCCCTGCCAGGAGGGGCCGTGCAGTTCATGTCTTGTTGAAATGTGCCAGGTGCTGAGGTCTAAAGGCATCCTGTGACTCTGTAGGGCAGCAGCTCTCGAAAGGCAGATCACTGACCCCCAAAAGACCTCAGCACCAAAACCAGTCCCACCCATCATGTCTGCAAAGTGTAGTGGGAATTCAAAGTCACCTGGCAGATGACAGAGCAGGTACAGGGAGTGGCTGCTCGGTTAGGGCTCGGCACCACCTCCTGACCAGCTTGTATTGGGGTGGGCTTGGGTCAAAGCACCTGGCTCATTCGAGGGGACCCTTGGCCCTGAGAGGTTGCAGGTCAGCCCCAAAGATGCTTGCGCCAGGCCCAGGCTGGGCAGGCTCCCTGCCGCACACTGCCCAAGCGGAGCCCCCCATGGCTTCCTAGGCCTCTCCTCGCCCCCGCCCGCCTTCTCTCCCCAAGCCTTCAGGTGCAGAAGCTTCACTGCCTTGGGAGCCCTTGGCCTCCCTTGCTGCCAGACACCCCCATCCCAGGTCAGCAGGCAACAGCCCGGCACTCCTGTGGCCATGGCATGGCTGAGCTGCACAGAGAGGCGGACAGGCAGGAGTGCCGAACTACCATGTCCTTCAACAGTGAACTCTGTGCGTGGCTGTCTTCTCCCAAGGTACACTGCTTCCAGGCAGGGTCTGCTATTGTTCTGAGCTGTGGGTCTGCCCTAACTTCCTTCTGGGAAGGAGACACCGGTGCTGTCCACCACCACTCCTAGACCGTGTCAACCCAGACGCTCAATTTGATCATTCAGTGAGATGTGGGAATAAATTCTCAGGTTCATCTTCCACCACCCAAATCCCTTCCAGGCCAAAGCCACTTGTCTTTTGTTATTTAGGGAGTTTATAGTTGTCTCCATATGTTCCTAAACAGTGCTCCTTCTGGCCACCTTCCTAAATTTTCTATTCAACTGAGCAGAGAAGCTCCAGGGAGCTGCAGACCTTCCATGGGACCCAACAAGGGCAGGCATGGAGCTGGACCCAGAGCCAAGAAGACCAGACGACACAAATCATGCCTTCAAAGAAGAACCCAGGAGTTCAACCCAAAATGCTGATCAACTTGTATAGTTTCCTGTCTCCACCTCCAGTTCTGGGAGGTGAAGGAGTGAGGCTGGGCGGTCCCAGCGTCTCCCGGGCCTGGGAGAACTCGTCTCTCTTTCCACACAGGGGCTGGGATGAAGGCAGGCAGGCTAACATTGCAGTAGGAGATTTAGGAGCTTCGTGTGTAAGGGCGATGTGACACGGGCCCCCTGTGCAGAGGCCTGGACCAGAGCCGCCAGAGTCCCCACGAGCCTCCAGGGTAATGGAGCATCAGAACGATTCCGCTCTTACCACAAGTGAGGCACGAAAAAGTACTTCACAGAAAAAAGACAAAACCCAAAGACGACACTGGGACACGATGCGAGAAGATGGACATGGGACACCGCCTTACGCAGGCTCTCACACAGAAGGTTAATTTCTGCACCCTGCAGAGATCCTACAGAACCCCCAAACCAGTGGGAGGAGCGTGGTCTGCAGCCGGGGTACCCCCATGCTAACCGAACACAGTGGCTTTGAGTAGGTTCTCTATGCTCTCTGGGACATGAGCTTTTCTTTTTTCCTTTGTTTTGGAGATGGAGTTTTGCTCTTGTTGCCCAAGGCTGGAGTGCAATGGTGTGATCTTGGCTCACTGCAACCTCCATCTCCCGGGTTCGAGTGATTCTCATGCTTCAGCCTCCCAAGTAGCTGTGACTATAGGCGTGTGCCCCTATGCTTGGCTATTTTTTTTTTGTATTTTTAGTACAGACGGGATTTAGTCATGTTGGCCAGGCTGGTCTCGTACTCCTGGCCTCAAGTGATCCGCCTGCCTCGGCCTCCCAAATTGCTGGGATTACAGGCATGAGCCACTGCACCTAGCCTTAAACAAAGAATTTTAAACTCTCGCTACTCAACATGTGGCATGGGGCCAGCAGCACAGGCACCGGCTAGGGCTGGTGGGAGATGCACCACCCAGGACCGTGGGGCACAGGCACCGGACGGGGATGTACATGCTCACTGAAGTCTCACAAAGCCCCTGGGAAGTAGTTTTTATTGCCATCTCTCCGTTTTACAGGTGAGGCAGTTGAGGCTTGGCCAGTTGAGGTGCCCCAGGTCCCACCACAGGAAGGGTGGAGCCAGGCCTCACACCCATATCTAGTTTTACCCCAGAGTTTGTGCACAGTTAATTTCCACAATGACAGGTCTCAAATTTAAATATCAAATACCATATAGACGCCCTCAGCCCCTTTTCAGAAAAACTACCCTGATGCCCGCCTTGTGTGTAAATATAAACATATACAGACAAAACTGTGCACAAACTCCTTATGCTTTTCTTTCTTATAAAACTATAAGTAAAAACAAATGCAAATTAAGCACAGAACTTTAAAATGACTACATTTCAGCTCCACAGCACACTAGTTTGCAAGGGGTGATCGTGCTTGACTGATGTGCATTTGGTCTAGGACTTGCTCCTCTTGGGAAAACCAACGTCTATCACCCTGGGCTGGCAGTGACAACGCACAGACCACTGCCCCTCTTAGAACCATGAGATCGCTTTATGCAGAGCCCTATATCGTAACTCGGTCTCTGCTCAGTCACAGCACGTTCTCCCTTTGTCAGAGCGTGATAAGGTGAAGGAGCATCACTGGGCACTGAGATTGCTGGGCCCTGCTGACCATCCAGAAAGGCTGAAAGGAGCTTATTCATTTCAAGATTATCATCAAAATGAAAAACCAGCCACTCTGGAGGCTGACGTGGGAGGATCGCTTGAGCCTGGAAATTGAAGGCTACAGCAAGCGTGATTGCACCATTGCTTTCCAGCCTGGGCGACAGAGCCAGACCCTGTCTCAAAAGCAAAAGGAAGAAGACTGAACGTCTGTAGAGAGAGCTGCTTGCAGGCCACTTGCTCTCCCACTAAAACAGACATCCCTGACAGCAACTTGAGACCCTTTGCATACGGAGCTGGCTTCTTTCTCAGGAACTCAGGGTTTAAAAAGCAAACTGTGTATGTTGTTCCCAGAGGGAATCAGCCTTTCATTCTCATAGTTGTTAAACTCCTGGTTTCTGATGTGTTTGCTTCTTAAAGTATGTGTAAAGATTATTTTTTATTTTTTTGAGACTGAGTCTCACTCTGTTGCCCAGGTTGGAGTGCAGTGGCACGATATCAGCTCACCATAACCTTCGCCTCCCAGGTTCAAGCGATTTTCCTGCCTTAGCTTCCCAAGTAGGTGGGATTACAGGCACCTAGCTAATTTTTATATTTTTAGTAGAGACGGGGTTTCACCATACTGGCCAGGCTGGTCTCGAACTCCTGATCTTGTGATCCGCCCACCTCGGCCTCCCAAAGTGCTGGGGTTACAGGTGTGAGCCACCGCGCCCGGCCTGTAAAGATTATTTCTGAGCCGGGTTTCTGCTCTTCTTCTACTTACGAATAACACCCGTATCACTCTGCAGCAGCACATTTGTTGAAAGATATTCTCAAGAAGTGACAACTTCTGGGCAGAAATTTTATTACTTTTTAAATAAAGCCACGATAAGGCTAAAGGTAATAAAAGAAGGTGACATTTTAATACACCCCCTCCCTCCGGGTTGACTAATCACCATCATTCTAATTTCAGATGAGTCACTGGCTAGAGCAGAATGTTAACTGGGCCTCACTGCCATGTCTCTCTCTCACATACCCCTATATGAACGTAATTTTCCATAGGTCTTCTTGTGGAGATGGAGTCTCATTCTGTCACCCAGGATGGAATTCGTGGCGCACTGAGATAGCTCACTTCAGCCTTGAACTCCTCAGCTCAAGCCATCTTCCTGCCTTGGCCTCTGTAGGTCTTTATAATACTGGTGCTTACTCTAAGCTCTTGTCTGGCGGTGGTTTGTGGCTTGTGTTTAGCATGTGTACTTTGTACTTAAAGTTTGGTGGTTTCAGCAAGTTCTCGATATCCGTGTCTGGACCTAGACAAGTTAAACCCCCATCACTGAAAGCCACAACACAGAGAAGGTAGTTTTTATGGATCTCAGGACGAAGCATGTGGCAGTGAACTGCTCTCTCCTCCTCAGTGAAATAGTTTCGTGTATGAGAACAGGCATGACAGACTTTACAACATGTGTGAGCTTTACTTCACCGTATGTTACTCCACCAAGGGCATCCCGGCGAGCTTACCTTGTCCCTCCCAATCGGAAGGGGCATGGCTGTGTATAGATTCTTCCTGCCGTCAAACACGGGCTTCCGATCCCCAAAGATCTGTGTTTTAAAGTGCTGGACCATGTGTTCCACGATTTCCCTGAAACAAAGACAAAAGTCGGGCAAAATGTCAATAAAATGGAGAAAATGGCATACAAGGACATTTTTCTGACGCTATTTTTTTTTTTTTTTTTGAGATGGAGTCTTGCTCTTGTGGCCCAGGCTGGAGTGCAATGGCGTGATCTCAGCTCACTGCAACCTCTGCCTCCTGGGTTCAAGCAATTCTCCTCCCTTAACCTCACAAGTAGCTGGGATTAACGCCACCACGCCCGGCTAATTTTTTCTTTTTTTTTTGAGACGGAGTTTCGCTCTTGTTGCCCGGGCTGGAGTGCAGTGGCACGATCTTGGCTCACTGCAATCTACGCCTCCTGGGTTCAAGTGATTCTCCTGCCTCAGCCTCCCAAGTAGCTAGGATTACAGGTGCCCGCCACCACACTTGGCTAATTTTTTGTATTTTTTTTTTTTTAGTAGATACAAGGTTTCATCATGTTGGCCGGGCTGGTCTCAAACTCCCAACCTCAAGTGATCCACCCGCCTTGGCCTCCCAAATGCTGGAATTACAGGCGTGAGCCACCGCACCCAGCCCTCTGATGCTATTTTTAAAGCAATTTTGCAAGACCTGTGGCTCCTTTGGGCAACATGACTTCCAACTTCTATAAAGAAGCAAACTAGACCCATGAGTGGGTTTGTGCTTGTGCATTTTAGTGAAACACGGGAGAACCTGATACGCGCTGGGCACTTTATATGCCACATACAGCAGATGACAGACACTTCCAGAACCTCCGGAGCTCTGTGAAGGCACTGACGAGAAGAACAGAGCTTGTGACATTTGTGTTCCATGGAGGTAGGGTCAGGCGCCCATGCCTCTGCACAGCTACCCACTGTGCACACAGACTGACAGGTGTGGCTCAGCTCGGCTGTGGGCCTTGCTGTGGCCACTAGGATTTGCTCTGTAGCCCCAGTCAAGGGGTTTGTGAGACTGGCTTGGCCTTCTGTGCTCCTCTGATTGCCAGAAGAATGAGTCCCGGGTGCTGCTACCCCTCCAGTCCAGCCTGACCCAGGGGCCCAGCCAAACCTCAGCCCACTTGCAGAGCCATGGTATGAGACGGATGCTTGCTGCTGGGAGAGACTGGGGTTTTGGTGTTGGGGGCTCAGGCATTCCAATGGCAGAAGGCTGCTAGATGCAAGGGAGCTGCTCTGCAGGGCTCCATGAGCAGAGATCCACGACCCCCACCCTCCACCCCCCAACCCCCACTTCCCCACCGTGACAGAGAGGCCTCCAGAAACACACTCTGCAAACCTCCTGCTGGCCTTCAGCTCTGTTCCAAAGAGGTACCAGCTTGGCATAGTACTCTCCTGGCATTTCAGGTGCTTGTTTTATTTTATTTTATTAGAGACAGAGTCTCGCTCTATCACTGGAGTACACTGGCATGATTACTGCTCACTGCAGCCTTGACCTCCCGGGCAGAGGCAATCCTCCCATCCCAGCCTCCCAAGCGGCCGGAACTACACGCCCAGGCCACTATGCCCAGTTAATTTTTAAATTTTTTTGTAGAGATGGGGCCTCCCTTATGTTGCTCAGGCTGGTCTCGAACTCCTGGGCTCAGGCAATCCTCCTGCCTTTGCCTCCTAAAGTGCTGGGAGTACCGGCATGAGTCACTGTGCCCAGCTCAGGGGGGTTCTGAGGCATTTTGACCCAACTCACTAAATGCCTGCCCTCGCACACTACGCCTGATAAAGTGCAAATATGAAGAGCTGGGGTCCCTGCCTGCCCACAAAGGCCCATGTGAGGGAAATGCAGAGGCCCATGGGGTGCTTAACATCTTGATTTTTTACCAGGAAATGCCAGCTCAGGGGATGTGGTAAAGAGCGAGAGAGGAGTCCACCAGCAGGGTAAGGTGGGGGCGGGGGAGTCACTGACAGACTTCTGAAGGGAGGTGGGATTGGAGCGTGGCTAGAATGGTCTTTCTCTTGGGCAGAGCCTCAGTCATCTCTCAGGAAGCAAGAACCTGCCAACTCCTTCCATTCCTTTCCCAAAAGTCGAGGCAAGCTGGCCTGGAGGGCTTTCCTTATTCAGAATGGCTTTGCTTGGTCCACCTCCAACAGCCACAGGAAGAGGGTCTCAGGGATCCAGCTAACCTGCCCTCAACACCTGCGGTCTGGGGAGTGCCCGTGGCAGATGCCCAGAGCCTCTCAGTGACATCTTTGAGGGCTCCACCAAGCTGCACCCGCCTCTGACAGTGCTGGGAGATCCAGCCTGGGCAGGGAACAGCCCCGAAGGCCGTCAGCATGGCCCTGGCATCCATCCCTGCCATGCCTACCTGGCAGCCACGGCACAATCTCCCCTGGCACCTCCCTGGCAGCCAGGGCACAATCTCACCTGGCACCTCCCTGGCAGCCAGGGCACAATCTCACCTGGCACCTCCCTGGCAGCCAGGGCACAATCTCACCTGGCACCTCCCTGACCTGCTCTGGGCTGCCCAAGACAAGGGATGCCCTGCAGCTCTCGCAAGAGGACAGCTCATTCCTCTGCACTCTCCAAACATTACAAAGGGTCCCCAACCTTCGGAGGCCCTCATCTCCCTGGCCAGGACTGCACAATCAACTTGAGGTGCAGATGGCTCCATTGGAGGGGAAGGTGGGTTCTACTCACATTCAAAGAACAAATCATTCTGGCCTAATTCAAACCTGACCTGAACAGAGTAAGATGGCACACACCCTGACTCATTTCATGAGGCTAGCAAAACCTTTAGGTTGAAACCAGACAGGAAGAGTACTAAGAAATCATGGGCCAATCACTTACAAACAGAAGCAGGAACAAGACATTAACAAGCTGAATCTAGCAACATGTTCAAAAATAAATCATCATGTCAAAGTTCAGTCGATACCAGAAACAAAAGGTTGTATTTAACATTATAAAATTAATTAACATGAAACAGGTTATAAACCTAAAAGCTATAACTGAGAAATGCCTAGAAGAAAACATAAGATAAAAACGTTCCTAAAACTTGGGATAGACAAAAATTTCTAAGAAATGTCCCTAAAGGAAAAATTCATAAACTAGGCTCCATTAAAATTAATAACTTTCACCCATCTCTTAAAAAAAAGAGAGAGAGAGGCACCATTATAAAAATGAAAAGACAAGGCCAGGCGCGGTGGCTCACGCCTATAATCTCAGCACTTTGGGAGGCAGGCGGATCACTTGGGATCAGGAGTTTGAGACCAGCCTGGCCAATATGGTGAAACCCCGTCTCTACTAAAAATACAAAAAATTAGCTGGGTGTAGTGGTGGGTACCTGTAATCCCAGCAACTTGGGAGACTGAGGCGGGAGAATCGTTTGAACCCAGGAGGCAGAGGTTGCAGTGAGCCGAGATTGTGCCACTGCACTCCAGCCTGGGCATGACAGAGTGAGACTCTATCTCAAAAACAAACAAACAAAAACAAAAAGATGAGCAATCAACTGGGAGGAAATATTCCATAATCACAAAGACACACATCTAACAAAGAACTTGTATGCATAATGTATTTAGGAAAATTCTTACAACTCAGTAAGAAGATAATCCAACTTCAATGAGCAAAATATTTGACCAGACACATGGCAGAAGAGGATACACAAATGGCGGGTAAGCACATCAAAGGGTGTTCATCACTCGGCTTTAGGGAAATGGAAATGAAGCCACAGACATCCAGCAGAAAGGCTAAAATCAGACAGGGTAACAATACCAAGAGCTGGTGAAGGCGGAGGGAAATGCTCTCTTCTACGAGGCTGATGCAACTGCTTTGGGGAAAAAGTGTGGTTTCAGTGTCTATTTACCACCCTGTCTAGCAACTTCTGACACAAGAAAAATGAAAACACACATCCACGCAAACATTTGCATACAAATGTGTATAACAGCTCCAGACTGGAAACAATTCAAATCAATGTCCATCAGCTGATGAGTGGACAAACCCATGATGCCACACCCGCACAATGCAATACTTGAATCCACCGCTACACGCAACACGACGGGTGTCTTAGAAACACGCTTGGCGGGCCAGGCGCGATGGCTCACACCTGTAATCCCAACACTTTGGGAGGCCGAAGCAGGTGGATCACGAGATCAGGAGATCGAGACCACCCTGGCTAACACAATGAAACCCTGTCTCTACTTAAAAATACAAAAAATTAGCTGGACGTGGTGGCGGGCACCTGTAGTCCCAGCTACTCGGGAGGCTGAGGCACGAGAATGGCGTGAACCCGGGAGGCGGAGCTTGCAGTGAGCCGAGATCACATCACTGCACTCCAGCCTGGGCGACAGAGCAAGACTCCATCTCAAAAAAAAAAAAAAAAAAAAAGAAACATGCCTGGGGAACGAAGCCAGCCACCAGGAGGAACAGGTATACAATGATAATGATTCCACGTATAGGAAACCCTTTGACAGGCAAAAACAATCTACACTGACAGAATGCAGGTCTGTGTTTGCCTTGGGGCAAGGGACAACACACTTAACTGCAATGGGGCAGGTGCTTTGGGGTTGTTAGCATGTCCTATTGATTGTGGTGGTTCTTACAGGAGTGTATACCTTTTTTAAAGATCATAGGCCTACATAAAGGTAATTTCAGTAAAAATCCAGAGAGGGATGTATTTTTATTTGATAGGATTTAACAAACTCATCCTAAAATAGAAGTAGAAATCTGAGGACAAAGGCTGGCAGGTATTCTTGAGGAGGAGCAGCTGGAGGGAGGCCATGGCGCTGGGGCAGGCAGAGAGCTCGGGACAGAGCCCAGAGTCCAGAGCCCAGAAACAGGCCCAGGGATGGGGGTGGCAGGAGACAGAGGGCAGGACACACTTCTCAATGACTTATGGCAGGCAACCACACACACCCAGGATTCAAGGAAATACAACCGAGCCCCACTACTGGAGACACTCCTCTGGATGAACATTCACTGTTCCGAGCCCCATCCAGCACTCGGCATGATCACTCCGCTCACTGACGGTCCTGCAGGCCCCTGGAGGCGGGGTCAGGTCCAGCTCATCCTGCACACCCAGCACGGCGTGCGGCTTGGGCTGGGCGGATCTCTCAAGAGAAGGAGGCTGTTCGGTCATGCCAGTGAGGCAGTGCCCTGAGGGGCTACAATGCACACCCGTGGAGTCGGCTGGCAGACAATCCTGGCCACCACTCAGGCCTCCGCCGCCCAGAGAGAGCATCCCTGGCCACCGGCTCGCAGCCCCCATGCCTCGGGGCCCAGTGCCGAGGGTGAGGAGGGGCCGATCTTGTGTAAAGCAGAGAAACTGGACCTCGTGGCTGTGGCAGCAGGATGGCACCTTGCTGCCTAATTCTAACACGGGGGGTCCCTTCCCTCCTCAAACACACATGACCACGTATTTGGCAGTTAATTTTCTTTCTTTGTAAAACTGTGATAAAATACAGATAACATAAAATTGACCATTTCAACTAAGTGTTCAGTTCAGCGGCATTGAGTGTGTCCATGCTGTTGTGCGACCATCACCACCCTCTGTCCACAAATGATTTTCACTTCCCCAAAGTGAAACTGTACCTGTGAGGCACTAACTTCCCAGCCAGCCCACGGAGCCACCTGGGGACCCTGCTCGCGGAGTCCCTGAATCTGGTCCTTCGTTTCGAGCCGGCGCAGGCACTGGAAAGTGAGCAAGCGTCCCTGCTTCTGCAGAGCCAGCTCTGCTGGCCACCCAGGTCTCAGGCTTGCCCTTGACCTCCCAAAAAAGATGACAGCCCAGGAGTTCATTTGCATGCATTCCGTCCACCAGTGGGGCCCCAGCCTCTAAGAGAGTGACCCATGTTGAAACGAAGGAAAAGGAGAACCACGGCCAAGCTGTTAGTGCTCGTTCTGCCAAGTTCTTAGTGGGGACAGCTCCCTCTTCAGTCGCCACCCAGGGAAAGGGCAGCGCCAAGCAGCACCCCGCACGGGGCCGGGGCCGCCTTGCAGAAGCCGGAGCGTGTTGCTAATGCCGAGAAGCAAGTGTCTGCCCCGTTTGCCTGTTTGCCCTTTTGTCATAATTCTGAGAGGTTCCCTCTTTTACAAATGTCATCCTTTCATTAATTTCTAATTACACAGCTTTTGCCTTAATACATTCTCACCAAAAGTTTCACATAACGATAAAGCTAAAAGTCCCAGCCTGGGCAACACAGAGAGACCCCATCTCTACAACGTATTTAAAAATTAGTGGAGTGTGGTGGTGCGCGCCTGTGGTCCCAGCTACTTGGGAGGCTGAGGTGGAAGGATTGCTTGACCTCGGGAGGTTGAGGTTGCAGTGAGCCATCACTGCGTCACTGCACTCCAGCCTGGGTAACAGAGGGAGACACTGTTTCAAAAAGAAAAAAAAAAACAAAAAGCTAAAAGTCTGTTTACAGTACCCACTCATTTCAATCCCCATTCTAAGAAGTAACCTTATCCTTTTCAAACCTATGCTTTCACATAAACACACAGCTATCCAGAAATACATTGTTTTATTATTTTTATACACATGGTATCAAACCCACACTTCTGAGGCGCCCATTTTCCTACTCTGTGTCTTTGGGATCTTTCCTCCTAACTGTATACAATGTCGCCACTAGGTCTAGAACTACAGACACGGTAATCATGTGCCTTAGTGTTACCACCTAACCACTTGCTACTTAGTTGCCTGTGTTTCTGAGCTTGGAGGTCAGCCTGGGAGCCCCATTCCACTCCTGCTAAGCACCACACTGCATGCCCCAGCGCACTCCTCTAACCCACCACTTCCTACTGATACTTAGATGGTGTCTTTTGTTGTTCTTTTTTTTTTTTCAGAGTAGTCATCCTATACATCTCCTTGAGATATAGAGACTGAGAAGGAGAACGGGTGGGTCAGAGGGTACACGATGTTTCTGCTTTAATACCTGCAATACCCGCACCAGACTGTCTTGTAAACAGGCAGGGTCCACCTGCATTCCCGTGAGTGGCTCATGCCCAGAGTCACAGAGCTCTAGGCGCAAGGCTGAGTGTGACACAGCCATGCTGCCTGGCCCCCTGCTCCACAGGCACAGGGCCATCGCATCTGCTGGTTCTTCTGGGGCCACTTGACGGAGCTCAAGACGAACAAGGAGGAAGAGGGGCAGGGGAAGGGAGAGGAGCCCACCTCCTCCTCGCAGCCCACCCGTGCTTCTCGGAACAGAGCATGGGGGCAAGGCCCACGTGACTTCAGCAAGGCTTAGGTCGTGTGGGCCTTGCCCCCATTCTTTCTCGGGGCTGGCTCAAGACTGGCTGTGTTGTGCAGCCACCTTGGTGCCCACAGCTGTACGGGACGCTCCTGGGAGGAAGGGTCTTGCTTGCACCAAACCCCACCCCGGCAGCCCCGGGAAAGGGGTGGACTATACTGCAGGGCCTGAGGGCACTGAGGCTGCTTCACTGTGTAGTTGTCAGAATGTCACAGAGGTAACTGAGGTGCAAGGGCATTTTTCTCATGGCCTTGGATAAAGCCTCTGTGTTGGACTCATTAAACATCTACCCGGGGCATTGTACAAGGTTTTGGGAACTCACGACTAAGACGCCATCCTTGCTCTCACAGAGGCTGCAGTGTGGTAAGAGAAATGGGAAGGAGATGCTGAGCAGCACGACGGAGGAGCCCAGACTCATGATGGGCTCAGGGCCCCACCTTCGTCTCCCTTTCCACTCGGAGCTCCCCTCCAGCGGCGCTGACCATGAGCACCATCCACCTCCCCACTGGGGACAGGAGCCATGTCTGCCTCAGCCACCACTGCACCCCCAGGGCACTGCAACTGATGTGTGAGCGGGGGGTCTCAGGAAGGTGGGTCATGGGAGGAGGCAGGAGGTAGGCCAGGGCTCCCACACAGGTCTTGTGAGCACAAACATTTTACTTCTGACATTTTCCTATGCTGTTTTGATTGATTATAATTTTGAGATAGGGCCTAAAGGTTCCTCCGTCTAGGCAGCCACTCTCAAGCTTGCTCATAGCCTAGCAGGTTGGCCTTGGCCCTGTGCATGCAGCTCTTGCCCTGCATTTGCTGCTTACCAACTGCGTGACCTGAGCCTGGCAGGCGAAACCACAGGAGTGTAGTAGCACAGTCCTGGAAAGACATCACGTTCTCATCACCCTCAGCTTCTTTCTGGTGTCAGATAACGAAGCCTTGGCCATGCCTAGTTTCGTAAAAGAAAGCTGCTTGTGTACTGTGGTCGATGGCCTAAGGGCCCCCCTGCTACCGCACCAGTCAACAGCCCAGAAAATGTGGGCCAGGCACAGTGGCTCACACCTGTAATCCCAGCACTTTGGGAGGCCAAGGTGAGCAGACTGCTTGAGGCCAGGAGTTTGAGACCAGCCTGGGCAACATGGTGAAACCCTGTCTCTACTAAACAGGCTCACGCCTGTAATTCTAGCACTTTGAGAGGCCAAGGCAGGCAGATCACAAGACGCCAGGAGTTTGAGACCAGCCTGAGCAACATGGTGAAACCCAGTCTCTACTAAAAATGCAAAATTAGCCGGGTGTGGTGGCGCATGCCTGCAATCCCAGCTACTCCGGACGGGTAGCTGAGGCACGAGAATCGCTTGAACCCAGGAGGTGAAGGTTGCAGTGAGCCCAGATCATGCCACTGCACTCCAACCTGGGCAACAGAGCAAGATCCTGTCTCTAAAAAAAAAAAGGAAATGTGTATACTGCTTTATGCTCTCATTCTGGTTCTAGGAGTACCCCCTAAATCACAGATTCACACAGGGTTCTATCCCAGGGAAACGCAAAAACAAACCAGCAGTCCCACTGATGGAGAGCCACACAGCAGTGAGATATACTAAAAGATCTAGGAAGACCTTTAGTAAAGAAAGCTGCTTAACCCAGTGGTGCACATAGTTTTTGTTCAGAAATACATGGTTTTAGTAAGTGCATATTTAAAGAACCTCATAGAACTCTCAACATACTCTGGACATGTTGAGTGAATCCAACTGTTTAGTTTTACAGATATGAGAACTAAGTCCCCAGACATTCTCTCTCTTAGCATATTCAGAGTTCTGCAACCATCACCATGGCTTAGAACATTTTTACCACCCCCAAAATCAACACTATACTCAACAGCAGTCACTCCCCACCATTCCAGGAAAAGAAAAATTTACACAACCATTTATAATAGCATCCAAGAACATAGCATACTTTAGATTCATAGTGACCACAATAAAAAATTCAAAGGGGCTTTCTAGCAGAAATTGATAAGTTATTTATATTTATTATTCTATATACTTGGAAAAGCAATAGATCTAGAATAGCTAAAACAATTGTAAAGAACAACAAATTTGGAGGAATTATTTAATCGGATTTCAAGCCTTACCACTTAACTATAGTTAAAATGACCAAGAGTTCCTGGCCTAAAGACAACACAGAAGAGAATCCAGAAATAGATCCACCCACATATACAGGTTGAGCACCCCTAATCTGAAAACCCCAAATCCAAAATGCTCCAAAATCTGAAACTTTATGAGCACCAACATGACGCTCAAAGGAAATGCTCATTGGAGCATTTTGGGTGTCAGGTTTTCAGATCTGCAATGCTCAACTGGTAAGCGTAACGGAAATATTCCAAAATTCAAATAAATAAATAAATAAATGAAAACTTGAAACACTTCTAGTCCTAAGCATTTTCAGTAAGGGATACTCAACCTGTACAATCAAATTATTTTTTTTAAAGGTCAACAGGTAAATCAGTGGGGAAAGAAAAGTATTTTCAACAGACCCTTACCTCACAACATACATAAAAATTAATTCAAGATGGATCGTGGACTAAATATGCAAGCAAAAACTATAATTCTAAAATAAAAACAGGAGAATATCTTTATGATCCCTAGGTAGGCAAAAATTTCCTAGAGAGAATACACTATGTAACAGCTATTTTTAAAAATTTATAAATTGGACTTCAACAAAACTAAAAAGTTCTACTCATTAAAAGAAAGACACCAACAGGAAGGTGAGATGACAAACTTTGGACTAGGAGAAAATATTCCCAGTATAGACTTGTATGATGCTGATTTTTAGGTGCCAATGTGTCTAGATTAAAGAATAATCCAGAGAACTGGTAAAGCTTGACTTCTGGGCATGTCTGTGTGGCTGCTTCCAGAGGAGACTGCGTGTTAGTCAGGGACCAGGTGGGGATCTGCCCCCAGTGTGGGTAGTGCCATCCAATCAGCTGGGGACACAGACAGAAAAAAAGGAGAGAAAGAGTGATTTCTTCTCTCCCTCCTGGGGCTGGGGCACTGTCTTCCTCCTGCCTCGGACATCAGAACTTCAGGCTCCCTTGGCCTTTGGGCTCTAGGACTTATAGCAGCAGCCCTGTGGGTTCCAGGTCTTTGGCTTCCCTGATTATAAGGCTTTCAGACTTGGCCTGAGCCCCGCTACTGACACTCCAGGGTCTCCAGCTTGTAAATGGCCTGCTGTGGGACATCTTAGCCTCTACAATCATGTGAGCCAATTCCCCTAATAAATCCCCTCTCATATCTATAGATATATGTACAGTCATGCGTGGCTTAACCATGGGGATATGGCCTGAGAAATTCACTCAGGCAATTTCATTGCAGTGTGAACATCATAGAGTATATTTACATATACCCAGGAGGTAGAGTCTACCACACACCTAGGCCACAAACCTGTACAGCACACGACTGCTGAACACGGCAGGCAATTGTAACACCATGGTAAGGATGTGTACATCTACATATACCTAGGTCGGGCCCAGTGGCTCATGCCTGTAATCCCAGCACTCTGAGAGGCTGAAGCAGGCAGATCACTTGAGGTCAGGAGTTCAAGAGTAGCCTGGCCAATATGGTGAAATCCTGTCTCTACTAAAAATACAAAAAATTAGCCAGGTGTGGTGGCAGGTGCCTGTAATCCCAGCTACTTGGGAGGATGAGGCAGGAGAATCACTTGAACCCAGGAGGTGGAGACTACAGTGAACTGAGTTCATGCCACTGGACTCCAGGGTGACAGAGCAAGACTCCATCTCAAAAGAAAAAATAAAAAAATCTAAACTCAGAAAGGGTAGCGCATTGCTCTACTACGTTACGTGGGCTATGATTTCAGCTCCCTTACAATCTTTTGGGACCACGGTGGTATATGTGTCTGTCACTGGCCAAACGTTGTCATGCGGTACATGACTGTATCTCTATCCTATTGGTTCTGTCGCTCCGGAGGATGCTTACAAATGCAATGTACATCTAGAATATACTAAAAACTCTCACGGATCAATAACAAAAAGACAAGAAACTCAGTAAAAAAAAAAAAAAAAACAAAACAGGCAAAATACTTCAACACTTTGCTGGAAATAATATATCACTTAATCGATGAAAATAATATATAAACACATGGAAAGATGCTCAGCTCATCAGGTACCAGAGAAATGAAAATTAACCACAATGAGAAACCACTACTCACCCACCGAAACACACAAAAAAACACGCCTGACCACACCGCGTGCTGGTGGGGGTGGGTGGCCTTGGAAACACTCAGCGGAGCTGACGGGAGGAAAACGTGATGGGAGCATGGGAACACCATTTATTTGGCAGGTTCACATGCAGCTAAACACACAGCTGCCCTTCGGCCCAGCAATTCTACTCCTAGGTATTTATTTAAGAGAGACGAAAACACCTCCACAAAAAGAACTTCAACAAGAACGTTCACAGCAGTCTTATTCATAATGGCCACAGCCTAGACTGCCCATGTGTTTAAAAGGAAGATGAAAAACAGACTACGAAATAGGCAATAGAGTATTTAGCAATAAAAATAAGCTACAAATACACACAACGGCGCAGGTGGGTCTCATAAATTCTGCTGAGTAAAAGCAGTCGGGATTGAGGGTGTGTCACTATACAGACCTGGAAACTAATCTATGTGACACACATCAGAATGCCGTGACTTTAGGGGCTGGGGGTAACCGGAAGAGGGTATGAGGCAACTTTCTAGGGTGATCAGTATATACATTTGTCGAAATTCTTCCAGTTGTGCATTTACGATGTATGTATTTCACTATCCTGAAACTGTGTCTCAATACAAAAACTTGGTATATATTTATATATATATTTTTTTCAATCCGTAGGTTTGACTCTGAAAAACTGTTTTTGAAAAGCAAATGCAGCTGAAACGTTCTGGAAAAAACCCAGATGGATCTGCTGAGAATTTCAGAGTTGATTAGTTTAAATGCCGTGTCTGTCCGCGCAGACCACTTACACAGGTCATGAAGGATGAAACGTAATACCTGTTAACTCTCCTCGGGCACTTCTCTGGCTTGATATCCAATTCATAATGATAGATGTCAATTTTGGGGATGTCCATTTCGAAGAAATTGGCCTGTAATTTGATTGTTCTCCCGGAGGTCCCAAAGTCGGGTCTAGGTGGAGGCTTGAAGGCATATCCTTGGATGGGGGGCGGCGGCGCAGGAGGTGCAAGTGCTGGAATGGCAGAGAGAACACCCATTAACGGGGGAGCAGGCTTGCTCTGCGGCCCTTCCCATCCCGCGGCCCCAAGCCACTATATGCCCCCCTCTGCTGTTTCCATTCACGTCCAGGCCAATATTGCATTCCACAGAGGAGGCGTCTCAACGTCAAGCCAATAATGTACTTAAAATGTATCATAACAACTCATTGGTGATCAAACTTGCTATGTCCATTCCTGTTCTTTCTTCCTGTCTCAGACACTGGAGAGATGAGGCAGCATGAATTACTAGCACGGGAGACAAGGCAAAGAGCCCAAAAGTGTCAAGGCGGTGCCCCTCCCTTGCTGCTGCTTAAACCGCTCGTTTACTCAGGAAGCGCTTTTTACTATGCATAAGCGGCAGAAACTTCATCCCAACTCAAGTTTTCAGTGGCTCCATATTAGTAAAGTTCAAAATGTAGATTTAGAAAAATAAACATTTTTCAATAATAGAACGCTTTCAATTTTCACTCAAATGTCTGTTTAAAAAAAAGACAACCCTTCTCCATTTAAAAAAAATCACATGTACTTCAATCCCTATTGACATTCACTGGAAAGAAAAAGAACTCTACTAAAAATAATATGAGCTGTTCTTACTGTATTTCTGACCTAGAAAAACTCAGAGACTCCTTGAATTATTTGCTTTTTTGTTTGTTTGTTTCCTATGAGAAAACTAACATGCTTTCAAGGTTATTAAACTCACTGAGTTACACCATTTGGAAATGGTTATGGCAGCATGGCCTTCCACCAAGTCGCCATGACTTCATAGATGACACATCTACAGACTTCCATGACACTCCACCCTTCAATGGCACTCAGCGGGTGCCCCTGTGGGCTGGGCACCATGCCCTGGGCCAAGGCTACAAAAATAAAGTCAGGCTGGGTGCAGTGGCTCACACCTATAATCCCAGCACTTTGGGAGGCTGAGGCGGGTAGATTACCTGAGGTCAGGAGTTTGAGACCAGCCTGGCCAACATGGTGAAACCCTATCTCTACTAAAAATACAAAAATTATCTGGATGTGGTGGCACGTGCCTGTAGTCCCAGCTACTCAGGAGGCTGAGGCAGGAGAACCGCTTGAACGCGGAGGTTGCAGTGAGCCGAGATCATGCCACTGCACTCCAGCCTGGGTGACAGAGCGAGACTCCATCTCTAAATAAATAAACAAAACAAACAAACAAACTGAGTCCTCAAGCAGCACCCATGCTGCCACCAGGGACAGTTTCCAGGTGTCAGTCATCCACAGGATGACGTCTGATGACTTTTCATAAGCTCAGCAGCTCACCAAGATCCTTCCCAGCAAGGACCCTGACCGTGACAGGGAGTGGACATCACAGTCCAGGTGGGTTCAGTGGAGACAGCCACTCCCCTGAGGACCGACTGAGCTTCTCTCTACGCCACACCGGAGTAGAACAAAGCACTTGCCAACACGTGGCCCTGTTCTCAGGTGGCTCCAACCACCCAGTGAGACGGCTCCCAGGAAACGTCTAGGACAGAGCCCGGGAATCTGGCCCTGTGGCCAATCTCGATTTCAGGGTCGGGCACGCTCCTCTCGGGGAGGAGAGTCACTGTCCTTCGGTGACTCCCAGCTTACAAGGTGCTCATGCAGTTACTTAACCGAGCCTCACAACCATACCACAAAGGGGCACACCGCTGGCTGCAAGAAGGTTTTGGGCTGGAACACGAGCTACTTGCAGGTGAAGCAAAGCTGCTGGGCCGGCTCCAAACCAGGCCCCTCCACCGGGCCCCCAAGCAGAGTCCAGGCACAGACGCAGCTCGAGCCCAGGGCTCAGGCTGACCCTATTTCTCCTAAGAAGCCTTCCCCGAGACTACCTCCTCTGCAACACCTGGCATGGGAGGCGGGAAACCTGCACGCAGCCTGGTACTAACCCCTGTGAATAAAGGCAATGGGAAAACACAGCGGTAATTCATAAAACATGCAATTTCCTAAGATAGTTCTTTCTTGCTTCTAGCTTTCAATAATGAAAATACTGATACTTCACGTGAAGGCACGTGGAATATAAAATTACAAGTTAAAGATGTAAAAGTTTTCCAGGCAGAGGGGCCAGGGAAGGTCCACCTTCCCGTACCTTCAGGAAGGCAACTCCACTGCCAAGGACGCCTCTGCAGGCCTTAGACCTTGGGGTGCCTGAAATCCACTCTGATCACTCACAGGGAGTCCCACGTGTAAGCTGCAGATACAAGCTGGAGGATCAAAGCCAAAGCGTGCAAGAGGAGACAGAGCAGAAGTGTGCAGACACAACCCCCATGCACGAGGAAGATGGGGATGACAAGAAGGGCACTGGATGCCCACCCTGGGCTGTGAGCCCCTGGCCCCGACAGGTGAATAATGCACCAAGGTGTGGACCACATGTACAAGAGGCCACAAGACACGGATGGGCCACATACGCACTTGTCACATTTGACACGGATGGTTCCAAAAGGGAATTCTAACACCACCTAGGGATGCGCTCTCCATGTGCTCTCTGTTAAAGAAACGAAAGCCCACAAGGAGGAGACATCTGGGATGCCTTCACCAAGAAGATGCCACCACACTGGCATTCACGGAGCAGGTCCTGGCTCCCACTGCCTGTCCAACAGCCGAGTCCCAAATCCCTGGCCTGCATCCAAGACTCGACCTCACCTCCCCACTACTTCCAGGCCCACTGGAAGCAGCCATCCTCCCCCATCTCCTCCATCCTCCAAGGATGCTCCAAGGAGTAATCGAGGTTCCACCTCTCCGTGGACGCTCTCTCCAGACACCCCATGGGCACCTCCTCCCCAGGCCACAGGTGGCACGCCCTGCCACATGTCCTACCCAGTCTTATTTTAAATGGGCTTTAAATGGGCTTTCAGTTGCTTCCATAAGTGTTAGTCTTGTCTCTGCATTGAAGGTTGAAACCTTTGGGAACAGAAAGGCAAATCCTTTCATTCAGGAATCCCAGGATTCTAGCACAGCGCACCTCAGTCACACTGCAGGCTCGGTTCCAGATTGCCACAATAAAGCAGGTCACACCAATGCTTTGGTGTCCCAGTGCATACAAAAGTTGTTTGCACTATACTGTAGTCTACCAAGTGTGTAATAGCAGTGTGTAAATAATGTACATATCTTAATTTAAAAATACTTTATTGCTTAAAAAATGCTGACAGAGACACTAAGTGAGCACATGTTACTGGAAGAATGGCGCCAAAAGAGTTCCTCAGGCTACTACAAACATTCCATTTGTGAGGGAAGGAGGGAGGGAGTAAAGAAGGGAGGCAGGGAGAGAGGGAGGGAGGGAGGGAGGGAGGAAAGGAGGAAGGGAAGGAAGGAGGAAAGGAGGGAGGGAGGGAAGGAAGGAAGGAAAAAAGCATACATTCTTTGTGCAGGGCAATAAAGTAAGGTGTACCTGTGGTTGGAAGGGACCTCAGCTGCTCCTGGGAGGGGCGATGGCTCCCCGGGGCCCAGGGCTGGCGGGCCCTCTGCACTTAAGGCCATACCCATTCCTTAGAGAGCGAGTTCGGAGGGCAAGGCCCGGAACCCAGCGCAGCGTCATGTACACAGCCGTGCCGTGTTCACTGAATCGGCATCACTCAGCACATTTGTTTAAGATTCCATTTTTAGAGCCGCATCTCACACAGTGAAAGGGAAAAATAGTGAATGAGTAATCGGCTTCCTGTGTGAGCAACTGGGTCACAGGGAACAAAAAATTTCAGTATACACAGCGGACGTCAGCAGAGGTGGGCGGCAGGCGAGCCTCCTGCAGGAGCAGGCGGTCCCCTGAAGAAACTCCTTTCGGAGTTGGCTCCTCCCCGACTTTTCAGGGAGGGATGTGGAGCAGACTCTGTGCCACCTGCCCTGAGGGCCATCTAAGTAAGGGACAGGGATGGGGGAAAGTTGGTGCATGAAGAATAAAGTGCAGGCCTGCCAGGATTCCCCGCAGACGTGTACCCTGAGGCGGGGAGAGCAGCTGCAGAAATTCAGAGTCATTAAATAAATGAATAGCCCAGCTCTTCCGTGAAGCCGCTTTGGCTACCGGCGGGTGAACCACAGGCCCGGGTCAGCACCCATAGGCTGCGCAGCTGCCACCTGAGCTTGGGTGGCAGCCTCGCTGTGAGGCTGGCACAGGGGCCCAGGGCTGTCTCCTAGGAAGCCGGCCCAGTGCTCAGCACCCATGAATCAGGGGATGTAAACGGTTAAACATCTGCCACCCAAATGACATGCAAAGCTGTTTCCAGAGCTCCAAAGTGAGTCATTATTCAAAGCCATGCTTCCCGATGGTCCTCCTAGAACTCTGCATTCATTACACTGGGCATCAGCCAGAAAACGTGCAGGCCAAAGAAAGTGAGAAGGATAGCTCAGGGCTGCTAAACACTTCTGTGCCATACCCTGGGCCAAGCCAGGTGCAGATATGGTCTCTGTGATGCCAGGACAGGATGCCCTGGCCAGGCAATGGCACAGCAGCCACCGAGATCCGTGCCATCAGCACGAGCCGCAGAACAGGACGGAGTGATGGCTCAGTGAGTACAGACCAGAGAGTAGATGCTATCAAGCTGTACTCTCCTGCTAAAATCAGGACACGAGGGTGACAACTCACCTGTTGTCTACACAAGCAAGCCTCCCTTATGGCCACCCAAGTTGACGCTAAACACAGTCATGGCAGCTTTTTTGGTGAAATGGACAGAGACGGTCTCAGAATGTGTGCTGGGAATGCAGTCGGAACATCTGCTCCTGTCAGCCGGAGTGCAGACAACTGTATGCTGTCTCCCATGCCAGGCCCGGGCCACCAATGAGCCCACGGTGAGCCGAAGTCAAAGCCTCACCCAGCCCACGTTCACAGAGACGCGTCTGGCCCAGGCGTCACAGCTGTGCAGGGATGGCTGGAGCTGGGTCCCCAGCTGATGCGTTCTACCCCCTCCCCCCGGTCTGACTCCCAAACTGGGGCAAACTGACCTCGACAGGGGCTCTGGAGCCCCCCAGATCTGTGAGGACACACCAAAAGTCAAATGTGACAAGACGGGGAGGAAAAGGAACCCTCGCACTTTGGGGGTCCCAGGTCCCTGGCCACAGAAGCTGCCCAAACACGGACGCCGAGGAAGCGGAGGCACAGATGGGGGTCCCAGGTCCCTGGCCACAGAACCCATCCAAATACGGATACCAAGGAAGCAGAGGCACAGATGGGGGTCCCAGGTTTCTGGCCACAAAACCTGTCCGAAAACAGACGCCGAGGAAGCGGAGGCACAAACATGCCCCACGGTGGAAGGGAGTCAACAGAACCCACCTCGCTGGCCACCGGTCACCCACCTCCACAGGGGAGGCTGCTCCTGCCTCTAGCCAGAGCTCTGCATCAGGAAGGAAGAGTGCACCCTCCAGCCCTGAGCAGGAGCCACTGCATCAGTGCTCCTCGGAACCAGGGGCATCGTCTCAGGAGCCAGCTGATGCCACCAAGGGGGTCTCAGTGTGGCAACGGGGAGCTGGTGCACAGGCTCAGAGAATACGTTCTGGGGAATGCTGGCCATCAACCAGAGCCCTAGGGCCCCTTTGCCCTGGGGACAGATCCTGCTGCAGCCTCAGGACCTCATGGGTCCCAGCTTAGGAAATGGCCCCTACCCCTCCTCCTGTGGGCATGGGGACACAGGATGTAGCCATCCACCACTGCTCCCTGGCTGCATCCACACGCTGAGAAGGAGCTTTTGCCTTCACTCCCTTGGGCCCATGGGAAGGCTGGGTCGGAATGAAGGAGGGAAGGAAGCTCTGGGTGCAGCTCTGGGTGCAGCCCCGGGTGGGGGCAGTCCTCACAGCGGGGGCAGCGGAGCTGTCCTCAGCAGCATCTTCGCACTTCTGTTGAGCACTTCTGTGTTCTGCAGGCGCGGTTCCTGGAAGGCTTTCGTTTCTGTTCTCCCTGAGTAGAAATTATTGGAGCATTTCCAACCTGTCTCAGCCTGGTTCTTGGCAACACCAAAAGAATGGGCCATGGGAGGCAACGTGAGCAGGGGAGCAGTCACCCCAAAGGCAGGGGCTGTAGAAGGTGCTGGGCAAGGACAGCAGGGAGAACTCCCCCAGGGAAGACTGGAACGCTGCGCTGAGGCCGACACAGGCAGCCTGCGCCTCCAGATCAGACTGATGATCATCCCTAAACCACTTGCTCCCCTCTTTTGGTTTAATGAGTAATAGCCTGAAAATATGTTAACCTTATTTTAGTGAGCAATACAGCGTGCACAGGAAGAGCATGACACACCCGTACAGTCTAGGACTGACTATAAACAAACACCTAAGCTCCCGCAGATGACTAACCATCAACACGGAATTTCCTGTTGGGGTTTTTTAAAATAAATGTTTGTGGTTCAACCTGAAACTGCAACCACCATTATCTCTTTGAGAAATGGTCCTGAAAGCCACCCCTGTGATCTTTACGAAGAAAACTTTTCCCCATAAATTATGAATACATTTTTCCTCACAAGTCAAAAACATCCTCTTTGATCCACCATCTGTCTTTACTGAACAATATTAGAAATACTGTAATAAGGCCAGGCACAGTGGCTCAAGCCTGTAATCTCAGCACTTTGGGAGGCTGAGGCAGGTGGATCACCTGAGGTCAGGAGTTCAAGGCCAACCTGACCAACATGGTGAAACCTCATCTCTACTAAAAATACAAAAATTAGCCAGGCATGGTGGCAGGCACCTGCAGTCCCAGCTATTTGGGAGGCTGAGGCAGGAGAATCACTTGAACCCGGGAGGTGAAGGTTGCAGTGAACTGAGATCGCACCCTTGTACTCCTGCCTGAGCAACAAGAGCAAAACTCTGTCTCAAAAAAAAAAAAAATACTATAATAAAGACAAAGAGGAATTAAAGGAATACTGGTAAAATGTAAGTTATCTCCTACAGAAACATTCCCCAATCGGGGCAACTGATGAGACCACAGCATCTCAACCACCGGCCCTACCAAGACAGACCCGCACGCTGGTCCAGGGCTGCTCGAAGCCTGACACCTCTCAGTGGAGACATGAAGAATGCCTTATGCGTACATTTCTCTGACTCTTCTCTACAGCCTTTTCTGGTTTCAACTCTAGATTTCTTTTGTGATTCCGACTCTGTATCTGCCTCTCCCACTAGAATGTAGGCACTGCAATATAGCAAGGACTGTGTCTGTTTTTGTGCAACTGTTGACTGAATGAATACACAGATGAATAAAAGAATATCTTCTTGTTACACCAACTCTTAGTAAAAATGCCTTATGGGTTTATGACTCAATCCCAAGTGTTTTTAGGACAAAACCATAAGGTATCCATAGGAAGGCTATTACTCTACCTTTTACAAATAGTCTTTACTGTTTGTTTGTTTATTTTATATTTTATCCTTTTTAGTAGAGACAGGGGTCTTGCTATGTCACCCAGGCTGGTCTCAAACTCCTGGCCTCAAGTGATCCTCCTGCCTTGGCCTCCCAAAGTGCTGAGATTCCAGGCATGCACCACAGCACCCAGCCTGTTTCAACTAAGAAGCCAACATTTCTCCAGCATCAACATTACTCCAGTACAAGACTTCCAGCACATTCTTGTCTCTTCTCATGTCCTCGCTCTTGGACTTGTCTTCATTGCACAGCTGAGGAGCCAGGAGCTCCATGGGGTGAGGTGACAGCCAGGGCACCTGGGCAGCAGACCACAGGGCTAGGACTGTGATTTCCAGTTTGCCCCTCCACCAACATCAGCCATCAAATCAGCTGACCGCCCTGATGAGGGTCCATGTGACATCTCTTGTACTTCAGAAAGAGTCTTGTTCTCCAAACTGAATCCTTTTTTCACCCAAAACATACAAGAATCTGACCTACCTAACACATGTATGTTCCCTGAAAATATATACACCTATTACGTATCAATAAAAATAGACCAAAACTTTTTTTTTGAGATGGAGTCTCGCTGCCGCCCAGGCTGGAGTGCAGTGGCGTGATCTCAGCTCACTGCAACCTCTGCCTCCTGGGTTCAAGTGATTCTCCCACCTCAGCCTCCCGAGTAGCTGGGATTACAGGCGTGCATCACCATACCCAGCTAATGCTTGTATTTTTAGTAGGGACGGGGTTTCACCATGTTGGCCAGGCTGGTCTCAAACTCCTGACCTCAGGTGATCCACCCGCCTCGGCCTCCCAAAGTGCTGGGATTACAGGTGTGAGCCACTGTGCCCGGCCGACATACACTGATCTGCCACCCTCATGCCTCGTATCTGTGCTAAGCAGCTAGGAAAGTTAAAAAAAAAAAAAAAAAAAAACTTTGTGCCCTTTTACAGTAACTGATTCATCCTAGATACCTAGTACTTTTCTCAATATTTACATAAAATGTTTACTTCCCTTTTTAACATAAGTTCCCATAATTGAAGAAGCAATGGCCACCACCATTGTGTCAGGTACAATGCAGACCCCTTCAGGCAAATCAGCTCCTTTAATCCTTACCACGGGCAAGGCAGGCAGGATCCCCATCCTACAGATGTGGTCCGAGGTGTCTGACAGGCAGAGCTGGGATTCACACACAGCACTCACGGCTACCAGAGCACACAAGCCTTGCCACCAAGCCACGCTGCCTTGAATCGATAACAACTATGCTTAAATCAAACAAAAGGAGCTGGAGGAACCAAATGCGTGACAATCCATCCTCACCAGGTTCACTCAGTTCCATCTGCGAGCACAGGAATACCTGCCCACCAGTGAGGTCTGCCGGTGCCAAGCCCTGCACTAAGGGTTTCCTAAACTCTACCTCAACGCACGATGCCACTCACCCTACACTGCCTGAGCACCTCCTACTCCTGCTCTCAGGGCGCTCGTCTTCAGAAGAGGGCAGGGAGGAAAACCATCACCATCTCCCTGAATGGGCAGGCAAGCCACTGGCAGCACTCGGGTTGGCTGGAGGGGGCTTGCCAGTTAAGGGGACAGGAGAGAAATAACTCAGTCGGAACAATTTTCTGAATATTTGAAGGAAAAAAATAAGGTGAGCTCCCTCTCACATCCTATTACAAAATAAATTTCAAATAGAAACTGTAAATAGATAGTATTTTTAAATGGAACAAAAATATCCACAGAAATATTTTAAAATTTAATAACCTTTTATAGTTTTGGGGTGGGAATGCTCTTTCTGGGATTACAGGCATGAGCCACCGTGCCCGGCCCTCTTTCTTAGAACCAAAAAGAGGTTGCAAAAGGATGATTTTTGGCTGGGTGTGGTGTCTAACACCTGTAATCTCAGCACTTTGGGAGGCCGGGGCAGGTGGATCACTTGAGGCCACAAGTTCGAGACTAGCCTGGGAAACATGGCAAAATCCCATCTGTACAAAAAAAAATAAAAAATAAAAATAAATAGAAAATTAGCCAGTCATGGTGGCATGCCTCTGTAGTCCCAGCTACTCGGGGGTGCTGAGATGGGAGGATCACTTGAGCCTGGGGAGGTCAAGGCTGCAGTGATCCGAGATCACACCTCTGCCCTCCAGCCTGGCTGACACAGTGAGAACCCGTCTCGACGGAAAGAAAAAAACTGTGTGTGTGTGTGTGTGTGTGTGTGTGTATTTCTCTAATTGCATGACAAACTGGGAAATTTTTATGACATCATAAATACACAAACCTAAAGGTATAAACGTACATATACAGAGTTTATATAAACTAATGAAATCAAAAACTCCAACAGGAAATGGTGAGGGATATGACTGGATAGTGCATGAGAAAAAATGGCCACTCCCATCCATGTGGGGAGATTTCAAGCTTGTTTCAGAAGGCTTTTAAAATTACAAGCCTTTTGATCTGGTAACTCAACACCTAGGCATTTGTCCTAAGGAAATACCCAGGCGTCTACACACGAAAAGACTGAGAAGGACTGAAAGGTCCATCAGGAGAAAATGGGTTAAATGAACTGTGAGGACAGTTCAGTGACACTGCTTCTCCATTGATCACACGGCAAGAGCTCCATGTACTTGTAAGTGGGAAAAAGCTTCAGAATGGTGTTTGATGCAATCCCATCTGTCCTATATTATGCACACATACACATTTGGGGTATGAAAGGGAAAACTTAAGGAAGAATTATAAAACAAAATATTTATCGTGATTATTCCTGAGTGGTCAAGCTATAGTCTTTCCACTCTTCTCTATGCTTCTATTTATTCGTTTTATATCTTATTTTATTTATTATTTTATCTTATGAGACAGAATCTCACTCTGTTGCCGAAGCTGAAGTGCAGTGGTGCGATCATAGGGCTCAAGTGATCCTCCTGTCCCAGCCTCCCAAATAGCTGGGACTACAGGCGTGTGCCATCATGCCAGGCTATATATATAATATATATATATATTATATATATATTATTTATATGCCAGGCTATATATATTATATATATAGCCTGGCATATAAAATATATATAATTATATATAAATATTATATTATATAATATGTAAATGTTATATATTATATATAATTGTATATACAATTATATTATATACAATTGTATATACAATTATATTATATACAATTGTATATATTATATTTATATTATATACAATTGTATATATTATATTTATATTATATACAATTGTATATTATATAATATATAATTATATATATTATGTATTATATAATATATATTATGTATATAAATTATATAATATATATTTTATATATAATATATATAAATTATATATATTATATAATATATATATTATATATATATACACACACACACATACACACATATTATAGAGATGGAGCCCTCCTGTGTTGTCCAGACTGGTCTCAAACTCTTGGGTTCAAGCGATCCTCCTGCCTCGGCCTCCCAAAGTGTTGGGATTACAGCGTGAGCCACTGCACATGGCCTGTGCTTCTGTATTTTTTAAGTAGGTTTATTATATTTGTTATTTAAAACTAAATTATTTTTAAAAAATGAACAAACTCTGGGAGAAGGATGAATATTGGATACATCATTCTATTTTTCTCTGATATATCCCTAAGTTAAAGAAAACAGAAGCTGGCTGGGTGTGGTGGCTCATGCCCTGTAATCCCAGCATTTTGGGAGGCCAAGGCGGGTAGACCATCTGAGGTCGGGAGTTCGAGACCAGCCTGACCAACATGGTGAAACCCCGTCTCTACTAAAAATACAAAATTAGCCGGGCACGGTGGCGCATGCCTGTAATTCCAGCTACTCGGGAGGCTGAGATGGGATAATCACCTGAACCCTGGAGGCGGAGGTTGCAGTGAGCTGAGATGGCACCATTGCACTCCAGCCTGGGCAACAAGAGCAAAACTCCATCTCAAACAAACAAAAAAGCAAAATAGAAGCTTAAGATGTAAGCACAGATAGTCATTATGCCATTTAACAGATGCCCAGAGAGATTTAAAAAGTACCCAATGCAAGATCTGCAGTGAGCCCATTTTCCCAGCGTAGTCTCACAGATGAACAAAGTGGCATCTACAGGTGAGGCAGCACGTCCGGGTCACCTGCAGGCTGGGAGGAGTCGGTGGAGCAGCAGGGGAGAGGCAAGTGGCCGGGGTGGGGGACGGGCCCACGTCATCGCATGGCTGCTGTGTCGTCGTGACCGCTGTCTCATCCTGCGAGACACAACCCTGTCCGGGAGAACTCCCCTGGTGCCCACCAGCCCAGGGGGACCTGCCTGAGGGTGCCAGCCAGCCAAGGTGCAGACAGGCACCCTGGCCCCAGAGTGCGTCCCACTGTTCTGCACCGTTGCTGGTGAACATGTTGTTTGAAATAGAAGACTAAAGCCACAAAATGGGTTTTACGTCATGGTTAAAGGGAACTCACAGAGGAACTGTATAGAAGAAAAAAAAACTCAGCAGAAGAGCTGTTTCGTTCATTTATAACCACGCCCCTGCACTGTGTCCCAGCTCTGGCAGGGACGTTCCCTCCCTCTTCACACTTGCTGGGCTGAATCATCTGCAGAGGTGGCAGGAAAACCGCCTCATTTACATACACCCTTTCCGGCAAGCACAGCCAGGGATTCCAATTCCCAGAGCCTCCCAGCCTCTCCAGTGCCAACGCAGCGCAGCACGGATGCAGGGCAGCGTGGGCAGCGGTGGCATAAGGTGCTCACACCCAGCTGGAGTTGAAGTCTGGCTGACATTACTTTCTCTGACTCCGTTTCTGGCAGCAGCCACGGACACCGATGGGGGCTGGGTGGCCCCCCCACCCCCCCCCCCCCGCCCCAGGCCTCCCTGCCTGAGTGAGGGGCCCTTTCCTGGGGGATGGCCTCCTGGCTTCAAGCCTGAATCTTGAGGATGGAAGGAGAAATAAATGAGCATTCAGAAATCTCAGGCTCACTCCTGTCAGCTTCAGCCTCACTCCTGTCAGCTTCAGCCTGATCTACAGGATTAGCTTCTGAGGCCTAATTTTAAGAGAAAAGGAATCAAGAAAAAAAAAAAAGACATCAAAAATGAAAAACTGCCATCTGAGTTCCGTCCCACAGGGTTATAACACATCTTAGCCTTTCTGCCTGTCTTGAAAAGAATAAATGTCTATTTTTATCAGCGAGGCAGCAAAATCCATCAACATCTCCTGCTCATCTGCTGAAACGCACACGCCTGTTCCACTCATCACCGGGCTGTTGCGTCATCTGCCACCTGGGAGGACCAAGAGATGACCCTGCCCACCAGGGGCCTCACAGTAGATGCCAGTGCCAGTGCCAGCAGATGCTTGGCGGGGCCCCATGCTGGGCTGTAGGGCGCACAGCTCTCCTTTCTAGGTGCCAGGTCGAACACTGAGCTTACTATTGTACAAGATCTAACCCAGGAGGGTGAGAAAGGAGGAGATGAGGCAGGACAGCAAGAGGGACTGGGGTCCCACACAGCAGCTCAGCCACTGCCGACCTCGGGGTCAGGAAACAGACACCCACAAGAGCGTCCACGACCCGTATGGGAAGATGTCTGAACCCCGAGACGGCGTGTTCTGTGCTGGAGAACAACTTCCAGGGCTTTATCCAGGTGTTCTAAAGCCACAGCACCAAAAAGAATTCTCTTCGGCAAAGGCAGCAGGACTCAACAGGAAGCAGACGTTTGCGTTCCGTTACTTGAGGAAAACCAAATGCTGCTGACATTTCTACCCAGAGAGAGTTTGCATCTCTCCTGCTTCGCAGCCATCTTTCCTACGGTTTTACCAGGAGAATGCCTAGCTCTTCTCCAACCTGTGCCAGGCCTGACACTCAGCTCCTCTGGGAGTGCCTCCATTTCCCTGTGCGTACAAGCCCACGGTGCCGTAGGATCACCGGTCCACTCTGCGCGGCAGCACCGCACCCCGGAGCCGCAGCTCTTCCTCCCGCTTGCCCGACAGCCCTGGTGCCAAGCCCTGTCTGAGCCCCACCAGGAGGAAGCGCGTGCTGGCTGCTCTCCATCTGCTCTGGGACTCTGGCCTGCTGCTTCCTCTGCCTGCCACTCCCCAACCCCGTTTCCTCCTCTGAAAACTGGAGCTACACCTGCCCCAACAGGGCAGAATTACCTTAAATGGCACAAGACAATTGTACAGCAGACCCACCTCTTCTCCAAAGTTTTCAGGGCCCAAACCCAGACACCTCCTTGCAGGACTCATGGCTACCGTGGGCTCGCACCACCAGCCTCCCCATGCGTTTTCCTGCCTCTGCTTTTGCTCAATCTGCTCAATGACAGAAACGCGACAACAGAGGCCACTTTCTCCAAACCCAGCTCTCCCTCGAGGCTCCCATCCTGCTGCTCACGCTGAGGCCACTCTACCCTGCCCTCCGCAGCTCACAGGCAGACCTGGAGCCCAGTGACTACAGGGTTGGCCTCCTCATCTTGCCACCACTCACAATGCCCAGCAGTGTTAAAATCCGGCAGGATGCACCCGCTTGGGAAGCAGTCCCCAAAGCAGAATCGTCACCACATCTGAATAGTTTCTGCCATCCCACTGACAGGCCAGCATCTAAAAGAGATGTGCGCTGAGCGTCCGTTATGTGGTGGCGTCGCTGTGGTTTCTTAACCAGAACGCAAAATCCTGTGACCAGGATTATCACCGGCTCGTTTCATACATGAGACGGGGGAAGCCAAAGTAACCACTCAGGCCACAGCAGAAAAACGCGTGCTGGAATCTGAAACAAAGTCTGTTGGATTCCAAGGGTTCAACGTCTTTTGTGATGATGAAGACGAAGCCTGCCCAAGAGCAGTCAGAGCTGAAAGAAGAAAAGCAGGAGGGCCTGTGAATGCCCCCAACCCCCTAAAACCTGCAGCTCCAGGTCCGACACTCCCAGGTTTGCGTTTTGAATTTACACTACCTATGGGGTCCAGGCCATCACCTAAGTGAGAAATTTCACACGCTCACCCGGGGTGCTCAAAGCCATCTCTCTAAATGAGGTGCCTGATGTGCAGACAACCCTTATATGATCTACATCTCTTCACCTGTCTGGAAATCAAGACCCTCTCACGATTTTTTTGTTTGTTTTTCCCCGAGACAAGGTTCTCAGTCTGTCCCCAGGCTAGAGTACAGGGGCGCAATCTCGGCTCACTGCAACCTCTGCCTTCCGGGTTCAAGCGATCCTCCTGCCTCGGCCTCCAGAATAGCTGGGATTACAGGCACCCACCATCACACCTGGCTGATTTTTGTATTTTTCGCAGAGATGGGGTTTCACCGTGTTGGCCAAGCTGGTCTTGAAATCCTGACCTCAAGTGATCTGGATCTCTCAGCCTCCCAAAGTGCTGGGATTACAGGCATGAGCCACTGTGCCCTGCCCTCTCATGATTTAAAAGGCAAATGGACACAAAGACACATGCAGACGACGTGACAGCCTCTGTGAAGATGAGACGCCTTGGCAGGCACACTGTTAGAGCCAGAAAGAATCCAGCCAGCTTGCTGAACCACAATGCATTCCTATGTGTGAGCAACGATTAGAAAAGTTATTTTTTACAAAGATGTCATTTACAAACAACAAAAGCTGTAAGGCACAAAAGTGGGACATGTATGAAGTCTACTCGAAAGATGTGTCCTTTAATTACTCCTGCACTTGGCGAGGCCTCTGCTTCCCAGCCTTGTGTTAACTGTGGCCTCTGTTCAGACTCCTGCAGCACACGGAGGAGTCAGCGTCATGGGGTCTACAGATCCAAAACACAGGCCGGGCGCGGTGGCTCACGCCTGTAATCCCAGCATTTTGGGAAGCCGAGGCGGGCAGATCACCTGAGGTCGGGAGTTCGAGACCAGCCTGACCAACATGGAGAAACACCATCTCTACTACAAATACAAAATTAGCCGGGCGTGGTGGCGCATGCCTGTAATCCCAGCTACTTGGGAGGCTGAGGCAGGAGAATTGCTTGAACCTGGGAGGCAGTGGTTGCAGTGAGCCGAGATTGCACCACTGCACTCCAGTCTGGGCAACAAGAGCGAAACTCCGTGTCAAAAAAAAAAAAAAATCCAAAACACGCTCTCTGTTTTCCCATTCGGAGGAGAATTACATCCTTCTGGAAAGAGGCCTCCATGTCTGCTGGCGCCACGTCCGTCCTATGTCCCCTCTCTCTGCTCTGCCTCCTTCAAACCCCAGTGAGTGGGTCACCAAGACCCCGTAGGATTGACGGGGAGGTGGAGGTTGCAGTGAGCCGAGATCACACCACTGCACACCAGCCTGGGCAACAGAGTGAGGCTCCGTCTCAAAAAAAAAAAACCCGAATTCGAATTGTGTCTAAATCTGTCCACTTCACCTCCACCATTTGTGTGCAGGCCACAGCCATCATCTTCTCCCAGCTGGATCACTTCACAGTGCCTACCAGGGCCCCCTGTGTCCACACAGCAGCCAGAGATACCAGGAAGGGCGACTGGGTCATCCCTCCACTCTCAAGTTCCCCAGTGGCATCTCATCTGCACCTGGAGACAGCCAGGTTCCCACGGGTTCCGAGGCTGTCCGGCCACAAGGCACCCAATGCGCTCCTGCCCCAGGGCCTTTGCACTTCCTGTCTACTCTTTCCTCAAATCCCTGCGGTTTGCTCACCCACTCACCTCCTTCAGGTCTTTGTTCAATGTCACCTCCTTAGAGACTGCTGACTGGCTTGTTAAAAACGGTGCATGCCCCCAGCAGCCCCAGCACCCCCCCGCCGCTGTGCTCGCCTCAACAGCGCTTGCCACCTGGCACACTACATCTCCAGTACTCCCTGCACTAGGCACACCCCAAAGAGAAATGTCTCTGTTTCTGCCCCCCTGGTCTACCCCAGGGCTTAGAATCATGCCTGGCAAGTGCTAGGCTGATGGATGTGAACCATATGGTGAATGGTCTCCAGGTAGGTTCTGATTTTCCCTTTGCTCCGCAACCATGGCAGTCTGGGCTGTCTGCCCCAGCCTGGTTGCTTCTTTTTCTGGAGCAACAGAGCATGTGTCTGCCAGCTAGAGTCATCTCTTGGTGTTTGCCTAGAACCTGAACACATCCTCCTATCTACCTTGTATCAGCTCTAGATTACTTATAATACCTAAAACAAACACTATGTAAATAGTTATTATACTGTACTTTAAAATTTTAGAATATTTTTTATTGCTTTTCTCCCCCCAAATATTTTCTACCCCTAGGTTAAGGCACCCTGCTTTGGTGGGTTTACGTGATAGGCAGGTCAGCGGCGGGCCAGCACACAGAAACCTCACAGCCTCCTCCTCCACGGTCTTTCCCCTTTGGGTTGAAGATGCCCTGCAGCCTGAATCCCTGAATAGCTGCATGGAGCAGAGCAGCTAAGCCCACACAGCCCTGGAAATTTACATGAAGGAAAAATAAGCTTCTACAGGGCTTGGATTCCTCCAAGAACCACTGCGTTTGCATGTATTTGTTTTAAGAACTTCATCCATCGCAATGAGCACATCCCTCTCTCCCTAGTCACTATGTTTTCCACATGAACACATGAGGGTCCTTATTTTTTAACAGAGTAGAATAGATGTTAAAAATAAATATCATGAAGGGAAAATTTAGCCTCTATTGATGTTATCTCTTCTGTGACATTTTCCTACTGCATATCAAAATATCCCCAGCCTACATAGCTATAAGGTCATGTTGGCAACACTGTCATTATAAAGGGAAAAAACTGTCCTCTCCCCAGTGATATATTTAGAAATCCAGCATTTCGACTCAGCATTTCCTTAGGTATAAGAATACTCCCACATTTATCTTAAATTACAATCACTGTACATTGTGAAAAGAAGTACTGTTCCAATGTTAATAAAACAGTAAACTGTACATCACGGTGGCGTTAGAAAACCGTCAGAACAGACTCCGTGAAATAAGCTTTAGCTTTAAGTAAAATCTCCCTGTAAGCTTCAGCAGGCTTCTGCAGCCCATCCCTGTGGCTCAGGCTAATTCAATTGCATGGAGATTCAACTTTAATTCCCCGCACTTGGAATGAATACAGCTCCCTGAGGGATACTTAAAAGCAAATTTAACAAATGACAGAAATCAGAAAATTTCTCCAATTTGTCCAACCAGCTATTTGAAATGTCAATTCTAAACACTGGCATCCTGGAGAGGTACCATTTTTTTCCTAGTCAGAATAATTAATTAGGAGTAAATTGCTGAAAATCAAGCAGACAAAATATCCAGGAGTGTTTGCTTCTTTGATCAATTTCCTTCCTGAAGAGAGACGAGCTCACAGTTTAAAACAAATCGAAATGGTATTCTACTTCCTCAGAGGACTGAAGAAAAGTTAACGACGATGCCTGCACGCATTTTGGATCACAGGCCGTGCCACGTGCAGTGTTCTGGCCGCATCTTTTATATGACATAATTATGGATTTCTTTCTATTATTTGCTATCCGAAAGGCAGGCCTGCTGCTGGCCCCAACTTCAGAGACCAGCCCAGAATTGGTGGGAGCCTCGGATGGTGCGGGTTGACTCAGGCCCCCACGGCGGCGTGGCGGAGATTAAAGATGGGGTCTAATCTGGCCCTGTGGACCCGGCTCAGCAGACGATGGAATCCCAGATCTCATCGGGAAGTCTGTCAGCCAAAAACACACACCTCAAAGCGGAGTGCGTGGTGCCTCCACACCGGGCTGTGTTTGCGGAGCTGGGATGATAAGTGTGCAAGGGAGGAGGGATCCAGGGCCAGGTTGTTTTCTTCTTGTTAAAATTCAGATAAATTTACCACCGTAGCCATTTTCCAGTGCACACTGAGGTGGCCTTTCGCACATCCACACTGTTGTGTAACCAACACAACCACCCAATTCCTGGGCACCTTCGTCACCCCCAAAAGAAGCCACGTGCCCGCTAAGCCATCACACCCCGTTTCCTCCAAAGCCCAGGCCTTGGCACACGCACCTGCATTCTGTCTCAATGGCTCTGCCTGTTCTAGACATTTCCAGAGGTGGAGCCACGCACGTGACCCTCTGTGCCTGGCCCCCCTCATGTGGCATGCTGTCCTTGAGGCTCATCCGCGCTGCAGCTGTGTCTGAGCTCCACTGGGGCCGGATTTAACAGACTCCCTCAAGAGGGGCTTGCTCCAGCCCCACGCTGCTGTGGCGGACTGGGCTGGGGGCCTCCTTGTGTCTTCACCCTCCACCCTGCAACTGTGCGGCCTCTTCCACAGACTCCACATCAGCCATGTGCCTTGCCTGGCAAATGGCACAGGCATGACTGTTCCGCATCCCTCAGGGCTTGCAAAGGTGCCAGCTGCTTCTGCTGTGCCCTCTGCTGGGACTCCTGCCTCCCGGGGATGAGCTGCCCCTCCCTCAGGGTGAAGGAGCTGCATGGAGTGGTCCCATCATCCAGGCCCATGAAAGGCCCTAGCCAAGGTGGCCGAGAGGCTAAGTTGGCCTCTGACCAGATGTCCCTCTGGGTCATGCAGCCCCAGCAGCCCCGGAGGCTCAGACACAGTACGAAATGCTGCTGTAGGCCACAAGACCTTGAGGCGCACCAGGGAAACGACGCGATGGAGCAGATATATTCTCAAACTCATCAGAATGAGTGCAGCGTGCTGTGTACTGTCGGAAAGTTAGAAGCACCACGCTGGTCTCTGCTCAGTGGCACCTTTCATCTAGCTGGGAGTTCATGTTCAAGAACTTGAAAATTACATAAGCGAAAATGCTTAGGTATGTTGAAATTAACGGCTAATTATGTGTATACAAATACCGATTCAAACACAGCAACAATAAAAAGGCATTTTTGGCTGGGCGCGGTGGCTCACGCCTGTAATCCCAGCACTTTGGGAGGCAGAGATGGGTGGATCATGAGGTCAGGAGTTCAAGACCAGCCTGGCCAACATGGTGAAACCTCATCTCTACTAAAAATACAAAAATTAGGCCGGGTGCGGTGGCTCATGCCTGTCATTCCAGCACTTTGTGAGGCCGAGATGGGTGTATCATGAGGTCAGGAGATAGAGACCATACTGGCCAACACGGTGAAACCCCGTCTCTACTAAAAATACAAAAAAGTTAGCCGGGCGTGGTGGCGGGTGCCTGTAGTCCCAGCTACATGGGGGGCTGAGGCAGGAGAATGGAGTGAACCTGGGAGGTGGAGCTTGCAGTGAGCCGAGGTCGCGCCACTGCACTCCAGCCTGGGCGACAGAGCGAGACTCCATCTCAAAAAAAAAAAAGGCATTTTCAAGACAACTGGGAAAACCCGTGACTGTATTTGGTGCCATCAAGGAATGGCCATTTATCATGGGTCATGGAACTGTGATTCAGTTTTTTAAAAGACTCCTCATCTTTCAGAGACATACACTTAAGTATCTCTGCATAAACGTGCACTATGTGGGATTTGCTTCAAAATATTCAGGTAAGGAAATAAGACTGGCTATGGCGGATACGTTAGACTTTCTTTCCTTTCATACATATTTGAAAAAAAATACAAGTTTTTTTTCTTCTTTTTGAGGTGGGGTCTTCCTCTCTTACTGAAGCTGGAATGCAGTGTACAATCTCAGCTGCCTGCAACTTCCGCCTCCCGGGCTCAAGCAATCTTCCCACCTCAGCCTCCTGAGTAGCTAGGAGCACAGGTGTGCACCACCATGCCCGGCTAATTTTTTTGTATTTTCGGTAGAGACAGGGTTTCACCATGTTGCCCAGGCTGGACTTGAACTCCTGAGCTTAAGCAATCTGCCTGCGTCAGCTTCCCAACGTGCCGCGATTACAGGTGTGAGCCAATGCACCCGCCCTTAAAAGTATTTTCTAAAGCTTAAAAAAAATATCAGCAAATGAAGGAATGACCAAAGTGAAATGGGATAACCCAGCCTGGGCTGAACACAGACGGGGGTGCAGGGCTCTGGGGTAGGGAGGACGCACGGGGATACCAGGCCAGGTGTGTCTGAGGCTGCGCAAGGCCACCACTGCTGTCTTCTAGGGGAGGGTCTGCAGCTCTCGCAGGGGTGCCCAGCGGTAGGTCAGAAGCCATGCTGGGACCCAGCTGATGAAGACCCCACCCGCTGGTCCAGGGGTAGCTCTAGTTCCCAGCCATTGCTCTTGACTATAAACTTGGACAAGAAAAGGAATGATGACAAGTGGCTGATGAAGCTAAATTAAGGGCACTCTGCAGGAAGGGAGGAGAAAGCTACAAACCTGCTCAGAGGCTTCCGAACTGGCCCAGGGGCCAGGTGAGAATGGGACTGTAACAGCTGCTGTGCAGGAAAATTGCCCGGTGGGATGAAGCTTAGCAAATGGACAAGTCAGTTAGTACCTGCAAAATGAAGCACGGTGTCAAAAACCGCTTTATTTTCCGCACTCTGCTCAATATTCCATGCCTTCGAGGCTCCAAATATACTCAACATGACCAGTGCTATCAACAAATTATGCAGACTAAGTTGCTTTTTCGTAATTATAAATCAATCATGCTCACAGTAAAATATTTGCAACTTAGAAAGGTCTACTATAAGTAAGGTAAGATTTTTTCCATAATTAAATATGCCAAGAAATACCACTGAAGTATATCCTTCCAGGGCATCGATGACATTTTAATTTGTCTGAAGAAACCAAGTAGGTTCTGATGCCTAAGGAGGGGACCCAGGGAGATGCCTCCACCCATTTCCAGCGCAGGAAGAACTTGCAGGCAGGAGCATGGAGGCCCCACCTACTGCGAGAGCAAGCGAGGAGCATGCAGTTCACTTAACACTGTTGGCAGTTCTTGGAAACAGCAAGTTTAAGTGACATGATGTTTAACAAATCCATTTTTTTCCTAATCAACATCATAACAAAACAACATTATTCAAGAACCTGATGTACTTTGTTTTGCTTAAAAACGCAGTTTCCAAGAACCTCTCCACAGCATTAAGGACTCACTAAACATTCTCCAAAAGTTGATGCCTTCAGCACAATGTGAAAAGAACAGCCAAACTAAGCCTATACATTCTGACAAAGTTACACACAAAGTTATCATCTTGGCAAGGCTTGGAAGCGTAGCAAATTAAAAATTCTATAATTGGCTGGGCGCGGTGGCTCATGCCTGTAATCCCAACACTTTGGGAGGCCGAGGTGGGCAGATCACCCGAGGTCAGGAGTTGGAGACCAGCCTGACCAACATGGCAAAACCCCGTCTCTACTAAAAATACAAAAATTAGCCGGTCGTGGTGGCGTGTGCCTGTATTCCTAGCTCCTTGGGAGGCTGAGACAGGAGAATTGCTTGAACCTGGGAGACGGAGGTTGTGGTGAGCCGAGATCACACCACTGTACTCCAGCCTGGGTGACAGAGCAAGACTGCCTCAAAATAATAATAATAATAAATTCTATAATTTAAGGCCAGGCATGGTGGCTCACGCCTGTAATCTCAGCACTTTGGGAGGCCGAGGTGGGTGGATCACCTGAGGTCGGGAGTTGGAGACCAGCCTGACCAACATGGAGAAACCCCGTCTCTACTAAAAATACGAAATTAGCTGGGCGTGGTGGTGCATGCTTGTAACCGCAGCTACTCAGGAGGCTGAGGCAGGAGAATCGCTTGAAGCCAGGAGGCGGAGGTTGCAGTGACCCGAGATCATGTCATTGCACTCCAACCTGGGCAACAAGAGTGAAACTCCATTTAAAAAAAAAAAATTCTATAATTTAAAAATGAGCCAGTTGCAATGGTGTCCACATGAAGTCCCAGCTACTCAGGAGGCTGAGGCAGGAGGACTGCCTGAATCCAAGAATTTGAGGCTGTAGTGTGCTATGACTGTACCTGTGAATAGCTTCTGCACTCCAGCTGGGCAACCTAGTGAGACCCCGTCTCACCCCCACCTCTTAAAGAAAAATTATATATATATATATATATATATATATATATATATATATATATATATATATATATATACACACACACACACGTATGGAAAAAAACAAATGTCACTGACGAATGGATAAAAATGTGTTCTATCAGGACAGTGGAATATTACACACCCATGAAAAGGAATGGGGCACTGGCACCTGCTATGACATGGATGAACCTTTAGAGCATTGTTAGGCGAAAGAAGCCAGACACAAAAGTCCGCATGTATAACCTCAGGAACATGCAACATCCAGAACAGGCCATTCTGTGGAGATGGAGCACAGAGTGGTGGCTGCCAGGGGGTGGGAGGGGGCCATAGGAAGCAGCTGCTCATGGAGCACAGGGCTTCTGTTCCAGGCGATGGAAACGTCTGGACCTAGATGGAGTGATGCGCGCCCAACATCATGATGGACTTAACGCAGTTGAGTTATGTACTTTAAACCGGTCCGTTTTGTTCCGCATATTTTACAAACATATGGAAGATCTAATCAATAATCAATGAATCTGCTCAGCACTGAGCTCCTTTATGCTCCCCCTGGAGGAACTGATACCTTCCCCTGTGGCCTTTGGTGAAGAACACATTGAATGAATGAATTCTCAGCAACAACAGGTTCTTTAGATCTTTAACCGCCACTCCTAAACACAGAGTGGTGATATGGGCTTGTGAGCTCTGTCTGGAGAAACCAAAGCTGTTGTTTTCAGACATTAGCATGAGACAGGCAGAGATAACCTGTCGGAGGTGGATGTTACACTTGGCACTTTTTACGCTGCCATTCTGCCTTCTCTCCCCTCCAGCACGCTCCGGTCTCCTGTCACATCCCCAGGGCAGGCAGCAAATCTGCAGAGCTCTGGCAGCGCAGTGGCCACTTTCCCTGGTCTCCTTCTCTGTGCAAATCACCACAGTCCCAAGGACATCAGCCACGTCACCCTCTACTGTTTTCTCCACAATTGTCCGTGGAGAGCCCAACAGACAGGTCTGCAGCTCCTCTGCTTCGCCGGCCCCATGCCCCCTCCCAGCGCTATTCAGGGCCCTGAGCTGCCCGCAGCCGGCAGGCAGGCGTCAAGCAAGCAGGGACCGGGGCGGGGACCTGAGCAGACACCGTGGACGGAGCAGGTCCAGGCTGAGGGAAGGTCATGGCTGGCAGCACCGCATGCCACCTGGGCGGGCACCAGCCAGGACAATCCACGGGGAAGTGCCATTCCCCAACCTCCACTGCGCAGGCCAAGCACCTGCAGTTTGGGGCCACTGATCCAGCACCCCTTAAACGTCCTGCATCAGACGAAAGCAGTGAGGGGTGTCCCTGCGAGACCTATTACTTTCCAGCTGCTCCAGGGCAGCAAGGGTCATAGAACAGCATCCTGGTAATGTCTGGATACCTGAATCAGCCCCGCGGGGTGATGGGGTACCCCTTGCAAGAATCTGCAACTGTGTAGGGGCCCATGGTGAGGTCCTGCTCCTCCCACATAGGCCACAGGCCCTCCCCACCCACTGCCTCAGTTCCACCGGTGGGTCACTGCCTCCCCAGGCCTAACACCCATGGGACCCCGAAAAATGTCTGCAGATCTGGTAAGCATCTCTTGGAGGCTCAGCTGTGCCAGGGGCCTCAGCGGGGGAGCAGGATGCCGCCTCAGGGCCTCCCAGCCCTTCCCTGGGGGCCACGGGCTTGTGTACATCACCAGAAGGGAAAGGAAAAGCCAGCGTGAGCCAAGTGCTGAGCGGCTGCAGAGAGGACTGCGGGATCCTCAGCTATTTGGCAAAGTTCCATAAGAAACCCGTTTTGAGCCAATCTTGGAAAGAAGGAATTTCCACGAGCAGAAACGGGGAACCTAGGATGGGCATCACACCCGGCAGAGCGGTGGGCGGGCAGTGGCCTGCCGGGTGGCCTGCGGAGATCACAGGGGCTCCAGCCCACGCTTGGGGGTCAGCCTGTATGGTCTAAACAGCTGGCAACCTTGAGACTCTGCAAGTAGGAGTGTGGCCACAGCAGGTCGGCACGGCGGCCCGCCCATCACCCCGTGCACTGCTCCCGCACCGGCCTCGTCATCAATTCTTCCTCTGCTACAGCTGCGGCCTCACTCCCTCAGGAATCTGCCATCTCAATGAGGCCTCCCTAACACCCCAACTGCACACACCCTGCACTTCCTCCTGAGTCTGTCTGCCCATCCCATCCCCCCAGTCATAAGCTCCCTGAGGACAGGAATGGTCTGTTTTGGTTGCTGCTTTCTCTTCAGCATCTAGAAGAAGGCCCAGCACAGAGCAGGTGCTCAAGACATCAACTGTACAAACAACTGAATGACTGCCCGGAAAAAGACAAAAGACAGACTACAACAGCCAGGCACGGGGGCTCACACCTGTAATCCCGGCACAGAAAAAGACAGACTACAATGGCCAGGCACGGGGGCTCACACCTGTAATCCCGGCACGGAAAAAGACTACATCGACCAGGCATGGGGGCTCACACCTATAATCCCAGCACGGTGGGAGCCCAAGGCAGGATGATGGTTTGAGCCTGGGAATTCAAAACCAGCCTGGGAAATACAGCAAGACCTTGACTCTAAAAAAAAAAAAAAAAAAAAAAAAAGAAAAGCCAGGTATGGTGGTGCACACCCGTAATCCCAGCTACTTGAGAGGCTGAGGCAGGAGGATTGCTTGAGCCAGGGATGTTGAGGCTGCAGTGGGCTATGATCAGCCACTGCACTCCAGCCTGGGTGACAGAGCGAGATCCTGTCTCAAGAAACAAAAACAAACACCCCCAAAACCAAAAACCAAAGACAGACGGCAAAGACAAGAGATCAGGAAAGGGAGGAACACAATCTTGGCTCACTGCAACCTCTGCTTCCCGGGCTCAAGCACTTCTGCCTCAGCCTCCCGAGTAGCTGGGATTACAGGTGCCCACCACCATGCCCAGCTAATTGTTTGTATTTTCAGTAGAGATGGGGTTTCACCATGTTGACCAGGCTGGTATTGAACTCCTGACCTCAGGTGATCCACCCACCTCAGCCTCCCAAAGTGCTGGGATTACAGGCGTGGGCCACCGTGCCTGGCCAGAGGCTTTCTTAATAACGGAATAACTTAAAAACTTCTCCACAAAAAGCACAAAGAGAATTCCAACCCTCCGAAGACAGCGCTCCTGAAAGCGGCCTATTTTCACCATGAGCAGGGAGCCCGGCTCCCATACCCACAGCCCAAAAGAGAACACGGGCCCAGCCTAGGCTGGTTCCTGAAGGCGACAGGCCCCTGGGCCCCACTGTCTCTGCACCAGAGGGGTTGGGAGCCCCTGTCCTGCCCATGGCCAACCCCCCCATATGCTCAAAGCAACAGTCCATCCAAAGACTTTGAAAAAAACACACAGTCCCCCAAATCTCTCACAGACTCAGCCAGGCGGCCACTCCATGCAGATGAGATTTTAGATTCCAAATCAGATGCTCTTCTTGGGTGGTTTTATTCAAACATGTGTGTAAATCATGATACAATTTAATTAAAGTGGAACATCTCTCCGAAACACTCTGGGATTAAGTAGACACGCGCGCATGCAGATCATTCGAGAGTTAAACAGAACAGGAGTTAGGAGTCTTCTGACTTAGCGGTTCTCTAAGTGTGGTCCGGGGAGCTTCAGGGAGGTCCCCAGGGCCAGAGCGGCTTGTGTTTTCCCTGTGCTGACATTTGCTCCGGTGGCTAAGGTGAAACTGCAGGTGCATCTGCACAGTGCAAGGCGGCGATGGCAGGCAGTACCCTCAGACGCTGGACTCACCACCACAGCACGTGCACAGCACGGGGACGAAGCCAGCCTACCTTAAAACTCCTGCAGAAAGCAGCAAAAAGCATCAAGTTTATTCCACATTGACTCTTAAGCCTTTGTTTTTTTTTTTTCTTGATATGGAGACTCGCTCTGTTGCCCAGGCTGGAGTACAGTGGCACGATCTCAATTCACTGCAACCTCTGCCTCCCAGGTTGAAGCGATTCTCCTCCCTCAGCCTCCCAAGTAGCTGGGATTACAGGCGCCCACCACCACACCGGGCTAATTTTTGTATTTTTAGTAGAGACGAGGTTTCACCATGTTGGCCAGGCTGGTCTCAAACTCCTGACCTCAGGTGATCCGCCCACCTCGGCCTCCCAAAGTGCTGGGATTACAGGCGTGAGCCACTGTGCCTGGCCGTGCCTGGTCTCTTAAGCCTTTTGAATGTTCTGTATGAGGAAGTGGGGGGTGCACATACCCACATACCCCTAAGTGTGAGGCTACCCCAAGGAGAGGCACTTGAGTGTGGCCTTTCGAGCTGTGACCTCGAGTAGGGTGCCGGGCAGATGTCTTCTCCAAGCAGACCTAGTGACCTGCACTTCAAAGAAAATGGCTGATGGTGTCTGTTGCAATCGTAAAATTCAAGCTTTAACATAAAAATTATAATCGTGGAAAACATATTCACCACCATGAGCTTCAAGCTTCCAAATACTTAAAAGACTTCTGGTGAGTTCGACCGGGCGCGGTGGCTCACGCCTGTAATCCCAGCACTTTGGGAGGCCGAGGCGGGCGATCACGAGGTCAGGAGATCGAGACCATCCTGGCTAACACGGTGAAACCCCGTCTCTACTAAAAATACAAAAAATTAGCCGGGAGCAGTGGCGGGCGCCTGTCGTCCCAGCTACTCGGGAGGCTGAGGCAGGAGAATCGCTTGAACCTGAGAGGCGGAGGTTGCAGTGAGCTGAGATTGTGCCACTGCACTCCGGCCTGGCCAAGAGCGAGACTCTGTCTCAAAAAAAAAAAAAAAAAAAAAAAAAAAAAAAAAAAAAAAGACTTCTGGTTAGTTCAGCAGTGTTCGTGAATGGGATGTTTTGATGATCTGTGTGATTAAATGTGTCACTGCTGGAAGGCCCGTGTAACTCTGTGAGCTAGTGTGTTCCAAATGCCTGGTGCATGATGGACAAAACACATGGGAGACAGGATCCATTCGGGCTGCAGTTCTACAGCTGCGGATTCTACACTGCACCTGACTTTCAAGAAACTATTGCTTTTTCTGGCTGGGTGTGGTGGCTCACGCCTGTAATCTCAGCACTTTGGGAGGCTGAGGTAGGTGGATCACACGAGGAGTTTGAGACCAGCTTGGCCAACATGGTGAAACCCCATCTCTGCTATAAATATAAAATTAGCCGGGTGTGGTGGCTGTAATCCCAGCTACTCGGAGGTTGAGGCAGGAGAATCGCTTGAACCCAGGAGGCGGAGGTTGCAGTGAGCCGAGACTGCGCCACTGCACTCCAGCCTGGGCAACAAGACCCAAAAAACTCGGTCTCAAAAAAAACAAAATGAAACTACTGTTTTTCGAGTTTTGGTGTAGTAGCAACAAATACCCATAATTATCTGAAAAGGCTACAACAACAACCCTCCCTTCCAGCTACATAGCTGCATGAGGCCAGATTTTTTTTTTTATACTTCAACCAAAACAACATATCCCTGGCCAGGCATGGTGGCTCGCGTCTTTAATCCCAGCACTTTGGGAGGCCGAGGTGGGCAGATCACGAGGTCAGGAGATCGACACCATCCTGGCTAACACGGTGAAACCCCGTCTCCACTAAAAATACAAAATAATTAGCCAGGTGTGGTGGCAGACGCCCGTAGTCCCAGCTACTCGGGAGGCTGAGGCAGGAGAATGGCGTGAACCCGGGAGGCGGAGCTTGCAGTGAGCCGAGATAGCGCCACTGCACTCCAGCCTGGGCGACAGAGCAAGACTCCGTCTCAAAAAACAACAGCAACAAAAAACAAAAAAACCCCAACATATCCCTGTCGACAGAATGCAGAAGCCAGCTGATGCTTTCTATTAAGGCAGACCTTAAGGAGATTTAGGAAAAATGTAAAACTACGCCACTCTTCTCATTATATTTTGTTTTAGAAGAAATTATCTTTCATAAAAACATTTATATGAATACATATTTAATATAATGACATGTTGTTGTATCAAATGTTTTTTAAACTCCTGTTTTAATTTGTAATACAACAGATATAACCCACATAAACAAATGGTCTTCGGGGTTCTCAATAACTTAAGAATGTAAAGAGGTCCCAACCAAAAACAGCTGAAGAGCTGCCGTCTGAATGTCCCTTTCCAGGAGTGGATTGTCATCTAGAGTATTTTCTTAAAAACACAGCAGCCCTGCCTGAGGTTTCTTCAGGAATAACGGTAATACTGGCAGAATCGGCGACAAATGGAACTCTATCCACAAGACCACTGCAGAAATTCGGGTCTGGTTTCTATCACACTATAAAGAACAGCTGGCCAGGCATGGTAGCTCACACCTATAATCCCAGCACTTAGGGAAGCCGAGGCAGGAGGGTCACTTGACCCCTGGGGCTTGAGACCAGCCTGGGCAACACAGAGAGACCTCGTCTCCACAACAAAAATTTTTAAAGTAGCCGGATGTAGTGGTGCATGCCTGTGATCCCAGCTACTCAGGAGGCTGAAGTGAGATCGCTTGAGTGCAGGAGGTTGAAACTGCAGTGAACCATGATCATCCCCAACGCACTCCAGCCTGGGCAACAGAGCAAGACCCTGTCTCAAAAAAAAAAAAAAAAAAAAAAAAAGGCCAGACACGGTGGCTCACGCCTGTAATTCCAGCACTTTGGGAGGCCAAGGCGGGCGGATCATCTCTCAGGTCAGGAGTTCAAGACCATCCTGGCTAACATGGTGAAACCCTGTCTCTACTAAAAATACAAAATTAACTGGGCGTGGCGTGTGCTTGTAGTAGTCCCAGCTACTCGGGAGGCAGAGGCAGGAGAACTGCTTGAAACCGGGAGGTAGAGGTTGCAGTGAGCCGAGATCGTGCCACTGCACTCCAGCCTAGGAGACAGAGTGAGACTCCGTCTCAAAACAAAACAAAAGCAAAGGCAGGACTCAAGTCAATATTCATTTATTCAAAACAGTGTCCTAAGAAAAACACATTAAACCAATTCTTTAATGAAAACACTGGGAAATCCAAACCCACTAAATTCTGAGCCAATCTTTTCCTTTGATTCCCTAATGAAGTTTGCTCTATTTCAGAGAGGTCCCCTAAAAGTCCTGCACGTTTGCATAATTATGGCAAAGGAATGCAAGCTACTCTCCTCATGTCTTCAGCAACCTGTTGCAGTGACAATGCAGCCCACACTCTACTAAGGCGTCCTTCCGGGCCTGGGGTCCAACAACCAGACCAGGAGCCACACGAGTCAAGGTTCTAGAACCTGGAGGCACCACCAGGTCTGAATCCAGGATCCAGTACTTACTGCTGCGTGACCTGAACCCCTCTGTGCCCCAGTCTCCTCACTTCCAAAACGGGAGGATGGCAGGACCCACAGAGTCATGACCGCCTAAAGCCCTTTGCAAGCACCTGGCACTCAGCATTCGCCGTGCCCTCGGTAACTGCTGCTGCTGCTGTTACTGAAGTCATGAGAACTCACTCTAACCGCTCAAGTCACTCCTGGAGCCTCAGACTTCATCTGTGTGACTCTTGGTAACATCTTTTCATCACATACAAGCCTGGGACCACTCCCTGCCAACACCACCATTCACATATTCATTATCCACAGCACAATTCCACTAACTGTTTTATGAGTCCTGATTTGCCAAACACAGCATTTAAAACGTTCCACTTTTGAAATAAACAAAAGCAGGCTGGTGCAGTGACTCATGTCTGTAATCCCGGCACTTTGGGAGGCTGAGATGGGAGGATCCCTTGTGCCCAGGAAGTCAAGGCTGCAGTGAGCCGAGATCGTGCCACTCCACTCCAGCCCAGGCAACAGAGTAAGATCCTGTCTCAAAATAAAATATTATAAACAAAGCAAACCAAAATAAAATAAACAAAAATGGAGTGAAATAATGGAGACAGCCCCCTGGCCAGGCCTGTAAGACTCAGCGCCGAAGGCCCAGAGCAGACATAGTCAGCACCCACTCCTTGCCCACCTGCTCTAGGCCCCGGGCCCCCAGGCGGCCCTTCTCATGCCACAGTGGCCCCGGCCCAGGCAGTGTTCTCGCCCGGCACACAGCCCGCTCAGAGCCCTCTGAAGGGTGGCAGGCTCGTGAGTTCAAAGCCACAGAACCAGCATGAAGTGGGGCCTGCCCCACCGCCTGGCCAGGAGCTGACACTTCAGGGACAGAATAGAAGTGGCTGACATCAGGTAGGAAATGGTGGCTTCTGTCCACTACAGCCGATGTTTAGGGGGCAGCCACAGTTAAATGAAACTTTTACCACGCTCAAGGTGGTTTTGCTTTTCGGAACCGGACCACCCTCTTGCTTGCTCATGCCTGTGGCAGCTCTCCACGCGGCTTCGCCACAGATCCTGCCCACGGTCTGTTCTGAATTAAACACACTATTGAGTTGGAGCACTCATGTGTTTGCTCTGTCTCTCTGGGGCTTTGTTTAGAAAACAAACTTTGACAATATCCAAGCAAACAATGGGACCAAATACCTGCAAAGTCACTTAAAAGAACAAAAGATATCTGTTCCCATTCTGAGGGCATTTTGTAAGAAACATGCTTTCTGATATCATTCATCTGAATCAATGCGTACCCTGTCATCAGCGAGCCCTAAGCCAACAGGCTCACCCTCAGAGCATGTGCCTTCCTCAGAACAAGGTTTGCACTGAGTCTTCCACATTCTTGTACAAGAACCCTTGTAACCAAGCCCGTGAGGCTCCCACACCCCATAGTCTGTGCCAGACGAGACTCCTCAGGGAACCCTAACCGCCATCCCATCTGTACCCTGCTTTATCCAGGCAGCACCAGCACAAACTTACTGAAGCATCATTTTGAGATTCCTACAGGAGAGGCTCACTCCTCAAAGGACCGATGACAGCCCCGCCACCCACTTACACAGCCATTATCGCAACAGCGAGCCGCAGGCACCAACGGCTTCCTATGCACAAGGAAGATTTGCCATGCATTAATTCACTTCACTCCCACAGTGTAATCCCGTTACTAATTATGACAACGACAACAATTATTAACTCTAGTAACTATTATGTAATTAACACAATCACTTATTGATAATAATTGCAATGAATTATAATCAACAATTGCTCATAACTAAATTATAATAAAATACAATGCATTATGGTCATATTCTGATGGTTATGATACATAATTTCATATTAGCACATGGGTATTATTTATAAGAATTAATGATGGCAATCACTATTATTATCCCATTTTACAGAGGAGGAGCTGACACAGGGGCAGCAGCAGTGGGCAGGGCCTGGGTGGGAGTCCAGGGCCTCGGTGCCAGAGCCCCTAGAACTGCCCAATACCAGGCTCACAGAACAGGAGAGCCTCAGGGGGAGAGAGCTCACTGCCCCCACCTCACTCGGCCTTGGGGTACAGCCTCCACCCAGCAGGGGCTGAGCACAGGTGGATTTACAAGGAACATCTGTAAGTGGCCCTCAGGAAAGAGACACACATCAGCACTGACTGCGTCCAGCGGAGCCCTGCGTGTTTTCACCAGGCAGCCTGTCCATCCCTGGCCCCGCTCTCCACCCCCGCGCACCCTCCACCAAATGCTTCCTGCAGCTCTGCTCTCTGCAAGCAACGATGCTGGATCGGAGATGCAGCAGGAGCAGGTCCAGCCTCTGGCAGTGAGAGAGTGGACCCCCCTCATCCCCACACACCTTGTCAGACCCTGTAAGGAAGCACTCTGAAAAAGAGGGTGTTCTAAGCATATATGTAAGAGAAACAACAACAACACAACTAGCAGCTAACGCGAGCACCTGCTGTACACCAGGCTCTCGGGCGCATTGACCTGTTCAATCTCAGTGACCCTGTGAGAGAAGCACCACTCTTTTTTTTTTTCGAGATGGAGTCTCGCTCTGTCGCCCAGGCTGGGGTGCAGATCTCAGCTCACTTCAACCTCCACCTCCAGGGTTTAAGTGACCCTCCTGCCTCAGCCTCCTGAATAGCTGGGACTACAGGCAACTGCCACCATGCCCAGCTATTTTTTTGTATTTTTAGTAGAGACGGGGTTTCACCATGTTGGCCAGGCTGGTCTTGAACTCCTGACCTCAAGTGATCCACCTGCCTCAGCCTCCCAAAGTGCTGGGATTACAGACGTAAGCCACTGCGCCTGGCCGAGAAACACCACTCTTATGCCCAAATGAAGAGTTTTGATGACACCAATGTCGGTCACGCAGCTGGTAGGTGGAGGATAATCAAGAACTGAGCACAGCCACCCGTGGGCGTGACCCTGTCCCACAGGAGCCCACCCTCTGATCTGTGTGCTGCCATCATCCTTTTACTTTAAAAATTGTTGGATGCTGGGCATGGTGGCTCAGGCCTGTGATCCCAGCACTTTAGGAAGCTGAGGTGGCAGGACTGCTTGAGCCCAGGCGTTTGAGAGCAGCCTGGACAACATAGTGAGACCCTGTCTCTACTAAAAAATAAAAAAGCCAGGTGTGGTGGCACACACCTGTAGTCCCAGCTACTCAAGAGGTGGCAGGATTGCTCGAGCCTGGGAGGTTGAGGCTGCTGTGAGCCGTGATTGCACCACTGCACTCCAGCCTGGGCAACAGAGTGAGACCGTCTACAAAAAAAAAAAGTTGGGCCAGGCATGGTGGCTCACGCCTGTAATCCCAGCACTTTGGGAGGCCTAGACGGGCAGATCACGAGGTCAGGAGTTCGAGACCAGCCTGGCCAACACGGTGAAACCCTGCCAACACGGTGAAACCCCGTCTCTACTAAAAATAAAAAATTAGCCTGGCACAGTGGTGGGCGCCTGTAATCCCAGCTACTTGGGAGGCTAAGGCAGGAGAATCGCTTGAACCCAGGTGGCAGAGGTTGCAGTGAGCCGAGATCGTGCCACTGCACTCTAGCCTAGGCAACAGAGCAAGACTCCGTCTCAGGAAAAAAAAAAAAAAAAGTTGGCCAAGGGTAATGGCTCACACGTATAATCTCAGCACTTTGGGAGGCCAAGGCAGGAGAAACACTTGAATTCAGGAAGTTGAGGCTACAGTTAGCTGTGACTGTGCCACTGCACTCCAGCCTGGGTGACAAAGCAAGACCTTAAAAAACCCAGAACTATTGTAAATATACAAATATGCTTCCCCCAAATTAACAGCACTCAGAACTGCTGAAGACATTAAGTGAAAAGGAAAGACAGAAAATCATAAATGTGGCTGATCCCAACTGTCCACCCATGTATAGAAATGTGTGAGCCTGGGCAACATGGTGAAAACCCGTCTCTACAAAAAACACAAAAAATCAGCCAGGGTGGCGGGGTGCACCTGCAGTCCCAGCTACCTGGGAGGCTGAGGTGGGAGGGTCTCCTGAGGCCAAGGCTGCAGTGAGCCGTGATTGTATTACTGCACTCCAGCCTGGGTGAGTGAGACCTTGTCTCAAAAAAAAAAGAAAAGAAAAGAAAACATATTTCTTGTGAGTAATATTACAGGTGGTTTTTTTTTTCTTTTTACTTCCACATCTCCTAAACTATTTGAAATGAGCATGTCTTTCTTTTTATCATGATGGAAAGAACAGTTTTTTTAAAAACTAGAATCAAAAAGCAACTCTGCCCAAGGAAAATTCTGCATGGAAACCCCACGGCGGCATGATGGGGAGGGGTCAGGGCGGCTCCTCCGAGAGCAGCTGCTGGCTCCTTATCCTGGTGGCAGCCGCGGCCTTATCTCTGTGATGCAGACAGAGGCTGCCATGGAAGGAGGAGGCCCCTGGCCCTGGGCTGCCCACACAGTGTATACAAGACACAGCCACCCGCACCTGGCAGCCACTGTCGCCAAGTCGCTAGGGATGGGCTGTGGCGCAGGCTCGGGAGCAAGTCTAATATTCACGGGCAACACCAGGAACAGCTCCCTAACAGGCACTGTAAGTACACCACCAACAACGACCTCACTTTCCACTCTGGACCACTAATGACCATCCACAATGATCCACTGAATGTCTTACACTAGACGCAACGACACAAGAGAAATAAAACGACAATGCGGCCCAGCAATGCTGGGGCCCAGAGGCACGGCTCAGACCAAAGCAGGATCAGAGAGAAGGGAGCAGGGAAAACAGACCTGGCGCCAGGGACCGGGCAGGCCAGAGGCTTAAGGAAGCCGCGGGAGGCCTGAGGCAAAGGCCGCTCACTGCGCCGCAGAGCACAGAAGAGGAGGGACCTACCCCCAGGCAACTCTGGAAAGCAGCGATCCGACTGCACTGTAAGGCCAAGGACAAGAAGAGCCACACACATGAGGGCTGCGGTCAGAAAGTCTGTGTCTCGCAGGGGTGCGGGCCGGCAACTCTCCACACTCTACAGGCACGCTAGGTTTCAACGAATAAGCAAACTCACTGTGGACAGTGAGCGCCAGGGTTCTCAACACCTGCTAAGGTTATAAGCAATGGGGGAGGCGAGAAACCCTGCTGGGGTGGATGTGAATCTGAAACACCGGTATGATCCCATGGTTTTTAACATGAACGCGGGGGATAAGCACATGTAGATGTGTGTACACACGCATGCTAGTGTGGACGCGTGTGTCTCCTGCCTGCATCCAGACCTGTGTTTCTAGCACCATCCTCCAATAAAATAACAGAAGCTCAGGGATGAAACGGGCTGGTGCAGGAAAAATACAAGGATCCCAGAGCATCTTGCAGGTTCCAGGAGAGGAACAGTCAGAATGTGAAGGGGCACGCTGAAAAGATGCGGGGCTACCTGAAGGGGTCCCACGTCAGGAGGAAGAGGGGCCTTCAGGCAACAGCACCGGCCATGTGGGAGCCTGGGTGGGAGGGGGCTCCAGAAGTGAGCATGGACTATCCAGAAAATGGCCATTAGTCAAATGGACAGATGTGCCTAAGAGCTGTAGGCCGGGTAAGAGGCCTGTAGCAATGCTAACCTGCCCTACGATCAGACGAGATGATGGCAACAGGGGAAGCCAACTATAGGAGCCCTGCACTACTCTGGCCACTTTTCTGTAAGCCTAAAATCATTGTCAAGTAAAATGGTAAGAGAATATTTATGAATGAAATGATATGACTCAAACTATGGAGGGTGCGGAGCAGGAGAGGAGGACAGGATGAGTGATGGCCACATGAGTGTTCCTTATATCTTCTCCTCCACTTTTATGTACATTTGAATTTTTCCACAATAAAAAGCCCTTTAAAACTTCTTCTCGGCCGGGCACGGTGGCTCATGCCTGTAATCCCAGCACTTTAGGAGGCTGAGGCAGGCAAATCACTTTGAGCTCAGGAGTTTGAGACCAGCCCAGGCTAACATGGAGAGACCCTGTCTCTACAAAAAATACAAAAAAATTAGCCAGGCATGGTGGCATGCATCTGTGGGAGGCTGAGGCAGGAGGATCGTTTGAGCAAGGGAGGCAGAGGCTGCACTGAGCTGAGATTGTGCCACTGCAAGCCAGCTTGGTTGTCAGAGTAAGACCCTGTCCCCAAGAAAAAGAAAAAAAAAATTTTTCTCAAAGTTTGCAAATTCAACGTAAATCTGGTCTCCTTTTCTTTTTAAAAAAGAGACAGGGTCCCGCTCCATCACCCAGGCTGGAGTGCAATGGCATGATCACAGCTCACTGCAGCCTGGACCCCTGGGTTCAAGCGATCTCCCTGCCTCCTGAATTGTGCCCATCCATGCCAAAGGAGCAGAAGTTCTATGGGCAGCAGCCTCTCCCTCACGCCACATTTGCTCCATCTCTCCACCCACAGTTGCCCTCACAGGTGCCATTTCTGATGATCTCCAAGCCACCTGCCAATCGTTTTCCACCCTGCAGCCGGTGGGCCTGCCTGTCTCCCACACTTGCCCCTCCTTGGGCTGGATGATGATGGCCGTTCCCTGGCAGCCTCTGGCCGCAGCAGTCCCCGACACCCCATGCTCCAGGCCACTTTCCTGCCCCTCCTACTGGACCAAGCACTTGCTTGCACTGGAGACACCTGCCATTTTCCATGGATTTGTGAGTGACTGCTCACAGACTCACATCTGTGTTCATGACTCAGACCGTGAGCTCGCAAGGCAGAAGCCAAGACTGTGTCCATTCACCATTGTCCCCAGTCACGGGCATGACCCCAGCACATAGCTGTCACTCAACACTGACTCAAAGAACAAGCTTCTTTGACATATGAGGCATCCAGGATGGAGTCTGGGTACCGGACTCCCTTTTCGGCCTTGTTCAATGATGTTCACCTTTATTACGTTCATTTAGTCATCCAGGTTCCAAGTATGCTGTACACTCTGGCATGAAGAAATGAACACATCTAATATCTATTAGGTGATCTGGGCAAAACATCTTAAATCTAACATTTTTTTCCATCCTGGCAACTAATCTGCTAGAAATGGTTTAGTATGGTTCACTTTCTAAAAGGTTCAGAGGATAGTAACAAGTGTTGATGAGGACGCGGAGAAACTGAACCCTTCGTGAACTGCTGGCGGGAATGGAAACGGTGCAGCCACTGTACAACAGCTAAGTGGGCCCTCAAAAAGTTAAACACAGAGTGACCATCTCACCTAGCCCATGAGAAATGAACACACACGTCCACAGGAAAACTTGTACACAAATGCTCACAGCAGCACTATTTACAATAGTCAAAAGGTGGAAACAAGCCAAATCGTAGATGAACTGGGACATATCCATACACTCGGATACTTGATGACAAAAAGAAATGAAACACTGATGCTGCCGTGTGAACCGTGAAGACATGCCGAGTGAAAGAAGGAGACACAAGAGTTCACTGGCTGTGTGGCTTCATCTATAGAACATACTCGGAACAGGTCAATCCAGTGAGACGGAACGCAGATGGGTAGTTCCCAGGGGCTGGGTGGGAGCGAATGGGGGTGACTACTTAATCCACATGGGGTCTCCTCTTGGGGGAATAATGCACATGGGGTCTCCTCTTGGGGGAATAATGCACATGGGGTCTCCTCTCGGGGGAATAATGCACATGGGGTCTCCTCTCGGGGGAATAATGCACATGGGGTCTCCTCTCGGGGGAATAATGCACATGGGGTCTCCTCTCGGGGGAATAATGCACATGGGGTCTCCTCTCGGGGGAATAATGCACATGGGGTCTCCTCTCGGGGGAATAATGCACATGGGGTCTCCTCTCGGGGGAATAATGCACATGGGGTCTCCTCTCGGGGGAATAATGCACATGGGGTCTCCTCTCGGGGGAATAATGCACATGGGGTCTCCTCTCGGGGGAATAATCCACATGGGGTCTCCTCTTGGGGGAATAATCCACATGGGGTCTCCTCTTGGGGGAATAATGCACATGGGGTCTCCTCTTGGGGGAATAATGCACATGGGGTCTCCTCTTGGGGGAATAATGCACATGGGGTCTCCTCTTGGGGGAATAATGCACATGGGGTCTCCTCTTGGGGGAATAATGCACATGGGGTCTCCTCTTGGGGGAATAATGCACATGGGGTCTCCTCTTGGGGGAATAATGCACATGGGGTCTCCTCTTGGGGGAATAATGCACATGGGGTCTCCTCTTGGGGGAATAATGCACATGGGGTCTCCTCTTGGGGGAATAATGCACATGGGGTCTCCTCTTGGGGGAATAATGCACATGGGGTCTCCTCTTGGGGGAATAATGCACATGGGGTCTCCTCTTGGGGGAATAATGCACATGGGGTCTCCTCTTGGGGGAATAATGCACATGGGGTCTCCTCTTGGGGGAATAATGCACATGGGGTCTCCTCTTGGGGGAATAATGCACATGGGGTCTCCTCTTGGGGGAATAATCCACATGGGGTCTCCTCTTGGGGGAATAATGCACATGGGGTCTCCTCTTGGGGTAATAATCCACATGGGGTCTCCTCTTGGGGGAATAATGCACATGGGGTCTCCTCTTGGGGGAATAATGCACATAGGGTCTCCTCTTGGGGGAATAATGCACATGGGGTCTCCTCTTGGGGGAATGAAGCGGTTTGGAAGTAGACAGCGATGATGGCTGCACCACACTGTGAATGCGCTACACGCCACTGAATTGTTCATCTTACAATGGTTCATCCGATGTCACTGCCACACGTCCCCCGGCACTCCAGCCTTGGCCTGTCTCCTGAGGGCACACAGGGAGGCAGTCAGCCTCCAGCAGCCAGTCAGCAGTCAGGCCCCCGGCTGGACACGGGTCACACCTGGACCTAGCAACATCCAGAAGGGCAGGGCTGGTGGGAGCGGAGGGTGCCGTCTTGCTGCGTGCCCCCTGATGTGGCCATGCTTCCCTCCCGTGCACACCTGTTACCTGTCTCCATCAGTGCTATGGATGCAGCCCCATGGCCCCTCCCTCCATAATGGCCACCATCATCACCCCTGCCAGGCCACAGACGTCATCTCCCATCCCAAACACAGCCCTGGGAGGCCACTTGCCACCGAGCCACAAACCACAAGAAAAAGAGGCCCCAGGGCGGGATGGCTGCAGAACTTTTCAAAAGGGTAAGCGAGTTTCAACATGCAGATTTAACTCTTAAACAAAGAAATGACTAAAGGCAGTAAGCCTTTAGTGAGTTAAAGAAGACACATGGCGAACACTGCATAGACACAAGGGAACCAAGATGATCCCGGGGCAAGGAGGTCACAGTGGGTGATGGAGACAGGACAGGAGAGCCCACCATAGGGCGAGATGCACGGGGAGCCAGGAAGGTGCAGGGCGAGCGCGATGGACCGTCCCCTCCTGGGTTTCTGGAACCAAGCTTGTCCATAACAGACACTCACACTGGCTTGCATGGGTGGCACCCACTGTCCTCAGGCCAGCTCCGAAGAGCCCCCACCCAGCAGGTCTCGACTGGGTCACCCGGCTCTGCCCCCTCTGGAGCCCTGCCTCACTCTGGGAGGCAGCCCACCTGGGCCAGCCTTGCCCCCTGCCTTCAAGCACACCCCAAACAGCCAAGCAGGGCGAGTCCCCATTTGTAGAAGTGGAGCCAGAACGTCCACACTGCACGCACCTCAGGGCACAGAGCCGGCGTGCGTGGCAGTGACCACCTCACCCTGGACAGGGATGGACAGTGGCAGAACAAACCCAAACTTGGAGAGCCTGCATCCAAACACCCCTCCAGCTCCGGCCACCAATCTGCAAGAAAGACACTCGGAACAGAGGGCACGCCGGGCTACACCCAGGAGATGCAGCTGCGGGAGACGGCAGCACTGAGCAGCCAGCGTCCCCAACTAACAGCAAGGCTGGGGGCTCAGGAGGAGGCTCTGGTCCTCGCATTCCGAGGCCACCAACTGCGAACATCCACACCAGTGAGCAACGGGCAACTCTGGCACCGTGTGCTCCCCGGCTGGGAGGAAGGGTTGGACTTCGGATGCCGGACACTATGCGGGGCATATAAGGAGCACAGAGGAAGACAGACACACACCCATGTCATGTGGTGACATCTTCTGAAACATCTGTCAACAAGACGATGCCACTGGGATCTGCAATGAGAAACGGGAAACGGGACGAGGCTCAAAGAGAAGCAGCATCAACCACAGACAGACCATGCTGGAGGCGGGGGATAGTGCATGGCACACACCCCCATCCCGCTCCTTCCAACGGCCCCCTTGCTCCAGAGCATGCCCTCCACTGGGACCATCCCAGCAGCCTCCTCCAGGAAGGCCTCCCTGCTTCCACCCCACCCTCTTGGTCTGTTTCTAACACAGTGGCCACAGGGATCCTTTTAAAGACTAAGTCAGCTGGCGTCCCTCCTCTGCTCAGTCCCTGCTGCACGTCCCTGGTATTGATCTCCCTGCCCTCAGCCTGCACCTGGGCCCTGGCTGCATCCCTCCTTTGCTGGAGTGCAGTGGCGCGATCTCAGCTCGCTCCAACCTCCACCTCCTGGGTAGCTGGAATTACAGGCGCCTGCCACCATGCCCGGCTAATTTTTGTATTTTTAGTAGAGACGGGTTTTCACCACGTTAGCCAGGCTGGCCTCAAACTCCTGACCTCAGGTGATCCGCCCGCCTTGGCCTCCCGAAGTGCTGGGATTTCAGGCGTGAGCCACTGACCCCTGTCCAGTCCTACTCTTTCTTGGTGGGCCTGTGCTGACCACCAGGCAACTCGCCCCTCCCCAGCCCCAGCCCCTGACCCTGCTCAACCATGGTCTTTCATCCCTCGTATCCAGGGGGTGCTTTACACCTGGCTCACTGGTGAGTCCTGTTTTGATGCTGCCCCCAAGCCCTCTCCTCAATCACACACCATGAACGGGCCTCACCCCCGGCCTGGCTCCTTCCAATGGCATATCCTTTGCAAAGCTTCCCAGAGGGAGTCCAACCAGAGTTCCCGCCGACTCTACCATGCGCATCCCCGACCAGATCCTGTGTTCACCTGCCAGTCCTGGAATGGCCAGGCTATGTCCACAGGGTCACCCTCAAATGTTTCAGAACATTCCAGGAGAATGCTCTGCACTCCTCAGGGGAGCTGCACAGAACAGGGACCACCCCCCAAAAAGCTTCCAGGGCCAACAGCGAAGTTAAGGTGTGATGAGTGAGCGTCTCAGCACTGAGAATCCATCCACACCTAATGTGACCGTTCTTACAGTGAGGCACGCGCTTTAGCATCTGGCAAACTGCATACTTCACGAAGCAGCAGCACGCACAGGGACCAAGGTGCGCCCAGCAAGGCCCCCCTGCCCCAGTCACCAATAGGGCCACTCGAGCCACCACGGCAAAGCCATGGGCAGCACGTGGCCTTCTAGTTCCACCGGCTTCAGCTGGGTTCATGGCCCGGGGGGGCACAGCTGGCGCCCTTTCGGCGTCGCTCCTGTCTACGAGCGGGCAAGGAAGGTCCCCAAGAGCTGTCGGGGTCCGGCGCACCTGGGTCTGTATAGAGGTGAGTTCTGAGCGACACAGGCCATCTTCTGTGTCCCTGGCCCGAGCCTCTCAAGGCCGCTGTGGACACCAGACAGATGAGTGTTATTTATCAGAGATAAGCCTTTTTAAATGTTTTCTTATCCCTCCCTGCTTGCAAAGTAAAGACCCAGAGGTCAACAAAGGGGATCAAAGGGAGGAGGAACGCCCGCCCTACTGCCAGGCAGAGTAACGCCCCCATCACGGCGGGAGTAACAGTCACCATCAGAGGGACCTTCTGAGGGCCCTGCATGTGGGACACAACTGCAGGTCGCCCGCATCATCTCCTCTGATCAAAGCACCACCACCATGAGGACGAGGTTTTCACTCTGTACGAAGAGGAGACTGAGGTTCAGAGAGGTGAGGTGAGACACCCATCACGTGGCCAGGATTCCAGTGAGGTGGGCCTGACCTGAGCCTGCGCTCAGGGTGCTGTTATGCTGAGGCGGGCATCCTGCAACGTCACATGAGCCCCCAGCCACTCCCAAGAGCTCAGACACCTCCACACACAGATTTGTTCCAAGTCACCCCTCTCATCACTCTTGGCATCTTCCTTTGCTTTCTCTGCATTTTTTACCCGTGTTACTCTATTAATTCCTTTGTCCCTGCAAAAAAACATAAAACAAATGATGCCCCGGCTTGCCAGCCTGAGGGGCAGGGAGGCCGCCATCCCTCAGGGCCTCCCTGGGCTTCTCATTCCCACTGCTCAGCCTGCACACGAGCATGGGGCTGTGCTCAGACCAGAATGGTGTCCAGGTCTCTGAGCACACCAGGCGCCACACACACAGGACACTGATCATCCCGTCAATCATAACTGGGACTCAGACACCCACCCCAAAGCAGGGGCTAAAGAACTCCCCATTTATATCCAGTGCCCGCCACCTTCCCGCCCTGCATAAGCTCACTTAGAGCAAGACACCAGAGAAGCCTGGGAATGTGGGTCCCACGGGAGGATCCTTTCACTATCAAAGCCAAAAAGAAACAGGGCAAAGCACCCTCGAGTCCTCCAACCGTCGGAACAAGAGTGCTGATGCAAACTCCTCCAACAAGTCAACATGATGTTGGAAAGACAAACTCACAACAGTTCTATTATTTTACTCAATAAGGCAAACCTGACAAACATCTCAAATGGTTATGACCTATGAACTTCAGTTTTTGATCTTTTTATGTGCAGCTGCAAGATGAAAGTTTCTAGTGGCTGCCTTCTGGCAGCAGAGTACACTAACTCTCTAAGGACAAAACAGAGCTGAAACACTCAGAAATGACGTGGAAAACAACAACATTGCCCTGAGTTACTGCCCCAGTAGGATTTTCCCAAGATGGATGTCAATTACAGTAAGAGATTCGGGTTAGGGGCCGCCTGGGCTCCTGAGTCTGGCTGTTTCTAAGCCTTGCTGCAGTTGTGTTTGTTTTGGGATATAGGTCCTTAAAAACAGGTATTGGCCGATTTGCATTGCATTTACTGAAGCCCCAGTAATCACCTTCAGAAGTCCCCTTCCGTCTGGTAGTGGACTAGCTGTGTTCACAGCAACATGGAACCACAGGCGGCACCCCACACAAGCATGGCGGTCACTTGTCAGAGCTCCACGCTTCATCAGTAAAGGAGACCACCACAAAGTCCACTGTGGGACACCCAACACGCGATCTCCCACAGATGCACCCCCCAGGGCTGCTGCCCCCACTGTCTCGGGGCTGTCCTCCAGGTTTCTGGCATGGGCTCCTCCCTCCCTCAATTCCACTCCCAGGAGGATGCTCCCTGGAGCTGCTCGAGGGCTTCTACCTCCTCTCCCCACCCTTATCCCAAAACCAGGGGGTCCCAAACCTGGCCTAATGGGCAATCACCTGGGACATCTGTGAAATCAGCTTCCTAGGTCTTCAGGGCAGAGACCGGAAGAAGCTTTCAGGTAATTCTGTGATTCCTGCTCCCCCGGCCGCAGCGCCCACTGACTGAGCACCAGCTGTGGGCAGGCCCCACCCCAGAGCTCGGCCCAGCCTGCCCTGACCCACTGCCTTACTGGGGCTGCCAGATGCACTGCCTCCTGAGCCACTTTTGCTTCCCCAGGGAACGAACACCCACGTGTGTGAGGCCCCAGGAATGAGGAGGACGGCAGCCCCACCAGGGAGCCAGGCACGTGGAGCTGCAGGCACGTGTGTGTGTGCGTGTGTGTGTGTTACATACCTGTGTGCGTGTGTGTACCTGCAGATATTTTTTATTCCCTGTGCATCTGCATAATATTCTGCAGTGTTAAGCAGCACAGATGCTTCTGAGAAATGCTCAACTCTGTGCTGGGTGTGGTGGCTCACACCTGTAATCCCAGCACCTTGGGAGGCCAAGGCAGGAGGATTACTTGAGGCCAGGAGTGAGACCAGCCTGGGCAACATAGGGAGACCTCCATCTCTACAAAAAATAGTCCCAGCTTCTTGGGAGGTGGAGGTGGGAGGTTTGAACCCGTGAAGTCAGGGCTGCAGTGAGCCATGACTGTGCCACTGCACTCTAGCCTGGGCAACAGAGTGAGACCCCACCTCAAAATAATAATAGCAGCAACAACAACAATAATAATAATAGGCCGGGCGCGGTGGCTCACACCTGTAATCCCAGCACTTTGGGAGGCTGAGCCACCGTGGATCACCTGAGCTCAGGAGTTCGAGACCAGTCTGGGCAACATGGCAAAATCCCATGTCTACTAAAAATACAAAAAAAAAATTTGGGTATATAGTGGCACATGCCAGTAGTCCCAGCTACTCAGGAGGCTGAGGCACAAGAATCACTTGAACCTGGGAGGCGGAGGTTGCAGTGGGTCGACATTGCGCCACTGCCCTCCAGACTGGGCAACAGAGAGAGACTCTGTCTCAAAATAAATAAATAAATAAATAAATTTTTAAAAATTCTAAAAACTAATAATAAACGCGCGACTCTGGGGCCACGGACTTTTTTGACAGATCAAACAGGAAGAGAAACACTGCACGAAACAGTAGGGGCCAGGCTCTGCCAGCCAATGTGTGACCTCGGCTCCGGCTGTCACTGCAGGCCTCCAGCACCTTCTCTTCTGTCCTGGGTCACTGTATGAAGACTAAGGATTCGTGGGGAATGTGCTGCTTCCCTTCAGCGCAGGCGCCCGTGCCCGGGGCCAGGTGGGAAGGCAGAAAAGTCACTGTATGGGGGAAGTAAGGTTGGAGAGGATGCTAGTCATCCAGGCCAAAGTCCCCACTTAACAGGCGAGAAAACTGAGACCACACGAGGAGATGCGGACGGGGCTGCAGTTCTGACCAGACTCCTGTCTGTCCATCTCGATGACAGTGAGAAGATGAAAAAGGAGGGGGCCGGGCGCAGTGGCTCACACTTGTAACCCCAGCACTTTGGGAGGCTGCGGCAGGTGGGTCACTTGAATCCAGGAGCTCCAGAACAGCCCGGGCAACACAGGGAAACCCCGTCTCTCCACAAACTTAGCTAGGCACGGTGGTCCACAGCTGCAGTCTACCTGGGAGGCTGCCCAAAAGGGCTGAGGTGGAGCTCCGGAGCCCGGGGAGGTTGAGGCTGCAGTGAGCCATGACTGTGCCACTGCACTCCAGCCTGGGCCATGAGAGTGAGACCCTGTCAAAAAAAGAAAAGAAAAGAGGAGAGGGGAGGGGAGGGGAGCAGGGGGAAGAGGAGGGGAGGGGAGGGGAGCGGAGGCGAGGGGAGGGGAGCGGAGGGGAGAGGAGAGGAGAGAGGTGGGGCTTCCAGTTCCTGATCCAACCCACACAGCCCGGTTCCTGGCAGACCCAGGGAGGCCTGGCCCACCTCCCACACCCTGCTTCTCCCAGCTCACAACGGGGACACGCGTCAGCACCCTTTGGAAAGAACTACTGGCAACCTCAATGACACCACACTCACGCCCATCAGATTTTCTGAGGATTTCAGGAAGTGCAGTGCCATCAGGGGTGAACCAAGTTTAAAATGTTCCAGCCTGTTCATCTTTAAGCTACACACAAGCCCCAGATTTTAAAAACGCATTGAATCTGAGAGGCCGCCCGTCCACCCTGCTTTGCACGGACAGTTCTTGTGTCTGCCTTTCGTACCAGGGAAAGCTTACAGGTGCCCACTGCCCTGGAGGAAGCTCCCAGCACAAATGCTAAGTGTCTCCTCACCCTGGGTGCAGCTCTATGGAGACAGAAACTGGGAGGGCCTGGCGATTTGGTCACAACGTGTAAAGGACCAAGAACAAAGAGTGGTTTCAAGTTCCTAAACTTTTGGAGGAAAAAATTAGAATAGTGGCTACAGCGAACAAGTGCAGGCCCCTGACCGCAGCAGCAGGCTTGGGGCTCTCAATGTGTGGCGTGGGCCAGCAGATCCCCAGTGAGGAGGAGAGAGCAACCACAGGCAGCACAGAGCTGGCCACAAACGATAAGGGCAGAGATATGTGAAAGAGGGAGCCATTCCCAACCCAACACTGGGGAGAAAAGAATCCCTCTTATTTGAAATAACTGTAAGAGATAAACTGCACAAGAGCCTCCAGTTATCTTCCGTATTTGCCATAGGTCATACAGTGTCGCTTCTGCTGAAAGAGGACCACAAAAAGGATTCTGCTGCAACTGAAAACTCAAGATGCAAAGGGACCTGCCCCAACACTCTGCGTAACAGCCTGGGCAACATGTCAGGACTCCATCTCTAAAAAAGTAAAACACCTTCGCTGGGCATGGTGGCACATGTCTGCAGTCTCAGCTACTAGGGAGGCTGAGGTGGGAGGGCGGCTTGTGCCCAGGAGTTTGAGGCCGCAGTGAGCCATGACTGTGTAACTGCACTCCAGCTTGGGCAACAGAGAACAACCCCAACCCTCAGAAACAAACAAAACAAAACACCACTTAAATGTGTCAGAATTAAAACCATGAGCAACTGGGTCTCCAAACAGCCCCCCTCAACAAAACGGAGCCCAAAAAACAAAAATTTTGAGCAATGGGGCTCTTTCTAAAACCATTAAAGAAAAAACGGAGGGGGAGGGGAGGCACGAATGCTCTGAAGAAAAGAGATTTTAAAAGACGTAGGCCGGGCGTGGTGGCTCACGCCTATAATCCCAGCACTTTGGGAGGCCGAGGCAGGTAGATCACCTGAGGTTGGGAGTTTGAGACCAGCTTGGCCAACATGGTGAAACCCCATCTCTACCAAAAATACGAAAATTAGCCGGACATGGTGGCTTAGTCCCAGCTCCTCAGGAGGCTGAGGCAGGAGAATCGCTTGAACCCGGGAGGAGGAGGAGGTTGCAGTGAGCCAAGATGGTACCACTGCACTTCAGCCTGGGTGACAGAGCGAGACTCCGTCTCAAAAAAAAAAAAAAGAAAAAAAAGAAGACGTAAATATAACAAGTCAAATGCAGGGAGAAGAGAGAGGGTGGGCTAGCTTTAGAGGCGGAAGGCAGAGACCCAAATGTGTGTGTGAACTTTGGTTAAAATTCAGGATCCAAAGCACCCAACTGGAAACACACTTCTGAGAATATGAGAGAAATTGATCACAGACTGTTAACTGTCATAACGGCACTGGGGTATGTTCAAAACGTCTCCATTGCTTTAGACACGCATATTTAAATATCGAGGTAAAATGACAGGTCTGCAATTCACTTTGGAAAACGTCCACAAAGAAAAGGGGCATATTTGAAGCAAATGTGGAGAACCCTGATGACTGCTAAAGCTTCCTAATGGATAAATGGAGGGGTATTAAATGAGTCACTCTACTTTTATGTCTTTTCAATTATTTCACAATATTAACTATTTTTAAAACTCAAATGTTATGTTTTGAAGATTCACAGTAACGATTCGTGAAACAAAACCACATTTTATGAGACTGGACCATTACAGGAGAGCATTCACTGTACAACACACAGAGAATAAGCCCAACTGGCATTGTGGAAACTTTTGACATGGAAACTAGAAGTTAAAAAATAATTCTGCTTCTTCAAATTGCACAGGGTTTAGGAGTTTGGAAGCGTTTACATCTTTTTTTCCTATGCACTTACTTAAATTATTCCCCAAGGTTTATCAAAGACCCAAGGGGGACTCTGCACAAATACCCAGCCATGCCGCGATGGCCTCGGCCATGTCAACTGCCCCACGGGTAGAGGGTGATATCCTGCCATGGCAGATGGGCACCAGTATTGGGAGAAGTGGCCATACCTTCATGGGGACCACTGAGGGAAGGGGGAGAGGGGGCAGGAGGAGTTAAATGGCTCTATAAACCACAGTGAAGTTCAGCTCTTCTCAAAGTCACAATCCTATTTAGACAACTGTCAAGTCTTAGATGTCACAGAGGTTACTTTGTGGCAAATCTGCGAGGGGTGTAACACACGGGAGCTTGAAAGTGTAGCAAAACCATAAGAGACAATATCCTGGGGGCAGGCAATCACTAGACACAGATCAAGACCTTTAAATGGTTAAAAAACCAAAAAACTAATTTGTTCATCAGTGAAGGTTCAAGGTCATTGGAGAATCCACCCATCTTAAACAACTAACTCAGTTCAAAAAACGAAAAAATAGTAACATTTCTAACTTCAGATTCTAAATAGCATTCACATACGTCACAGCATTTGTTTGTGATTGGTATAATGTAGAGCTATTGTGAACTGCTTTTTAAATTAGTAAGTTGCCTAATAAGGGTGTTACAATTGGAAGTAGCAAAACTATTTGTAATTTTTCTTTTCTTTTTTTTTTTTTTCTTGAGATGGAGTCTCCAAGTCTCACTCTGTCCCCAGGCTGGAGTGCAGTGGCGCAATCTTGGCTCACTGCAACCTCTGCCTCAAGGGTTCAAGCGATTCTCCTGCCTCAGCCTCCCGAGTAGCTGGGACTACAGGCGTGCACCACCACGCCCAGCTAATTTTTGTATTTTTAGTAGAGACGGGGTTTCATGATGTTGGCCAGGATGGTCTCGATCTCTTGACCTCGTGATCCGCCCGCCTTGGCCTCCCAATGTAATTTTTCTATAATTCAAATTGAATGTCTTATAATTCTAAATTAGAAAGTATAAGATTAAAAAGAGTCTCAATGAAGACTATTCCAAAAATTCCTTTTACACAAAATTAAAAGCCTTAATGTGTAGCATAAAATGGAACTGCACCACAGACTTATAATTACAGCACGTTTGTACAACCTGAAACTTGGGTTCATTCCCATCCTGCCATTAGCTATGAATTATCCTGCAGACACATTTATTCTTTCAACCACTGTCCTGTTCCAGAGGGTCCACTCCCTACCAGGCCCACACCAAGGCAACAATCTCCAAAAAGCAGCGAGTGACAGAAACGAGCCTGTGGATCATGAGGGCCAAGGTACGCTGAAAAATGAAATCGACAAGACAGCATCCCGGGGCAGTGCACACAGTACAGCAGTGAGCTGGGGTGGCTTCCTGAAGCCCCGCTGTCAATGACAAGTATGCGGGCAGGTGCTGGTCCAGTCCAGCCCTAACAGAGACTTCTTACTGTGGGTCTGGGTTATAGGGCTTGAAAGGGACTGCCCTGAGGAAGGCACCCAGAGAACCAGCTCGGAAGTCGGACCGATTGTCCTGATACTCACTCACTGCTGTGTGACCTTGGTGAAGTTCTCAACCTCTGTGAGCCTCGGCTGTCTGTCTTCACAAACACCACCAACCTCAGCAAGTGGAGTGAATTAAGTAACACGCAAAACACAACACAGAAAGCTTGACCTTCCTTAAAGCCTCTTCACTTTTTCTGGGCCTCCAACTTTTAAAACCGATAACCTGAAAAAATGTAGTGCTGTCAGTCCCATAAGCTGGGTTCCTCTACAAAGAGGAGCTGGAAGGTCCCAACTCACAAGGGGATGCCCGGTCCTTTCCCAAGAGGGGGCCTGGCCACCCAAGGCCTCTAGAGGCCAGCACCTGCTCCAGGACTGCGGCCCCTCCCAGGTGGAGGGGGAAAATCATTCTTCAAACTGCTGATGGCCCTCAGGGGTTGAAAAGTTGGTCAGACTCCGCCTTGTTGAAGCTTTCTAAATGACATCAGAAAAAAGACGCGACATTCGCAAGGCACAGAGCCAACAGCTCCAGCAGTGGGGGCCACCATCAACGGACCAAGGTGGGCCAGGGGGCCTTCCGGACCCCACAATTTGGGGCCGGTCTGCAGCAACGAGGGCAGCATCGGGAATGCGAGCCTCCTCGCCCGGCCGGGTAAACATAAGCCCAGAGCCCGGCGGGGCCTGCGCCGCCTGCGGCCCGGCTGGGGCCCAGCGGACAAAGGGGAGCAGGCGGTGCCCCGTCCCAGCGGCCAGGCCGGCCGAGAGAGCCAGGAGCCACGTGCCCGGTGGGAGCACGCCAAAAGCAGGAGAACACCTGACCGTTTTTTTGGCCCACCAAGGAGACCGCCTTCTACTCTGCATTTAAAAAGAAAAACAACGCGTTACCGCTTTAAGTTTTTTAGAACTTTTCCAGAGAAAGGCCGACTAGCAACAAGGGGTGCTACAGGAATCCACCTCGCCTCACCTCTCCTAGGAAATTGTAAAAGGAATTAGCACTTGAATGGGGAGGCCGGCGTGTCTGGAATGAGAACGAGCCGCGCACGCAGTTTGAGGGTTCCGGGGAGCCGCGTCCTCCCCTTTCCAGGCGACAGCCCTAACTACAGGAATTGGCCAAAATTCAGCATTTCCAGACTTTCCTTGGGAAAAGGGGCCGAAGAAGTGCCGGCAACAAGAAGGGCCACAACGGAGCGCGCCACAGACTCACCGCGGCTGGGGTCGGGACCGGCGCAGCCCCCTCCCCTCCCGCCCGTGCGCGCCCCGAGCCGGGCGCCCCGACCCGGCCTCCACCCGCTCAGGCGCTCAGGGTCAGGCCGGGCCGGGCTGCGGCGCCCCCATCCCCGCCCGGGCAGCGAGGCCGGGCCAAGCGGGGCGCTCCGGGCCTCGGGCCTACACGCGGCGGCCGCCTCGGCCCCGGCCCCAGCCCGCGGGCCCCGGGCGGGGGATGCGAGGACGCTGGGACGCGGGCCCGAGGCGCGGGAGGGGCCCAGGCCGCGCGGGGCGCCCCGACGACTCGCGGGGGCCGAGGAGGCCGGGGCTGCGCGTCCAACGCGGGGCCGAGAAAACGGCCGGCTCGGCCCCGCCGCCGCCGCTCCTCGAGCCCCCAAGCGCGGCCCCGGCTCGCCCGCCCCCGGCCCCCGCCGCCCCGACCCCGCGGCCCCCCGATCCCCGGCCCCTGCCGCCCGCGCCGGGCCCGCCAACCACGGGCAGGAGCGCGCGAACGGCCGGGCGGGCGCCCCGAGCGCCAGGACTCACCGGGGCCGGCTCCCGAGTACATGGTGGCGCCGCCGAGGGGCTCCGGGGCCGAGGGGCGGCCGCGCGCGCGCCACGGGCCCCGACGCCGCGAGCCGCGAGGGAGCCGCCGGCCGCACGATCCGCCCCGGCGCGGCCGCCTCGCCAAACAGGTTTACCCGACGCGGCCGGGGCGGCGGGCGGAGGCGGCGGCGGGAGCGGGAGCGGGAGGGGCGGGGGAGGAAGGAGGAGGGAGGGGGAGGGGAGGCGAGGCCGGCGGCGGGAGCGCGCTCGCGGGGGGAGCGGGGCTGGGCGCGCGGGCGGGGTCCGCGGCGGCGGCGGCGGCGGCGCCGGGTCTGGCGGGGCCTGGGGCGGGGACCCGGGGAGGGGCCCGGAGACCTCGCCGGGCGGTGGGAACCGCGGGCGGGAGCGGGGACGAGGGCCGAGGGCGGCGCGGCCCGTGTGGCGCGGGGGCGGGCGCGGCCCCGGGGACCCTTCACTGCCACCCAGAGAAGCCGCGTCTTCCCGACGGGGAGGAGCCGGGCCCCCCGGCTGTGCCGCCGGAGCCGGAGGGGAGGCCACGCGCCCCCGCTTTCCCCGCCGCCCCCCGGTGGGGGGCGCAGAACCCTCCCACCCTCAGCCCCTCGGCCCCCAGCCTGGCTCTTTAAGTTACTACAGAAACACGGAGGTCGGGAAGCTCCCTCCCAGCCCGGAGCTTGAACTTGAACGCGGCCGGCCGCTCGCGCAGGACCACACCGCCACCTCCCGGCGCGGCCCCAGAACCCAGATAATCCGTTTAAAGCACTGAGAAAATCTAAGAAGTTTTTAGTAAACTGTAGCTGGTATCAGGGATCAGATCAGCGGACACGCCCATTCCAGCAGTCAGGGGCCTGCTCGGACCGTCGTGCACCTCCGAGCGTTTCTGTCCGGTCCCTCTGGGTCCGTCTGGTTTTCGGAGGCTTTCCTGGAAAAGCCAGCCTGTGGCTACCTCCTTTCTCCCCTAAGTGATGGAGGATTAGAAGGCAGAGGTTGACCCACAATCTAAAGTGCCTGGTCGCCTTTTCCCAGATTTCCCGGAGCATTCCTTCACCCCGTGGCATCGGCTGTCTGCATATGGGTGCAAGGCCCTGTTCCGGGCGGAGAATAAACAGGAGTTCTGACTGACAGGAGCTCCGCAGCCAGCAGGGTGGTCACTAGTTCTCTGCAGTCTCGGAGGACAGCCCTGAAGAAGGGCAGGAGAACCAGCACTTCCTCCGAAAACTCAAAAGGACATCAGTCTTCACCAAGTTGCCGATACAAAACGTGCTCCTGAAATGTGTAGTAATGAACACCAGGAAACCTGGGTAGGAGTGTGCATGGCATTCTTCATCACCGCTTGGACTGCATGGCACTGAATACCCACGGAGAGCAGGATGGAGAAACAGTGTGCTCATATTCACAGGATGGAATCTAGCCATTCACAAAAATTCCAAAACAGGCAAAATTAAACTGCATTCTTTAGGGAAGCATCATTAAGTAGTAAATAATTGACAGAAGGGCAAGAAGGTGCTTACTCTAAGTGTCAGAATGGTGGATACAGCTGGGGGTGAGAGGGCTGTGACCACAGCAGGGCCCCTGGGGGATTTGGGGGTGCCAGGCCTGTTCCTTCCTGCAATGGTGCCCTTTGGCAGCCATCCCTTAAACTGCACTTTTACTTTATATGCTTTTCTGTACCTTTACTGTAGTATTTCACGGAAATTTTTAAATAATCATGAATGTTACCACTTTCCTATTTATGAACCATGCAACCTCATCAATCTTCCCAGTTCGCAGATGCCCACCCTCTCTCTCTGCCCCTGTCTCCTTCACATATCCCCAAAACTCGTTTTGGCCCGAAATCCCTGAGGCCCAACTGCCCTGCTGTCAGCGACTGCACGCCTCAGCAAAGGCCCAGAAGGCTCTGTCATCACTGGCTGCCCTCAGCCCGCCTTCAGCTCCTTTGAGCGCTGTGTTGGGGAACTTTGTTGCAAGGATTTCGTTCCAGAAGGCAAGATAATGTCTCTGAGGGCTTCATTGTGTCACTTCTCTTTGGATGGCGGACACCGTGGCCCTCTGCTGGCGGAGGGGTGCCATTGCTGCCTGCCCCATCTCTATCCCCAGGGCCCATGCAGTCACTGGGTTCGCCCTCTGGGGCACGGGGTTCCCTCTGCTCTTTTCCTAGATAAGCCCATTCTCTGCAGGTCTCTACCCTCCACACCTGTGTTCAGGAATTCAGCCCGCTTCCTGCAGCCCCATCCCTACCCTCCTCCCAACCTGCTTTTCTTCTGGTGTCCCTCACTCAGCATGGCTAACAGATCCACCACCCAACGGAGCTGAGAACTGCAGTCCCCTCTGCCTGTTACCTCTCCTGCCATTAGTGAACCTGCTTAACTCATCTGACTGTGCGTCTCGGTGCTTGCTGTGACATGTCTCCAGCCCTTGCTGCTCTGTCCCCCAGACCCACGTCCCACACCCGGATGGTGACTCAGCCGACTCTGGGTCTTCTGGACCCAGTGCTTCTCCCTGATACAATTCCTTCCTCTGTGTTTTAGGATCCTGATGCTTTGATAAGACCGTGGGCTCTAATCACAGCCAGGGACATTTGCAGCAGCCTGGCCTGCAGCTCTGCACACTGGGTGCACTCAGTCTAAAGCACCAGCTCCCCATGAGAGAGAAAGAAGGGGTGAGGGGAAGTACAGAGAAAGCTCCTGAGGCCACAGGGCTGACAAAGCCCTCGGCTTTGGGGGCACTTTGTTTCTTCAAGACTAAAATGCAGGCAATGGAATAAATCATTTGTTCCTAAAACATGTTCTGCACATGATTAAAGCAGCTTTGGGAAGTCAAGTAAATTGGGAAGCACTGGATCAAACAATGATAAATAAGTTTATTGTCTGCAGGCCTTCTCAGAGCCTGTAGCAAGGTGAGAAGAATCATGCTTCTACAAAGAGGAAGGAGGGCATGAGACAGTATGCAACCTGTCCCAAACCCATTTAGCCACAGAACCCTTTTTTCACGAGGTACCTCAAGGTTCCGTGGAGCATAATTTAGGAAACACAGAGGTAGAGGTCTTCTATGATCCCTTCCAGCTCTAATAGTCTATGATTCTTTGAGTAATATATACTTTGAGACAGGATCACCAAAGTGAAAGTGTAGTGGCGAAAACACAGCTCATTGCAGCCTTGACTTCCCAGGCTCAAGTGATCCTCCCACCTCAGCCTCCTGAGCAGCTGGGACCACAGGTGCATGCCACCATGCCTGGCTAATTTTTAAAAACTTTTGTAGAGACAGGTCTCACTGTGTTGCTCAGGTTGGTCTTGAACTGCTTGGCCCAAGTGATCCTCCCACCTTGGCCTCCTCAAAGTGCTGGGATTACAGGCATGAGCCACTACACCTGACCTTATTTTTTTTGTTTTTGTATTTTTCTAGACAGGGTCTCACTCTATTGCCCATGCTGGAGTGCAGTGGTGCAATCATAGCTCACTGCAGCCTCCTGGACTTAAATAATCCTCCTACCTCAGCCTCCCAAGTTACTAGGACTACAAGAGTATCCCACCAGGCTCAGCTAATCTTTGTAGAGATGATGTTTCACCATATTGTCCAGGCTGGTTTCAAATTCCTGGGCTCAAGTGATCCACCAGCCTCAGCCCCCAAAGTGCTGGGACTACAAGTGTGAGACACTATGCCCAGACTGGTTTTTTGTTTTGTTTTGTTTTTTAATTAAAAACTAAGCAGGTGGCTCACGCCTGTAATCCTAGCACTTTGGGAGGCCAAGGCAGGTGGATCACGAGGTCAGGAGATAGAGACCATCCTGGCTAACACGGTGAAACCCTGTCTCTACTAAAAATACAAAAAATTAGCTGGTTGTGGTGGCACGCGCCTGTAGTCCCAGCTACTCGGGAGGCTGAGGCAGGAGAATCACTTGAACCTGGGAGGCGGAGGTCGCAGTGAGCCGAGATTGTGCCACTGCACTCCAACCTGGAGGACAGAGCGAAACTCCATCTGAAAAAAAAAAAAAACTAAGCAGGCCATATGCAGTGGTTTGTGCCCAAAGTCTCAGTGCTTTGGGAGGTCAAGGTGAGAGGATTGCTTGAGGCCACGAGTTCCAGACCAGCCTGGGGACCCCATCGCTACAAAATAAAAAAAAATTAGCTGAACATGGTGGCACACATCTGTAGTCCCAGCTACTCAGGAGACTGAGGTGGGAGGATTGCTTGAGCCCAGGAGGTCGAGGCTGCAGTGAGCTATAACTGTGCCACTGCATTCCAGCCTGGGTGACAGAGTGAGACCCTGTTTCAGAAACAAAACAAAAACAGGCCATGATAACCTCTTTAAAATCTGCCAGTGCCATCCTCCACTGGGTCTGCCAGCTGGGCCCCCTTTGCAGGATAGGGTGGAGGGGCCTGGATGTGGTGTTCCCTTGACTGGTGAGCGTGTCTGAATACAGGCCACACCTTCTGCTTCTTCAGGTAACCATCTCTAGACAAGAGGTACTTCATTTTGGCCCTCTGTTTCCTCTCAAGTTGCCATTTTTTTTTAATTTTTAATTTTAAGACAGTGCCTTGCTCTGTCTCCTAGGCTGGAGAGCAGTGGTGCCATCTCGGCTCATTGCAGCCTTCGCCTCCTGGGTTCGAGTGATTCTCCTGCCTCAGCCTCCCCAGCAGCTGGGATTACAGGCGCATGCCACCACACCCGGCTAATTTTTTGTATTTTTAGTAGAGATGGGGTTTCATCATGTTGGCCAGGCTTGTCTTGAGCTCCTGACCTCAAGTGATCTGTCTGCCTTGGCCTCCCGAAGTGCTGGGATTACAGGCGTGAGCCACCATGCACAGCCAAACTGCATTCTTTTTGTTTGTTTTATTATTTTTTTTCTTTTCAAACTGTATTTTTTTCAGGCAGGCATTGATCTCTGCTTTTTAGTCTGGCACACTTACTTACAGCCCCCTAAATTTAACTCTGAATCTAGTTCCTCTTCAAAGGATGGTGTCTCACCTATGAGGTGTGGGTGCCCTTGCCTTCCTTTGCCCCAGCCTGAGGACAGCTGGTGTTTCTTTTTTTTTTGAGATGGAGTCTCGCTCTGTTGCACAGGCTAGAGTGCCAGTGGTGCAATCCCAGCTCACTGCAACCTCCACCTCCCGGGTTCAAGCGATTCTCCTACCTCAGCCTCCTGAGTAGCTAGGAGTACTGGCATGCGCCACCATGCCCAGCTAATTTTTTGTATTTGTAGTAGAGACGGGGTTTCACCATATTGGCCAGGCTGGTCTCGAACTCCTGACCTTGTGATCCGCCCGCCTTGGCCTCCCAAAGTGCTAGGATTACAGGCGTGAGCCACCACGCCTGGCCCAGCTGGTGTTCCTAAGCATGATGTGAAGACCACCCAGAGCACATGAGAGATGCTGCCACAAATTGTTTAAGGTCAAGAGTTACAAATTCATCCCAATGCATCTTCTACAAAGTCCTTGGGAGATTTGTGTGGATGTGGTGTATCCAGCTTGTAGCATTTTCTGGAGTTAAAAGAGATAAATAAAAGCTATCTTTCACTAAAGATGGTGGCTTACACCTGTAATCCCAGCACTTTGGGAGGCTGAGGTGGGCAGGTGTCTTGAGCACAGTTTGAGATCAGTGTGGGCAACAGAGTGGGACCCTATCTCTACAAAAAATACAAAAATTAGTGGGACATGATTGTGTGCTTGTAGTCCCAGCTACTCAGGAGGCTAAGGTAGGAGATCACCTAAGCCCTCAGGGAGGCTGAGGATGCAGTGAGCTGTGATTGTACCACTGCGCTCTAGTCTGGGTGATAGAGCAAGACGCTGTCTCAAAACACACACACACACACACACACACACACACACACACACACAAAACAGCAACCTATCTTTCATAGGAGGAGAAACATTAAGTAAAAATTGTCAAAGAAGCCAAGTATATAATGATGTAAACAAGTGTCAATTTTTAGCTTTCCACAATGACTCCTTTATACTATCATTCTTACCTAGTATCATGTTTCTTTGAAATAATATACTGATACATTGTTTAGCAAAGATTTTGGCTGTAAGACCAATATTTTAAAATTAACCATAATTCTATATACTAATGACAATTAAAAATAAAAATTTATTTATTTTTGAGACAGATTCTCACTCTGTCACCTGGGCTGGAGTGCAGTGGCATGATCTTGGCTCACTGCAACCTCCGCCTCCCGGGTTTGAGCAATTCTCGTGCCTCAGCCCCCCGAGTAGCTGGGATTGCAGGCGTGCACAACCACGCCTGGCTAATTTTTGTATTTTTAGTAGAGACGGGGTTTTGCCATGATGGCCAGGCTGGCCTCAGATGATCCACCCACCTTGGCCTTCCAAAGTGCCGGGCTTACAGGCATGAGCCATCAGGCCTGGCCTAAAAGTAAAATTTAAATAGAATGAGGCTGGGCACAGTGGCACATACCTATAGTCTCAGCTAATTGGGAGGCTGAGGCAAGAGGATGGCTTGAGCCTGGGCAGTCAAGGCAGCAGTGAACTGTGATCACGCCACTGTACGTCAGCCTGGTCAACAGAGACCGTCTCAAAAAGACTAAAAAAAAGAAAAAGGAAAAAAAAAGAAAGGAAAAAAGAAAAGTTGAAAACAGAAGAACAAATGAAAATAAAGATGTACAAAACCTCTGCACAGAAATCTGTGAAACATGACTGAGAATTTCACAATGGAGGGAGACAGCATACTCACGGATTGGGACGCTGGGGAGACAGGGAGCGGCACGGCACTGACATCGTGCTTTGTGTTTGTGTTCCGCCAACACTAGCCTAAGGAAGGTAGATGCCCCGCTTCTCTGAAGAGGCAGCGGGTGGAGTGTGCAGCTCTGGAACCCAGTCCTGGATACCCTGTGAGCCCACTGAGATGGGTGTGGCCTCCTTATTGGGAACATGGCTGATTGTGACCAACAATGAGAGCACATATGTTCCGTTCCTGATGAGGGCCTGGTTCCTTAGTGGATACTCTGTACATAACATCCCAACACTCTCCTAAGTTCCTCTGTTTCAAGAGCCTGCATTTCCCTGCGGCATTGCACATGGAAGAGGGCCATCAGAATTGAGAAGCATGGGGATACAGTCTAATCACATAACAGGACAATTTCAGGCAGTGGGTGGGAGAAGTCACTGTTTCAAACTTTTTGCCATCATCTAAGTGTGTGTTTCCCCCCACAAAATGCATATGTTGAAATCTTAACATGAAAGGTGATGGTATTAGGTGAGGCCCTTAGGAGGTGCTTATTTCATGAGGATGGAACCCTCTCAATTGGGATTAACACCCTTATAAAAGAAGCCCTGTTAGTGGATCACTTGAGCTCAGGAGTTTGAGGCCAGCCTGGCCAACATGGCAAGACTCCATCTCTACAAAAAATACAAAAATTAGCCAGGCATGGTGGCACACAACTATACTCCCAGCTACTTGGGAGGCTGAGGTGGGAGAATCGCTTGAGCCTAGGAGATGGAAGTTGCAGTGAGCTGAAATCATGCCATTGCACCCCAGCATGGGTGACAGAGCAAGACCCTTTCTCAAAAAAGAAATATAAACACATAAAATAAAAGAGGCCTTGTTTGGCTGGTGCAGTGGCTGGGACCTGTAATCCCAGCTACTCAAGAGGCCAAGGCAGGAGAATTGCTTGAGAATAGGAGTTTGAAACCAGCATGGGCAACAATGCGAGACTCCCTCTTTTTTTTTTTTTTTTTTTTTTTTTAGACATAATCTCCCTGTTACCCAGACTGGAGTGCAGTGGTGTGATCTCAGCAGCTCACTGCAGCCTCTGCCTCCTGGGTTCAAGCAAGTCTCATGTCTCAGCCTCCTGAGTAGCTGAGTGCACCACCACACCTGGCTAATTTTTGTATTTTTAGTAGAGATGGGTTTTTGCCATGTTGCCTAGGTTGGTCTCAAACTCCTGGCTTCCAGTGATCCACCTGCCTCGGCCTCCCAAGTGCTGAGATTACAGGCATGAGCCACCATGCATGGCCAAGTCTCTTTGTCTTGAAAAAAAAATTAGCCGGTGACTCATGCCTGTAATCCCAACACTTTGGGAGGCCGAGGCAGGTGGATCACCTGAGGTCAGGAGTTTGAGACCAGCCTGGCCAACGTGGTGAAACCCTGTCTCTACCAAAAATACAAAAATTAGCCCAGTGTGGTGGTGCAGGCTTGTAATCCCAGCTACTTGGGAGGCTGAGGCAGGAGAATCGCTTGAACCCAGGAGGCAGAGGTTGCAGTGAGCCAAGATTGCCCCCATTGCACTCCAGCCTGGGTGACAGAGTGAGACTCTGTCTTGGGGGAAAAAAAAAAAAAGCCCATTGCAGTGGGCGCACCTGTGGTTCCAACTACTTGGGATGCTGAGGTAGGAGGATCTCTTGAGCCCAGGAGTTCAAGGTTATAATAAGCTATATCACACCACTGCACTCCAGCCTGGGTGACAGTACAAGACTCCATTTCTAAAAAGAATAAAAATAAAAAAAGAGGTCTCAGAGAACTGCCTTGCCCCTTCTACCATATGAGGATACAGGGAGAAGCTGTCATCTGTGGACCAGGAAGGAGGCCCTCAGCAGACACTGAATCTGCTGGTGCCTTGATCTTGGACTTTGCAGACTCCAGAACTACGAGAAATACATTTCTGTTGGTCGTAAGCTGCCCAGTCTATGGTATTTTGTTACAGCAGCCCACAGTGGACTAATATACTCTCATTGAGCTCACATATAGAGAAGGGAAGAGTCTTGTTCTGTGTTTCCTGAAGAAGCAGAACTCGGCATGGGTCCATGGGAAGATTACCTAAGAGCCCATGGGATCCTGCACTGCCTCCTAAGAGATGCATTTCCATCAAAAGGCAGACAATGGCACAGTGCGCTTCCTTGGCCCAAGTACCTGTTCTAGGCACTGCATGAGTATTTACTCATTCAAGCCTCAGAGCACATACCCTCATCCTATGATGAGAAACTGAGGCAGAGGGATCCCACAGCCAAGCTGGAAACCCAGCAGCTTGGTCCCAACAGGTACAGTGGCACGATGACACCAGGGAGCCTGTAGCTGATCTCTGGGTTTCTTCTGACTCCACCATACAATGAATGCACTCGGCATGGGCAGTCTTCAAACAGTTTTGTTTACATACCCCCAAATGTCATTTTAAATGTTTTTTTACCCCCCTTACACATTAAGTTGACACCTAAAATATTATGTAAGTTTAAATAGTTACAAAGAACATAACTTCTGGAACATTGTAAATATTGACACTTAAAAATAAAACTGTCATCTCACTTAAAAAAATGTAACCAGATGGAACAGAAAAATACCATATCGATTTGATATCTTATATAATCCATTCAAAACAGTGTAGTTGTCCCTCTATATTTGTGGGGGATTGGTTCCAGGACCCCCAGTGGATACTAAAATGCACAGCTCAAGTCCCTGATGTAAAATGGTGCGGTATTTGCATAGAGCCTACGCACATCCTCCCATATGCTTTAAATCATCTCTAGATTACTTTTTTTTTTTTTTTTTTTTGAGATGGAATCCTGCTGTATTGCCAGGCTGGAGTGCAGTGGTGCGATCTCGGCTCACTGCAACCTCTGCCTCCCAGGTTCAATCGATTCTCCTGCCTCAGCCTCCCGAGTAGCTGGGACTACAGGCGCGCGCCACCGTGCCCGGCTAATCTTTGTATTTTTAGTACAGATGGAGTTTCACCACGTTGGCCAGGATGGTCTCAATCTCTTGACCTCATGATCCGCCCACCTCAGCCTCCCAAATTGCTGGGATTACAGGCGTGAGCCACCGCACCTGGCCTAGATTACTTCTAATACCTAACACAATGTAAAATGCCATGTAGTAAATAATCATACTGTATTGTTTAGAGAATAATGACAAGAAAAATGTCTGTACACCTTCAGTACAGAGATAACCATCATAGGCCTGACTACATTTTCCATCCACAGTTGGTTGACTCTGAGGGCATGGAGGGCTGACTGTACCTGAGCCACCTCTTCTTTAATATTTCACATCACTCTTTTCCTCACAGGACCCATTTTCCATTTTAATTCTTCCACATATTTTTATCCTAAGGAGATATTTTTATGTTTGAAAATCTTATTGATTATGCTATATACTTGTCTACAACAAAAAGTATATATAAATTGAAATCTGAAATTTTTATTTCCTGTGAGACCAAGTGTTAGAAAACATTCTTCTGGGCTTACTTATCATTACAACTGTCAGAACACAACTAATCAAACACAAATATATTACAAAGTTTGAATAATAATTATTAGTCATGAAAGTGTCACTCATTAGTCATACATTTTTGTTGGAAATAATCTCTTAAGGAAAATAGTGGACTTTTCTTTTTCTAATTCCCAGACTCAGGAAGAACCGGATGACCCATTGCTGGAGTCAGGGCTCTTCAACAATTCTTTTCCCGTTCCCCATGTTTGTGAATGTCAGTGCTTACAGCTGCGGTCCCAGGAAGCGTGGGTGAGAATGGAAGGAAATTCTGTTACAGTGACTCAGTGCTCTGACCCCTCCCAGGATATCCTCCAGAACTCGCATGCTGCTCTCCTACCGACAGTCCTGGGTGAGAACCCACAGCTGGCGACTCAGCCATCCTGCCTCAGGGTGATGGAAGCTACAACTGAAGTCACCTGGCTTTCAAAAGGTTCTTTTGTGGCCGGGCGCGGTGGCTCACGCCTGTAATCCCAGCACTTTGGGAGGCTGAGGCGGGCGGATCAGTTGAGGTCAGGAGTTCGAGACAAGCCTGGCTAACACAGTAAAACCCCGTCTGTACTGAAAATACAAAAAATTAGCCGGGTGTGGTGGCAGGTGCCTGTAGTCCCAGCTACTTGGGAGGCTGAGGCAGGAGAATGGTGTGAACCCAGGAGGCGGAGCTTGCAGTGAGCCAAGATCGCGCCACTGCACTCCAGCCTGGGCGACAGAGCGAGACTCCATCTCAAAAAAAAAAAAAAAAAAAGGATCTTTTGTGACCCTAATTGAGTCTGGGTGTCTACAGAAAGGTGTGATAGATGAGATTACCATCCAAAAGTCATCGCTCCCTTGCCCTTTACAGTTGATTTCTTACCCCAGTGGCGCTGAGCTCAACCGTGTGACTGTCAACGGTCGACAGGATGTCAGCAGTCCTGCCCTCAGAGGCTTACATGCAGTTGCCCCGTCTGGTTGCCAGGTTGGTCTCAGCCAGGTGGCCTAGAGAAACCTTCCTCCCTGCATCTTCCTCAGCCTGGTCGCTGAGGGCATGTGAAGCCAGGTCCATCTGGAGGCAGAGCCTCCCAGCCACACGCAGCTGCGCCAGCTAATGCACAGAGGTGGAGTGAGGGGAACACGTGTTGTTACACAGCAGAAGCTGAGTCAAAATCCCCAAGGGGCCTTTTAAAACGTGGAAGTTGACAAATTGGTGCCAAAATGTAAATGTAACTGCAAGTGAGTTAGAAGAGCCAAAAATAAGTATCTTGGAGAAAAAGAACAAAATTGGATGATTTGCAATAGCCACTTTCAAGACTGACTACGCTTGGTTTCAGGAGTCATTATAAGGCTGCAGTAATCAAGACAATGTGGCATAGACATAAGAACAGATGAGAACAGTGGAACAGAATAGCAAGTCTAGAAATAAATCCACACATAAATGGCCAATAGGTTTTTGACCAAGGTACCAAGGCAAGACAATGGAGAAAGATTTTTTTCAACAAATGGTGCTGGAATAATTGGATTTCCGTATGGAAAATAATGAACTTCAACATCTACCTCACATCCTTCACACTAATTCAAAATAAATCATAGACCTAAATATAAAACTAATATGGCGGGGCGTAGTAGCTTATGCCTGTAATCCCAGCACTTTGGGAGGCCCAGGCAGGAGGATTGCTTGAGCCCAGAAGTTCAAGACCAGCCTGGCAACGTGGCAAAACCTCATCTCTATAGAAAATATAAAAATTAGACGGGCTTGGTGGCATACACCTAGATCCTAGTAGTTCATGGCTGCAGTGAGCTCTGATTATGCTACTGCACTCCGGCTTGGTGACAGAGTGAGACCCTGTCTCAAGAAGGAAAAAAAAAAAGGGAAAAGAAAGTCCCAGTTACTTGGGAGGCTGAGGTAGGAGGATCGCCTGAGCTCGGGAGGCTGAGGTAGGAGGATCGCTCGAGCTCGGGAGGCTGAGGTAGGAGGATCGCTCGAGCTCGGGAGGCTGAGGGAGGATCGCTCGAGCTCGGGAGGCTGAGGTAGGAGGATCGCTTGAGCTTGAGGGGTCGAAGCTGCAGTGAGCTGAGAATGCACCACTGCGCTCCAACCTAGGTGACAGAGTGGCACCTTGTCTCAAAAACAAATGAACAAACAAACAACCTTAAAAATTAATGCTATATAGCTTTTAGAGGAAAATATGGTAAATATCATGCAACCTTGGGGCAGGCAAAGATGTCTTAGAGAAGATGCAAAAAGCACTAAGTATTTTAAAAAGTATTAATTAGAACTTCATTCAAATTAAGAACTATTGCTCATCAAAAGATACTGTTAAGAAAATAAAAAGACAAGCCACGGACTGAGAGAGAATATTTGCAATACATACAGCTGACAAAGGACTTATATCCAGAATATATAAAGAATGACTACAAATCAATAATAAAGTAAAAAACTTGATTTTTAAAAACCAGCAAAAGGCCACGTGGAGTGGCTCACGCCTATAATCCCAGCTACTTGGGAGGCTGAAGTAAGAGGATTGTTTGAGCTCAGCAGTTCAAGACCAGCCTGGACAACACAGTGAGACTTGCTGTAAAATAAATAAATAAATACATAAAATAATTTTTAAAAAATGAGTAATAGCCTGGGTGACATGGCAAAACTGCATCTCTACAAAAAATACAAAAATGAGCCGGATGTGGTGGTGCATGCCTGCAGTCCCAGTTACTGGGGAGGCTGAGGTGGGAGAATCACCTGAGCCCAGGAAGTGGAGCTGGCAGTGAGCCATGATTGAACCACTGCACGCCAGCCTGGGTGACAGAATGAGACCCTGTCTCAATAAATTAAATAATTTAAAAAAATAGCCAAAAGATTTGAACAGACCTTCATAAAAGCAAACAGTTGGCCAGTTGTAGTGGGTCATGCCTGTAATCCCAACATTTTAGGGGGCTGAGACAAGAGGATGCCTGGCTGCAGTGAGCTCGGATCGTGCCACTGCATTCCAGCCTGGGTGACAGGGTGAGACCCTGTCTCAGGAAAAAAAAAAAAAAAAAAAAAAAAAAGAGAGAAAAGAAATAAAAACATACCTACCCAAAAAGACTTGTATGCAAATGTTTATAGCCACTTTATTCATTAAGCCCCGAACTGGAAACAATCAGATATCTATCAATAGGAGAATGGTAAACGAACTGTAGTCTATGTACCCAATAGAATACTATTCAGCAATTAAAAAAAAATTACAGGCCAGGTGCGGTGCTCATGCCTGTAATCCCAGCACTTTGGGAGGCCGAGGCGAGTGGATCACAAGGTCAGGAGTTCAAGACCAGCCTGGCCAACATGGTGAAACTCTGTCTCTACTAAAACTACCAAAAATAGCCAGGTGCAGTGGCAGGTGCCTGTAATCCCAGCTACTGGGGAGACTGAGGCAGGAGAATCACTTGAACCCAAGAGGCAGAGGTTGCAGTGAGCTGAGATCATGCCACTGCACTCCAGCCTGGGCTACAGAGTGAGACTCCATCTCAAACAAAACAAAACAAAGAAAACAACAAACACACCACATGGATGCATCCCAAAAACATTGTGTTAAGTGAAAGAAGCTAGACACAAAAAAGCACACACTGTATGCTCAGTTGATATGAATTCAAGAACAGACAAAAACTAATCTATGCTGTTGGAAATCAGAACAGTGTTTGCCTATAGGCTGGGAACTCCCCATGAGTATGTTCTATATCTCAATTTGAGTGATGGTTACACAGGTGTATGCATTTGTTAAAATTCATTAAACTGTGCATTTCACTGTATGTACATTTACCTCAACAAAAACAAAAAGAATTTTCTGAGGCTGATATCTAATATTAATTTAAAAGGATCAAGTTTAACCTAATATGTTCAGTAAGGTGTGAGGAACATAAAAATACTGTTGTATCATTTACATCTTTGCCAATAAATTTTTGTTGAGGAGTCTCACTCTGTCGGAGTTAATTCACTTATATCTTTGCCAATAAATATATGTATTTTTTGACACAGAGTCTCACTCTGTTGCCCAGGCTGGAGTGCAGTGGTACGATCTCGGCTCACTGCAACTTCCGCCCCGACCCCGGTTCAAGCGATTCTCTTGCCTCAGCCTCTCGAGTAGCTGGGATTACAGGCGCCTGCCACCACGCACCTGGCTAATTTCTGTATTTTTAGTAGAGACGAGGTTTCATCATCTTGGCTAGGCTGGTCTTGAACCCCTAACCTCGTGATCCACCTGCCTCGGCCTCCCAAAGTGCTGGGATTACAGGTGTAAGCCACTGCACCTGGTCAAATTTTTTTTTTTTTTTTTTTTGAGACAGAGTCTCACTCCAGGCTGGAGTGCAGTGGCGCAATCTCTGCTCATTGCAACCTCCACCTCCCGGGTTCAAGCGATTCTCCTTCCTCAGCCTTTGGAGTAGCTGGGACTACAGGCACCCGCCACCACACCCGGCTAACTTTCGTATTTTTGGTAGAGACGGGATTTCACCATGTTGGCCAGGCTGGTCTTGAACTCCTGAACTCAGGTGATCTGCCCGCCTCGGCCTCCCAAAGTGCTGGGATTACAGGGTTGAGTCACCACGTCCGGCTGCAATAAAATGTTTTTTAAATAAAAGTTATATTACTCTTTAAATATTAATACATTTTTGTCAAAGTTGTAACTGTAGATTTAGCTTATTCAATTTATGGAAAAATATGGCATCTGATATCTGATTTGCAGAGCCCGTCCCCCTTGTCAAACAAGAAAGCCAAATAGACTCTCTGTCAGGTGACTTCATTTTTCAATTCAAATAAACGTGCTAATACACATTTCCAGGATTATTATAGAAGCCACTGAGAAATAAAGAATATATTTGTAAGATAGATTACTAAACGCAGTCAAGATTAAAATGATAAGATATAATTAATGTATCTATTTTACCATGTTACAAGAGCAAGAAAATAAATCATACTGTATCCACTTTAACATAATTTGTAATAATACAGTATAATGTGTGCTTAGAGTAGTAAGTTACGAAGCAAGGAGTACGATAGAAAGCATGATATTCATTTGGTAAATGTATGTGAGCACGTATAATGATTTTTTTTGGCTTTGGGGATTTATTAAATGAGAATCAAATATAAAAATCAGAAGTAACTCCATCCATGTTGTTACATATCATGACCAGATTTTCTTATGAATGTAAAGAAACAGAAAGTCACACACTGCTTAAAAAACAATCACTCTGCAAAGGAGGGCCTCACTTTTTTTTTTTTTTTAAAGAAAACGTGTATATATATTTGTGTGTATGTATATATATATATAAACACACACACACACATATATATACATACACACAATCACTCTGGACGTTCACATATCATTTTTACTTTTTGCTGTTAGGAGTGGAAAATATGAAGCACTTGATAAGATGAAATAAGATGAGGATTGACCAAAGTTACAGCATTTTAATACAGCATATTAAAGTGATTTAAAAAAATCAGTTTTAATTACTTCACTAATCAATACCCACCCAGTATGATATTGGACAGAAGTTTTATCTGGGTTTTATCCAGTAGATCTTGAAAAATATGATAGTCCGAGACAACACTCCAGTTACATTTCAAAAATTATTATTTTTAAAGAGACAGGATCTTGTTCTGTCACCCAGGCTGGAGTGCAGTGGGTGATCATAGCTCACTGTAAACTTGAACTCCTGGGCTCAAGCAATCCTCTTGCCTTAGCCTCCTGAGTAGCTGGGACTACAGACATGTACCCCCATGCCCACTTAATTTTTTAGGTTTTTTTTTTTTTTTTTTTTTTCAGATGGAGTCTTGTTCTGTCCACCACACTGGAGTGCAGTGGCACGATCTTGGCTCACTGCAACCTCCGCCTCCCAGGTTCAAGTGATTTCCCTGCTTCAGCCTCCCAAGTAGCTGGGACTACAGGCGCGCACCACCACACTCGGCTAATTTTTGTATTTTTAGTAGAGACGGGGTTTCACCATATTGACTAGGCTGGTCTCGAACTCCTGACCTTGTGATCCGCCTGCCCCGGCCTCCCGAAGTGCTGGGATTACAGGCGTGAGCCACGGCGCCCAGCCAATTTTTTAGTTTTTAGTAGGAACAAGGTCTCGCTATGTTGTCCAGGCTGGTCTCAAACTCCTGGCCTGAAGTGATCCTCTTGCCTCAGCCTCTCGAGTAGCTGGAATTACAGGTGTCAGCCACCATGCCCGGCCTGTTTGTTTGCAGAAAGATAACAAATTAAAGCCAGGCATGATTCAAAAGTTTTAAACAACGCACACAGCCCTCCTTATTGCTACACCTGGTCATTGCTGAACCTGGTCAAAGCCTGAAAGCCAGGACACCTGGGGGCTGGGTTCCAGCGCCAAGGTGACCTAAGAATTTAAACTCCCAAACCCCCATTTCCAAGTGAAGAGATTAAACCCTCCTGCCTTAGTGGGTCACTGTTAGAGGACAGTGCCTGGCACACGTGAACTCAGTATTAGCTGTTGTCATTGAGAGAGAACATGAGGGACAACTAAAGGACAAAGGATGTGTCACTTTAGGTGGAGATCAGAGCCCTCTGGGCTCGTCATTCCAGCATGTCCACTCATCTGCAAAAGGTTAGACCTGGACGAAAGACCTCTGGGGCACATCACCAGTGCCTTTTTACTTTGGCATTGAGCTTTGATTTTACTGGGTTGTGTGGATGGGAAACCCAACCAAATATGGCAATTCTGATATTGTCAGGTATCAGATCGTTTCAAAATGTAATATGTGGGGTCTTCATCCCTGGGGAGAATCTGGGAGAGGCATTTGGCCTAGTGGTTATGTTACAGTCCTAAACATGAGGCCGACCCAGCTTCCAACCCAGTTCTGGCACCTACCTACTCACTACGTGGCTGTCAGATTACTGTGTAACTGTTTCTTCACCTGTGAACCAGGGATAAGCATCGTACCACTCAGGTGGTGTGAGTTGAACTAGAGGCTGCTGCTGACAGCGTCCTTTATACTTCAGTGGACCACAAAAACACCAAGCATGGGTCTTCCCACAACCTCCCCGGCTCTTCTCATCCCAACCTCAGCCCATCTCCACTCCTACTATGGCCAAATCCACACTTCCTTCCAGGCCTCAGGCATTACCTACAGCTTCTCATTTTGTTCTGGAACTTTGACCTTAATAGGCTAGAATGGTCTCCACCCTCTGACTCCTACACTTTGTAGTGTGCAACCCATGGTACCTAGTCAGTTGCAATGTATAACCCTAGTATATAATAATCTGTAATACTCAATCTCTGGTGCGGTTAGCTGGTGTACAATCTGCAGTGCATAGTTAGCTGTACTGTATGACCCCTGTATATAATAAACCGTGGTTGTTGTTTTGAGACAGGGTCTCGCTCTGTCACCCAGGCTGAAGTGCAATGGCACACTCACGGCTCACTGAAGCCTCCACCCCTGGGGTTCAAGTGATCCTCCCACTTCAGCCTCCCACATAGCTGGGACCACAGGCACACACCACCACACCTGGCTTTTTTTTTTTTTTTTGAGATGGAGTCTCGCTCTGTTGCCCAGGCTAGAGTGCAGTGGCATGATCTTTTCTCACTGCAACCTCCACCTCTCAGGTTCAAGCGATTCTCCTGCTTCAGTCTCCCGAGTAGCTGGGACTACAAGCACCTGCCACCCTGCCTGGCTAATTTTTGTATTTTTAGTAGAGACGGGGTTTCACCCTGCTGGCCAGGCTGTTCTTGAGCTCCTGATCTCAGGTGATTTGCCTGCCTCGGCCTCCAAAGGTGCTGGGATTACACGTGCAGCCGTGTGCCTGACCTGAACTAGTACTGAATTCTCGGTGCACAGTAGCTGTAGCGTGTAATCTCACAGGCAGGGGCAAAAGTTATTGTTAAAGATGTCCCTAACTTAAAGATGACCCCTTATAACTCAAAGCAGCATTTAAATAAACATGTAGAATCTATAACCCTTGCCAACAGATCCTTACCGTTGTGCAAGCTGACTGCATTCCAGCAGTGGCACAGAAAGATGCACATGATAACTGGGGTTGGCCGACCTCCAGAGGAAACTGGCACCTGAGCCTGTAAAGCCTTTCGGATTCAGTTGAGCTTCTTGACTCGTTTCTAGTGACAGCTAGAAATGTGAAATTATGGGTCTCAAAGACTTTGAACACAAGTCAAAACTCTTACTAAAATGTTAGAAGTGCTGGCTTTTAAGAACACTCCAGGATGGAAGAACAGAAACTTCCAGTACGCTGATAGAGAGCTAAGTTGTAAATTATACTCAGTGACCTGGGCTGGCAAGTAAGGGGGGTTCAAAAAATCAGTCGCTGGGGACTCAATCTTTTAATGAGCTCCCTTTGAATAAGGTGATTTCCAATTGTTTTTAAAAAGGGGAGAGAAAGTATTCACATTTTATTTTTTTTGAGATGGAGTCTTGCTCTGTTGCCCAGGCTGGAGTGCAGTGGCCCGATCTCAGCTCACTGCAACCTCTGCCGCCAGGGTAAAGCAATTCTCCTGCCTCAGCCCCAACTAGTAGTTGGGATTACAGGCATGTGCCACCACACCTGGCTAATTTTGTATTTTTAGTAGAGATGGGGTTTCGCCATGTTGGCCAGGCTGGTCTCGAACTCCTGACCTCTGGTGATCCACCCGCCACGGCCTCCCAAAGTGCTGGGATTACAGGTGTGAGCCACTGCGCCTGGTCTTACATTTTAAAATCCTTTGGTTTAAAGGTAGTGTACTCTAGTATTAAACGTGTATATATAAATGTTGTAATTACATTATGAATAAAAGCACTCATATTTCAAAAAGTGTTCATATTTCAAGCAGAAACCATCTTCTCTATAAAATTTTTAAATTAAAAACAGGGAAACTGTAACCTTAATGATCTTGAAGTTTCTGGTCACGAGTTATTAAAAAAATGTAAACTGGTAGTGTCTTCAAAAGGTTTTAAGGATCCCTTTGCATTAAGACAGTTGACTGAGACCGGGCGTGGTGGCTCATGCCTGTAATACCAGCACTTCGGGAGGAAGAGGCAGGCAGATCATTTGAGGTCAGGAGTTCGAGACCAGCCTGGCCAACCCCACCTCTACTAAAATTACAAAATTTAGCTGGGCGTGGTGGCGGATGATTGTAATCCCAGCTACTCAGGAGGCTGAAGCAGGAGAATCACTTGAACCTGGGAGGCGGAGGTCGACCACGCCCAGCTAATTTTTATATTTTTAGTAGAGAGAGGGTTTCACTATGTTGGCCAGGCTGGTCTCAAACTCCTGACCTCAGGTGATCCGCCTGCCTCGGCCTCCCAAAGTGCTGACATTACAGGCATAAGCCACCACGCCCAGCCTTTAAAAAGTTTTTAAAAGCTAATCTTCTCTGTATCGTTCCAATTTTAGTATATGCGCTGCCAAAACAAGCAGTATTTTTAAATTTTTTTAAAAGAGACAGCGTCTCACTCTGTCACTCAGGCTGGAGTGCAGTCGTGATCACAGCTCACTGGAGTCTCAACCTCCTGGGCTCAAGTGATCCTCCCACTTCAGCCTCCAGAGTAGCTGGGACTACAGGCGCACACCACCACACCTGGCTAAAAATCTCCTTCTTATTATTATTATTTTTGAGATGGAGTCTCGCTCTGTCACCCAGGCTGGAGTGCAGTGGCCTGATCTCGGCTCATTGCAACCTCCCGCCTCCTGAGTTCAAGTGATTCTCCTGCCTCAGTCTCCTGAGTAGCTGGGACTATAGGCATGTGCCACCACACCTGGCTAATTTTTGTATTTTTAGTAGAGATGGGGTTTCACTATGTTGGCCAGGCTGGTCTCGAACTCCTGACCTGACCTCAGGTGATCTGCCTGCCTTGACCTCCCAAAGTGCTGGGATTGTAAGTGTGAGCCACTGCACCTGGCCAAGATCTTCTTTTTAAAAAAGAAGTTCATGTTTCTGAAGACTCAATTTCTAAGACATCTATACTCCCCAAACCAATCTATAAACTCAATGAAATCCCAATCATAACAACCCCTCTGCCAATTTTTCAGATAAAAATACGGGGAGGTACAGTTAACAAGATGAATAGTCAAGCCCCAGGATGAGAGAAAATACCTAGAAAACAAGTATCTGACCAAAGACTGATATCCAGTGTGTAAGAACACCCATTACTCCACAACAACATGATAAACAGTTTTCTTAAAAATGCAAAATATCTGAGCAGATGCTTCACAAAAACATATATAAGTGGCTAAGTATAGAAAAAACAAAACAAAACAAAACAAAACGCTCAACCTCATTAGGTATGGAGGATAAAAACGACTGACACTACCAAGCATTGGTGACAATGTGGAGCAACTGGAATGTCCATCCATGAAAATGGTATAACGTCACTGGAAACCAGTTTGGCAGTTTTTAATAAAGGTAAGCATACACTTACCAGATGTTCCAGAACTTTCCTGCAGAGTTTACTTGCCCAGGAGGAATGGAAACACCGTCCCCAGTTTTATTTCTAATAGAAACTGAAAACCACCCAATGTCCCATTCATCAACAGGTGAACAGGGAAATACGCAGCAATATATTCTTACCATGGAGTATTATCAGAAATAAAAAGGAATGAACTTCAGATACACACAACATGGATATTCAAAAACATCACTCGTAGTGAAAGCAGCCAGAAATGAGAGTATATATGGTGTAGTTCTAGAAGCAATCTGAAGTGTAAGAAGCCATTTCTAGCGATGGAGACCACACTAGAGGTTACAAAGGAGAAACAGGGACCTGCCCTCCAGAGGTATGAAGGCACTTCCCAAGTGCTGGCTCTTTCTCATCTTCCTCACACTGGTCACTAACTGGTCGTATACATTTGAAAAAAATTGAGCTGTTTATTCAGTGGCTCTTATTGTATGCAAGTTAAATCCTACTCAAGTTGATTAAAAGCAGGGTGGTGATTGCCCTTCTTGGGGAGCAGTGCGGGAGGGAGCCCCAGGACCTCTGGGGTGATGTTACTATTCTCTGACCCTGGGTGTAGTTACAAGAGGACATTCCTTTGGGAAAAGTTCAGTAAGCTCTACATTTGTGTGCCCTTTTCTCTACCTACTCTTTAATAATGGAGAATAAAAAATAGGAGAAAAATGATGAGATTGTGAACACTTCTCCCAGCTAACTTGGACAGGTTTTCAGGTGCTGCATGTATGGTTTGTCTCATTAAGCAGCTGTTACTGAGGTAGTATAAGGAAGCTGAGTAATTTGAACACTTTTAGTTTCAAATGAACTTTTCTCTGGGTCTTTAGATTTGAAATTCCCCATTTTGTCTTGTAATGGAAGTCACCTCATGGTCCTGATAGCCCTCCAGGCCACTAAGTTCATGGGATGTGAACTGCCTCTGCTCAACTCTGGTGGCTGCGCTTGACCTCTGACCTCTGGCCCATGCACTGATGCAACGTCTGTCTCTCCACCTGCTCTAAAAACCAAAATTTTCTTTGGTTTATAGGAAGATGTGAAACTTACCCGCAATTCTAGGTGTTCCTAAGAAGTGAGACCATGAGGCAAAATGTATTAACTGCAGGTAAACTTTTTTTTTTTTGAGACGGAGTCATGCTGTTGCCCACGCTGGAGTGCAGTAGCGCGATCTCCGCTCACTGTAAGCTCCGCCTCCCGGGTTCACGCCATTCTCCTGCCTCAGCGTCCCGAGTAGCTGGGACTACAGGCGCCCGCCACCACGCCTGGCTAATTTTTTGTATTTTTAGTAGAGATGGGGTTTCACCGTGTTAGCCAGGATGGACCTCGTGACCCGCCTGCCTCAGCCTCCCAAAGTGCTGGGATTACAGGCGTGAGCCACCACGCCCGGCTAACTGCAGGTAAACTCTTATCTCAAACAGTGGTTCTCAACTTGCAATGGTTCTGTCCCTCCTTCCCCTGGGAACCTTTGGCAATGTCTGCAGACAGGTTGGTTGTCACGGCTTGGTGGGAGTGCTACTGGTTTCTAGTGGGTGAAGGCCACGGATGCTCCTAAACCTCTGAGAGTACACTGGACAGGTCCAACATCAAAGTTCCTTACAAGGTATGTAGAGCACTTTACCATTTACACTGGACTTAGCTCACTCTCACAGTCACCACTTCAAACATGAGGAAATGGAAATGTAAGAGACTCAAGAATGCCAAAAATTAGAAAAAACTCACAAGGATGGCATTCCCTTGACATTTGCTTCAGATGAAGTAACTGTCACAGATCCAAAGATGAAGCTGCTTTTGCACATAAGAGCATGTATTTACCTGGAAAAAATTCACTCAAATCCCTCCCTTTGGAGTCTGAGTCCCTAGTGCTGGAGATCTCAGTTCTATTTGCTCCCTGCTCTGTGGCTCACAGAGATTCTAGCAAGACTAGGGTGGGCCTGGGAAATGCTAACAATTTCCTTGACAAGTGAATTATGCTTTGAGTCCGAGTTAGCGGAATAGTGAGACCCTGCGCAGGGGAAGGTTCTTTCATTGAAGACCATTGCTACTTCCATCCTGAGCTCTGCATTTAATAGGTGACGATGGAATGAAAAGGTTAACTTACGCCACGCTACCCTTCTGTGGTAACATCCTTGACTTGTTTAGAAGATTAAATAAAAAAAAAGAAACTAATTAGTGAGAGGCTTCCTGATAATTATTGGGAACTCTCTTGTATGTTATCTTATCTGACAAGTCACCTGAAAAGCCATCTGAAGAAACAGAACCAAAAGAAAGGATATTACAACAAGAACTTTACTGGTAACACCTTTTTAATAGGTCAAAGTAACTGTACAGTTCATTATATTCTTCCTGAGAATAATTTATATCCCCCAACAAACTAAAGGGAGGGTATATTTTTTCAAAATTAACAGAATGGATGGTGTAACTGGACATCAAAAGAAAACCAAATTCCTGTTTTGCTTCATTCTCTCCTGGGAAGACAGATACAAGGAAGGGTTAGTTAACTCCAGTGGCTGTAAAATAGTCAACATGGCTTTAATCTTTCTTTATAAATTATATAAAAATGGAAAAAGGGGATGGTTCTGGAACTTCTCCTCAATGCAGTTTGGAGGTGCTCTGGTACAAAGCATTTCTGCTTCCAAGAGAAATAACATTGCTACAAAAAACTGGCACATTATTCTGTGAAAAAAGACATGAGTTTTTAGTTGTGTTCTACAGCTAGTTCCCGACCCAATGCTTCACATATCCACACGAAAGTAAAAGGCAGGTAAGACAAAAAGGGCTGTAGTTTTTTCTGAAATAACTCAAGTCTTCAAAATATAGCTTTTATATTCTTTGTAAAGTGGGATTAGCATATTGCAACTGAAGGGTGTTCTAACAAACAAAAATTCCAGTCTGGATAATAATTCTATGGTAGACAAAAGAATTCTCAGCCTCTTGGGTTTCCTGGAATTCTTTGCTTCATGCTCTCCTCTTCCACTATGCAGCTAAGGTAGTTTAGGAATTAAGATGTCACCCCTTGGCCATCCCCCTTTAGAACGTATCTTAATGTGAACATAAATTGTTCTTCATGATGCTTAAAAGCTTACATATAATTTTCATTCTTAGAAAAACGCCACATTTTGGATCCTGGATTTTTCTGAATATCATGATTGAAAAAAACAAAACAAAAAATGAACCCAAATCAAAGTGTGGTTAAACTTATATGAGAAAGATTTTTCAACCAGATGGTCATTCAAAAAAGTTGGAGCTGTAAGTGCTGGCGACTGAGGACACAGGGTTAATTCCTCGCTGCTGGTGGAAGGCTAGAGAACATCTTCAAAAGAGGGTAGCAAGACGTGCTCCTAGGGGAGGCTCAGTGTGGTCTCGTCTGCCCAAGCATTTTCAGTCTTGCTTGGTCAATGACATCGAGTAAGTTTTTGGCATCCACAGCCAGGGCGTGAGCAGCAGTCAGCATTTGCTTTTTGTACTCTTGCTGGAGGCTGGTCATGACATACTGCTGGGCCAGTTTCATCTTGTTGATGAGCTCACCCAGGTCAGAGTTCAATAGCTTCTGTGCCATCTCAATCTGAAAGACAAGAGATAGGTCAGGAGAACTGTTTTCAGTGATTTTTTTTTTTCTTTTTTAGAGAGATGTTCTTACTGTGTTGTCCAAGCTTGCCTCAAACTCCTGGGCTCAAGGAATCTTCCTGCCTCAGCCTTCCCACTAGCTGGGAACACAGGCACATGCCACCAAGCCCTGCACCAATGAACTTTTCAGGGAATTTTTATGAGCCTTTCTTTCAGTGCCTCCATGAGAAGAAAACTTTATTTCCTGTAAATAAATCTTCCTTAGGAGCAATAGGATGTAAAAATCAATCTTTAAATTTTTTTTTTCTTATTTTAACTTCCCACACTACATTCATGCATTTAAACATTTTTTTTACTTACTTTAGAAATTCAGCTATTATAGTGTGCCTGTTTGTGCATGCCGATTCACACATGCAGATCCAGCATCTTGTTCCTTCCATTCAAAGCCTTCCCTGACACCATGACTAACTTCGTCTCCATTTGCGCTGTTTAGACTTTATTAATCTCAGTGACTGGCAGGGCTTTTGTTTCATAATAGAACCACAGAATCTGACAGAACTTCAGAGATCATCTATTCCAAACACTTTCACATTAGAGTGGACAACTGAGATACAGTAAGATGTGCTGAAGGCCACACAGCTCTTTAGTCTCCAAGCCAGGACAAAAGCCTCAGTTCTGACTTCTGGTCTTATGCTTTCTACTATGCCAACTCTATTTCAAGACCTTCCTTGGCTATACAAAAAATGGTTTAAGGATGGTGGCAGGGCGCAGTGGCTCACTCCTGTACAATTTCAGCACTTTGGGCGGCGGAGGCAGGCTGACGGCTTGAGCTCAAAAGTTTGAGGCCAGCCTGGGCAACATGGTGAAACCCCATCTCTACAAAAAAATACAAAAAGTTAGCTGAGTATGGTGGTGTGCACCTGTATTCCAAGCTACTCAGGAGGCTGACGTGGGAGGACGGCTTGAGCCTGGAAGACAGAGGTTGTAGTGAGCCAAGATCGTGCCATTGCACTCCAGCCTGGGTGACAGAGCCAGACCATTATGTACGCCCCTCCCCCCGCACACATTAAGTCAGGGCAGCAATGGTGGAAGCAGCTAATGAACACAAAATGCTGTCCTACAGGGTTCGAATGCTTTGCATGGGAGAGTCTCATGATCCTTCTTATCTGTTTCTTCAACCAGTGGTGACTTATCCATTTGCTCTTTTATCAATTATGGAGCACCTATTATGTACGAGACACTTGGTGCTTGGATACAAGGAGGAAGACCTGTTTTTACCCGCAGTCTACAATGGGAAAAGCATACACAGGACCCTATAATACACTGGAATAAATCACGTAGTAGAAAAGTACATAGATAAGACAGCAATGCATTCTGTCTCAGAGAGGGTCAGAAAGACTTCACAGAGAGAATTTGTCTGAATTTGGCCTATACTGTAAAAGTAGGCTGGCTTCAACTGTGAAAGCCACACCTAGTTGATCTTTATTTGGCAGGACTTGGCAAGAGGGATAAGAGATTTTTAAGAAGGAGAATGACAAAATCTAGAGAGATATTCTAGAAAGATGGCTCTTGGCGGCAATGTGGAGGCTGAATGGAAGGGCAGGGGAACAGACAAGAGGCAGATAAACCATCTAAGAGGCCATCTTCAGAGGAGAGGTGATGGTGGATGTGCAGGTGAACGGACCAACCTGAGACCTGATGAGAGATGGAAGGTGTGTGGTTGTTTGCATGTGTGTAGGGGATTGGGAACAGACATGCAAGTGCATGGTGTTGTCACTGACTGTGGAAGCAAACAAGGAAAGCAGACCGTTCTTGCCAATGGCAGACAGTTGGAGATCAGAGCTCAGGGCGGGGTTCTATAAAATCAACACAGATTTGGGAGGCATCAAATACTTGAATCTATGAGAATGAGAAGAACTACCAGAGTGAAAAAGTATTTTTTAATAAAACAAGTGGGTAGCACTTTGGGAGATGACCACACTCAAGGGTGGCAGGGAACAAAAGCCTGAGCAGAGGTCTTGGCAGGAGAGGAGTGAGTGAGGAAGCTCTGGGCCAGAGCAGGGGGTCTCAAGGGGGAGTTAGGACTGAGGGGAAAGCAGGGGCTCTGGCAATTAGGAGACCTTGAAGGGCTGTTACAGCAGAGAGAGTTCCAAACAGCTGGAGCACTGGAATGCTCTGAGCTGGCGCTGAGTGCAGCTGCCATGTGAGGAGGTGGCCCCATCAGGGATGGGCTGCTCTTTCAGGAAGTACAATGGGGACAGGAGGAGGCATGAGGACAGTGAAAGGCAGATGCAGGATCAAAGACAGGCTCCTCTTCTTTTCAAAAATGATTTAAGGCCAGGTGTGGTGGCTCACGCCTGTAACCCCAGCACTTTGGGAGACCGAGGTAGGAGGATGGCTTGAAGCAGGAATTTGAGACCAGCTTGGGCAACACAGTAAGACACTGTCTCTACAAAAAAATAAAGAATTAGCTGGGCGTGGTGGTATACAACTGTAATCCCAGCTACTTGGGAGGCGGAGGCAGGAAGATCACTTGAGCTCAGGAGTTGGAGGTTATAGTGAGCTGTGATGGAGTCACTGCATTCCAGCCTGGGTGACAGAGACAGACCCTGTCTCAAAAAAAAAAAAATTAATAATTAAAAAATACTGTATACAGGAGAGCAATTTGTGTATTGGAATCAGGGGAGATGAAAAGATTACTTTAGACTTTATCAACTAGAGTAGGTGTTGACAAATAGTCCCACTAAAATATCCACTTGGTAGGACACCATTTTCTTGCCTCTAGCATATGGAACTTCTCCACTTTGGGGCAAAACTGAGGCTTGTCATGGAAAGCCAGAGGCCCGGTGAAGCAGGTAAGTGAGAGAACCCCATTTGGTTGGGATGTGAAGTTACACTACAGCACCAGTCACAGGCCTTCTCAAAAACAAGTTAAAGGGTTTATGCATATGAATCAATGCCACTTACAAAGGAATCACCAACAGGAGTTGTGTCCAACCGTCCTTCAGAAGTCAATGTCCAGTTGGTCAACTGGAACATCCCCTGGACATCGTATGTCTCTGGGTATGATGCTGAGAAGGATTCAGCATTATTTATGTTGTATTCCTGACTGGAGATGCAAAATCTCAATCTCATCAGGAAGAAACAAATGTTTATAGGATATCCCTCAATCCAACTTTAAGAATACTCTATAAAATCACTGAGCCTATGTTTGTCAAAAATGTCAATGTCATGAAAGATAAAAAAAGGCTGAGGAGCTGTTTCAGATGAAAGGAGGCTGAAGAAAGCAACACCACGTGCAAAGTGTAATCCTGGTCTGGCTCTCACAGGCGACGGAAAAGTGCTACAGAGACAACCGACGACCCTGGAACGTGCCCTGCAGAGTGGGACAGTGCATTACATCATGTTAAAGTTCCAGAATGTGGTGATTGTGTGGTGGTTATGTAGGACAATGGCCTTGTTATGAGAAATATAAATGGAAATCTTAAAGGGGAAGAGGGCATGAGATACACAGCCATTCTCAAGCTGCTCGACAGCAGGAAGTGATGTGTGTACACACATAGACAATGGAGCAAGGTGACAATGTGCTGACATGTTAAAAGGCTGTGAAACTCAAAGGAAAGTTGGGAGTTCTCTCTATTAATCTTTTAACTTTCATATAAATCTGAAATGATTTCAAAATAAAAAGGACAAACAAAAAGTGTGTGCTGGGATGAAGAACTGCCCATGCTTCCCTAGAAATGAGAAAAGCAGGCAGCTGGAGTCAGCAGGGAGCAAGGCTGAAGCCTGCAGATCCTGGACTCTGTAGTGGGGACGCATCCCACATGCGTTTGTCAATCCCAACCACAGAATGTACACCCTAGGCTCAAAGACACTAAAACAAATGCAGGTGCTTCCTTTCATTTGTTAGTCATATAATTGAAACAAAATTGCCAAAAGGTAGCAAAAATGATAGTTGTTGCTGGGCTACAGTATTTTGGGTCAACTTTTATTCCTTAAAACTTTTTTTTTTGAAACAGGGTTTGCTCTGTCACCCAGGATGGAGTATGGTGGCTTGATCCTAGCTCACTGTAGCCTGAAACTCCTGGGCTCAAGCGATCATCCTGCTTCAGCCTCCTGAGTAGCTACTGCACACAGCTAATTTTTAAAAATTTTTTGTAGAGACAGAGTCTCGCTTTGTTGCCCAGGCTGGTCATAAACTGGCTTTAAGCCATCCTCTTGTCTCGGCCGCCCAAAGTGTTGGGATTACAGAGGTGAGCCACCACACTCAGCCCTTAAGAAGCTTCTTAAAGACATTCATTAATTTAAAATGATTTTTTTTTTCAGATGGAGTCTCACTCTGTTGCAGGCTGGAGTGCAATGGCACGATCTCGGCTCACTGCAACCTCCACCTCCCGGGTTCAAGTCATTCTCCTGTCTCAGCCTCCCAAGTAGCTGGGACTATAGGCGCGTGCCACCATGCCTAGCTACTTTTTGTATTTTTAGTAGAGATGGAGTTTCATCATGTTGGCCAGGATGGTCTCGATCTCTTGACCTCGTGATCTGTCCGCCTCAGCCTCCCAAAGTGCTCAGATTACAGGCGTGAGCCACTGCGCCTGGCCTGGAATTTTTTAAGACAATAATTTTATTTATTAATTTTTTGGTAGAGATAGGGTCTCACTATGTTGTCTTGAAATCCAGGCCTCAAGCCATCCTCCTGCCTTGGCCTCCCAATGTGTTGGGATTACGGGCGTGAGCTACCATGCCTGGCCTAAAAGAAATTTTTTATATTACTACTTGAAATGGAAAACCAGGATCATTTGCAAGCTCAACTATTTTTAAGGAGAATTCGAGGAAGCAGACCATGCACAATGCCCGCCCCATTCATATCAGCATTCTTCTACCTTTTAGGTTCATGGCACCAGCAGCAGTTTCCCATGTGCCTTCCTCATCCACTGCTCAGAGCCACTTGTAGCTCAGATGAGGACCTTGCATAGTGGCTCTGCAGTGGACTAGCAGCAGGAAGACCCAGGATCTGGAATTTGAGTGGCCACTGCTCCACACCACCCCTATGCCCTAGAATGAACAGCCCCGTCCTGGTTGGGGCCAGTGTTAGAGGGAAGGTCATCGCTTGTAGGGCAGTTGATGTCTCTGCTGGCCACAGACTGAGGAGCGGCCTTCAGCACCACAGGCATCCCTGAATGTGTCCCTGCCCAGTGCTGTCACAGAGGGCTGCAAGGGGAAGATTGTGCCCTACCTCTCGGTGGGTGCTGGCTGGTAGGAGGGGAATGGTCTCATCCACAGTGGCCAATAATGTCCTCAGGGCCAAGCCGACTTCCTAACAGACAAGAATCACAACCAATATTAGAACACACACAAAGGATTTTTATGCTTTTCAGTTATATATTTTTTTATTTCCTTTCCACAAGTTTCAAGGCAAATTTCTGTATTTCTTTTTCTCAGTGCTTAGCCCTATCTTGTAAGTTATGAGGCTCCTTTTTCTCCCAAAAGATTTAGATCTGACTGTTCATTGCTCTAATACCCTAAGGAGTGAGTTGAAGACCAGAAGTTCATGTAAGAAAAGTCACACAGATGCTGAGGGTGGAAAGCAGGATTTTTTTTTTTCTCATCTACTGCTTCCAAGCAGATTATACCACCCTCCTGGCTCCAACTGCCAACCCTGCCAACACAGGTTAGGATAAATAGTAGCACCTTTCCCCAAGTGTGTTCACCAAATGTGTTCTCACCCAGGTACTTTCAAACACCTCATGAGGCTGGCCAGAGATGACACCACTGCCCCGGATGCAAGGGGGCAGCCTTGCTTTGGACCCCGTTCTGAATCTCAGGCTTCATCTATTAGGCACACTGAGCAGAAACACTCCTCCCTGCCACTTCCGAGTTGCAGCAAAAAGGGTCTAACTATGATTTAAAACAAATAATTTTAAACTTCAAATTTTCATTACTGTCATACTTATGAGGACCAAATAATGTAATGACTAAGACATCAAATTACATGTAATATGAATAAAACCAGTAAGAAAATGATAGTTACTTATAATTGGATCAACATACAAAAAGAACGTCATTTGGCCAAAGTAAAACGGTTAAAAAAATAGTGTCTATAAAATCACCATATAAAATCTTAGTATGTACAAAATTCTGAATGGTTTCACCTACTGTTGAGTTGTTTAAACTTGGCTGTGGGTTCATGCAAGTTCCTCCTTAAGAACTTTGGTTAAAACTGTTATGTGGATACACTTTAAAAAAGTGAACCAGAATGGATTAACTGTGCTTTCCATGAAACATTACAACTTTCAAGCAGCTTTTTCCACATTGATGGTTTATAAGAAGCTGTTGCAAAGATTGCTAATAGGTATACTAAAAAACAGTTGTAGGGGCCAGGCGCAGTGGCTCATGCCTGTAATCCCAGGACTTTGGGAGGCCGAGGCAGGCAGATCACCTGAGGTCAGGAGTTTGAGACCAGCTTGGCCAACAGGGTGAAACCCCGTCTCTACTAAAAATACAAAAATAAGCCAGGTGTGGTGGTGCATGCCTGTAGTCCCAGCTACTCGGGAAGCTGAGGCAGCAGAATTGCTTGAACCTGGGAGGCAGGGGTTGCAGTGAACCAAGATCGTGCCATTGCACTCCAGCCTGGGAGCCTGGGTGACAGAATGAGACTCCATCTCAAACAAAACAAAACAAAAAACCCAACAACAACAATTGTAGGATTCTATAACTCAACAACAAAATACAGTATGATTTAAAAAACAGGCCAAAAAAGAAAAAAAAAACTTGACATTTTTCCAAAAAAGATACACAAACGCTCAAAAAGCAAACAGATGTTCAAGACCTGTATGCAAATCAAAATCACACTTAGATACACTTCACATCCATTAGGATGACAATTATTTTTTAAAACACACACACAAAACCCCAAGCTTCAAAATAACCCCCCAGAAAATAACACGTTTTGGTGAGAATATGGAGAAACTGGAACCCTTGTGTGCTGTTGGAGGGAATGTAAGATGGTGCAGCCGCTGTGAAAAACAGAATGGTGGCTCCTCAAAAAATTAAAAATAGAATTATCAGTGATCCAGCAATTCTGAGTATACACTCAAAAGAAGTGAAAGCAGGGTCTCAAAAAGATATTTGTATATCCATGTTCCTAGCAGCATTCTTCATGATAACTGAAAGGTGGAAGCAACCCAAGTACCCTGTGATGGTTCAGTAAATAAACAAAATGTGGTGTGAACATACAGTGGAATATCACTCTGCCCTAAAAAGGAAGAAAATTCTGACACATGCTACAACATGGATGAACTCTGAGATACTATGCTGAGTGAAATAAATCCATCACAAAAAGACAAATACAGTATGATTCCACTTATAAGCGGTACCTAGGGTAGTCAATTCATAGAGATAGCAAGTAGGATGGAGGTTGCCAGGGGCTGGGGGAGGGGAAAAGAGGAGGGTTGTTTCAAATGCACAGTTTCAGTTTTGCAAGGGAAGGGTTATGGAAGTGGATGGTGCTGATGGTGGCACAACATTGTGAATGTACCTAATGCTTCTGAAATGTATGCTTAAAAATGGTTAAGATGGTAGTTTATGTTACGTGTATTTTACTATAGTGAAAAAAAAGTATGTTCGAGTATGTTTCAGAAATACTGGCTTAGAGCAAATTTCGACCACACTCTGTGAACTGGAGGACACCCCTGTGCAACCAACATGCCAGTCTGTACTCTTTAAAAGGAGCCATTGCTGACTTTCCTTGGACCTAGTGTCCTCTTTCTTTCTCTCTCTCTCTCTCTTTTTTTTTTTTTTTAAAGAGATGGGGTTTCACCATGTTGGCCAAGCTGGTCTTGAACTTCTGACCTCAAGTGATCTGCCTGCCTCAGCCTCCCAAAGTTCTGGGATTATGGGCATGAGCCACCACACTCAGCCCCTAGTGTCCTTTTACACAGGACACCTGTCACTGCCTGCTAGGATCCCACTCCACTGAACACAATTTGGAAAACATTAGTTTACTGGCATGATATTTTTATTTATTTTTACTCTTTTTAAAAGAAAATTCAATGAACACCCACATACCCAACCCTTAGCTTAAGAAAAACAACACAGATAAATCCTCCCAATGTACCTTTCTTCAGCTGGCTCCTCCTTACAGGTGCGGGATCTGAATTTGATAATGATCATTCCTCTACTTGTCTTTGCACTCCAACAACGTAACCACATCTCCCTAAGTCTTACACAGGATTATTTTGCATGTTTTTCAAGTTTACATAAATGGCATCATACTGTAAGCATACTTTTGCAGCTTTCTCTTTCACTGCAGACTTTATGTGTGAGTGGTAATTATTAAAAGAGTGTACTGCTTCAAGACACTCCCATCCTAGTGTTTACTGACAGAAGAAAACAAGATAGGAACGGCAATTCAGAATAACTGCAGTTCTCACTAACATTGTCACTGTATGGTGCTTTCGTGAAGAGCTTCTAAAGCATCAGTTCTGACTTTGGTGGGGCGGGGGGACCTAGAGACATCTATCAACTGGCACCACAGCTTACAGGAAACAAGAACATTTTTGCCAGTACACAAAATGACTCTATTTTACCTTCACCATAGGGACATACTCCTCTGGTGGGGCTGGCTGGATTTTACTGGACATCTCGATGACAGCTTTCACCAGGCCCGTCACATTCTCGTACACCTTATCATTCGACCGGTCCAGGTTGGCAGTAGGAGGGGGGCTGATTTCCTGGGGCTGAAGCTGACAACACAGAAGCCAGTCATTTTTCTGCTCTCCAGCAGATGGCGTGAGATCACCACAATCAAGCTAGAGAGGGTCTTTACAAGAGATCAAAGCAGATTGCAGAAGGTCATTGATTTTCTTGTGTGTGCGGGATATAGTTCAGATTGAGAATGACAGTAAAGTAATTCCTCCAAGTGACAAATTAGGCAGTATTTTCTTTCTAACTTTGAGCTCAGTTAAAGGAAATGAGATGGAATCATACATATTATACTAAAAACCCCAGATTCTTTCAGAGACCTGATTCAATGTCCCCTCACCCCAAAATCATTTACCACAAGATAATAATCCATCTGGGAATTTACTGAATTTTAGACAAAATTACCTATTTGGCTAAAGAGTCAAACATTCTACATGAAGACTATAAGGATTTCCACTTAGTTTGAATTCTGCAGTGAAAACGGTATGGCTCAGCTTAGCTGCCCTCAGCCGCCTAATGGAAACATGTTCTTTGTACAATTATAAAAAGCTGACATATGAATGCACTTTAAGGGGATAGCATCTGTTTGCAGGTCGTGACTGAAGTCAAAGCAGCAGTGGTGTCGCTAGGAGCCTCTCTGCTCAAGACCCCGGTTTCAGCCAGCTCTGTGCTGACTGCTGGAAAGCACCTGGGCCTACGCTTATAAAGCCTCAGCTCTCTCACCCGGGCAACTGTGATCAGGGAAGATGAGGCCAAAGATGTAACAATGTCTACCTAGGGCCTGGGCACAGAAGAGACATCAACAAATGTTACTAAGATAACTTGAGTACTGATGGTGGAATAACATGAGGGCCTTTGGGAAATCTTCAGCAGTATTTAAAAATTCCAACTGGTTAGAATTACACCAGCATAAAATGGTATATATATATATATATATATATATATATATATATATATACACTTTTTAAAAAAGACCAACTTGTAGTACATATAGTTTAATCATGAACCTGATGCCAGTGCTCAGTCTAAATATAAGTTCCCATTTCTGAACCCTTGGGTGCTTTTGCCTAAGTAATCTGGAACAGATTAATTCTTGGTTGTTCCAAAAGTCTGGGTATGAGATAGAAAAGCACAAGAATAATTCATTTACTGCAAAGATGTACATGTCTCATTCTTTTGCATATATAAACACTGCTTTTGGCATCTGTCAGTCATGAGAGGTGACAAAGCAGGCCGAAGTGCCCTCCCACTTGGGCTTCCTGCTTTCCAGTCCAAAGTTACATGCAGAGAGCCGGGTGTGATAGAGAGAGCTGGACAGACACACAAAGACACGATGTGCTTACCCTCCATGGCTATTGTCGAACGGAAGGTGAGGAAAAGTTAAAGGAATTTATCAGAGAAAGGGAAAAAAGAAAAACAATATTAATAAAGGCATAAGACAAATCCCCCATAAAAACACATGAGCAGAACAAAAAGGAGCTAGTTTCCAAGCCTGCCCACCAGCTCTCACTCACTGTTGCCAGGGTGTGGCTACTGTGCCACCTGCTCACTGCCCCAGCATACTGCATAGAGAGGTCTGCCATGCACCATGCTCAGTTACAAAACAAATGCAGGGAACATGCAAAGCCCGAGGAACAATCCAGCAGCAGTGCAAGGTCAACAGAATGAGAGCTCTTCAAAAAGAAAGGAGGAGGAGGACATATGGTTTTAATTACTGAAAAGTGCCCATCTGAATTCTCATAGATTCAGGAGAAACTGCAGCAGCCTCAATTCCTGAGCCCGGCCCCTCAATATCCTTGAGATCCACTTCATCATCTAGCCATAATGCTATCATAAAGATTCCTGACTTGGGGCTGAGTTTAAAGATATTAGGCCCAGCCTGGCCAACATGGTCAAACCCTGTCTCTACTAAAAATACAAAAATTAGCAGGGTAATGGTAGTGCATCCCTGTAATCCCAGCTACTCGGGAGGCTGAGGCAGGAGAGTCATTTGAACCTCGGAGGCAGAGGTTGCAGTGAGCTGAGATTGTGCCACTGTACTCCAGCCTGGGTGACAGAGCGACACTGTGTCTCAAAAAAAAAAAAAAAAAAAAAAAAAAACAACAACACACACACACACACACACACACACACACACACACACACACACACACACATTGGGAGCTTATTTTAAAAACAAAAAACAAAAGTAGAACAGAAACCCCTTTTTTGAGCTGATTCTTATGATTAGGTTCTACTACTTGAAACTGAACAGTTTTATTTAATGTGTTTTCTCTAAAGCTCAAGCCAGGGCGCTATCCTACTATAACCACACCATTTCCAAGAGATGACTTCCTGTATTTTATTTTCTGCACTGAGAGTCACAGTGTGGTCTTCTGTTTAACTTCATAGGATGTACCAGTTCAAACTACATCAACAGGGCTTCTTGAGGAGGGGGCCACAGGGTGTTTCATCAAGAAGAAATAGACAATTCTGTAATTCTAGGGAGGTTGTCACCTGTTTAAAGCTTCTGTTCCTTTCTACTTTACCCTTTGCCCAATTATTGTGGTAGAGGGGCACTGTCATAATGCTTCTAGGGACCATTCACAGTGACATTCCAGAAGGGAAAGCTGTTTGGAAAGACATCCTAATGGTTTTCTATTTTCTGGAGCTTGACAACTTGGAAGCTCCTTGGCAGGCAGTTGATAAACCCTCTATAGATGTAGCCAATTCCAACCACTTAGGTTGATGCTTAAAGACTCAGTTAAGAACCAAAATGCAGTGCTACCTAGGAAAAATTGAGACTGATTTTGGCTGTTATTTGGATGAATTATTTTAGTTATACATAAAAGTAAATATTTTAGTATTAGTTTTTTTTAGGCAGAATCTCGCTCTGTCGCCCAGGCTGGAGTGCAGTAGTGTGATCTCAGCTCACCACAACCACCGCCTCCTGGATTCCAGCGATTCTTGTGCCTCAGCCCCCTGAGCAGCTGGAATTATAGGGTCACACTACTATGCACAGCTAATGTTTGTATTTTTAGTAGAGACAGGGTTTTGCCATGTTGGCCAGGCTGGTCTGGTACTCTTGGTCTCAAGCAATCCACTTGCCTTGGCCTCTCAGTGTTGGAATTACAGGCGTGAGCCACTGTGCCTAGCTGCATTGCAGTATTAGAACAATACTGTTCTTTTAGGATGGATTCAATGACCTCTACCAAGCAGACAATGAAGAAACAGAGGTGTATATTTCATGTTATTTAAAAATCTACTTAGGTCGGGTGCGGTGGCTCATGCCTGTAATCCCAGCACTTTGGGAGGCCGAGGCGGGCGGATCACAAGGTCAGGAGATCAAGACCATCCTGGCTAACACGGTGAAACCCCGTCTCTACTAAAAATACCCAAAAAAAAAAAAAAAAAAAAAAATTAGATGGGCCTGGTGGCGGGTGCCTGTAGTCCCAGCTACTTGGGATGATGAGGCAGGAGAATGGCGTGAACCCGGGAGGCGGAGCTTGCAGTGAGCCAAGATCGCACCACTGCACTCCAGCCTGGGCAACAGAGTGAGACTCTGTCTCAGGGGGGCGGGGGGCGGGAATCTTTACTTAATATATTTTAAGTACACATATTATTTTCAAGATTTCAATTTGCTTCATACCCTATCCTAATTGTATGTATTCATTATGTTATTCCAGCTGTGAAAGATGTTTCATAATGATGTCAGAATTCTAAGGTGGTACCGATCTACCTGTAAAGTTGGTTTTTCATTGTAATACAAGCCATTTTGAAAGTCTGTTCTTTTGGCTTATGAAAATAAATAATTCATTAATCTCATTCTGTCCCCTTTTCTTTTTTTAAAGAGATGGGGTCTCACTATGTTGCGCAGGCCAGATTCAAACTTCTGGGCTGAAGTGATCCTCCTTCCTCAGCCTCCCGAGTAGCTGGGACTATAGTCATAGAGGTGCGCCACCATGTCTGGCTCCTTTTTAGAAATTTATTGAAAGAAGCCAATATTGGGAAGGGTGTGTCCTTCCTCAATTTTCCTTGGAGAAGACTCAGTGTGTCTTTAACAGAACTGTCAGGAGGCATCCTGGGGCTTGGAGGCCTGGTGAACTGAGGAAGTTCCTGATTCCCAGGCACTTAAAAGCCACTGGCATGAACTCTGGGCACCAACCCTAAGGGCAGAGGCATCCCTAGCCCAGTTGGTACTTTCACTATGGCCACAGAGGGCAGGCTTGGCCACAGAGAGCAGGCTAGTTTGTGCCAGTGGCTGCCCATTCACCCTCTGGTCACCTCCTCAATGAACACTGGCAAACCTGTGCCCTCTAAGCTGCAGGCTATCCCTCTGGGCCTGGAGATGACATTTTTTCTTACCCTGGACTAACTTTCTGATGACTCTGAGAAGACAACAATGTATCTACATCTAACGAAGCTTCAGCTTTGGAGGCGAGTGCCTTTGAGTCAAGTATGTGCTCAGCCAAGCCTGCGGCCAAGCACAGCTCAGCTATGTGGAGGCTGTGTAACCTTGAACAAACTGCTTAATCTCTGTGAGCCTTGGTCAACTGAGAAATGATACCACCACCAGTCCTGTGAGGTTCACATGAGAACTGATAATACATGAAAAAGGACTGCCACAGAACTTGGTAAAGGGATGACAGTCAATAAATGGTGGTTATTGGTAAAGCAAAGTTTATCTTAACCTGATATGACATTTTTCGGATTTTAAGATGTCTTCCACTATAAGATGCATCCTTTTTTTTTTTTTTAACCTCGAGACGGAATCTTGCTCTGTCGCCCAGGCTGGAGTGCAATGGCATGATCTTGACTCATTGCAACCTCCACCTCCTGGGTTCAAGTGATTCTCCTGCCTCAGCCACCTGAGTAGCTGGGATTGCAGACATGCACCACCACGCCCAGCTAATTTCTTTGTATTTTTAGTAGAGACGGGGTTTCACCATGTTGGCCAGGCTGGTCTTGAACTCCTGACCTTGTGATCCGCCCGTCTTGGCCTCCCGAAATGCTGGGATTACAGGCATGAGCCACCACACCTAGCTCAAGATGCACCATTTTTTAATGAACCACTAAGAAAAAAAAATGCTGCCAATTAAACCAAAACACCATCCCAATTTTAGAGATATTAAAATGTGAATAAAAGGTATATGACAATTGAGAAATAGCGTCTATTTTGAGAGGTAATTTGTCATTTTAAGTGGAAAGTAAAAAGATCCCATCTCCTTACAGGACACAGGCTAGAAAAGAAGAGCCTCCTCCGTCAGATCTCTCAGGGAGGAGGGCTGCTGCTCTAGTGGCTCCAGCACTCGGTGAGGGCTGGTGGGGACCCAGGAGAGTCACAGGCGCCAACAGTTCCAGCTGGCACCCCTCGGGGCAGGCTGCACCTGACTTCTGACTGCCAAACTCAGAAGCTTGTGGTTGTTTGTGCCTGAGTCAAACACTCCCCTTGGTTTGAGGATGGCTCTACTCAGCATACATTGCTTTTACAAACCCAATTCTAACTTTAAATGGAAAATAAATAAGTCTTCCATGAAGCCACACTTATAAACTCCTACAAAAAGTCCTCACTTACCCCAAGCATCCTGGTTTAATTAATTTTTAAAACCAGAAACAATCTTGGCACTTTGTTCTAAAGAAAACATTCTGTCTGATCAGAGGAAGATGTATGTAGAAAATCAGAATCTGACTGAATTCCTAAAATCTATTACACTGAGAGGAAAATGGAAAAGAAAATGTTTGCATAAAGCTTTTCCCTGACTCTCAGAGGGGTTCAGAACCAGACCAATTGACTCCTGGGTCTCACTGCAGTTCCACTCTGCACTGTTCTATTTTCAGCACCAACTCCACTCTATGACATGAACACATCAACTGAGAACTAGGGGACACCACAAATCCTGCAAGCAGAAGGTGCTGCACAGGCTCAGATGCCCACCTTGACACCCTCGTTGTAGCTGTCAGCAGGGCTGCTGAGGCTGGCAAGGCTTCCCAGATGACCGGGAGCTCCAGGGCGAGGCGGTTTCTTTGGTGGAGCTGCAGGATCTGGTGAGAGAGAATGATTCCCATTAAGTCATGTGCGTTAAGAAAGATTAAGAGGCTGGGGGCAGTGGCTCATGCCTATAATCTCAGCACTTTGGGAGGCTGAAGCGGGCAGATCACCTGAGGTCAGGAATTCGAGATCAGCCTGACCAACATGGAGAAACCCCATCTCTACTAAAAATACAAAATTAGCCGGGTGTGGTGGCACATGCCTGTAATCCCAGCTACTCAGGAGGCTGAGGCAGGAGAATCGCTTGAACCCAGGAGGTGGAGGTTGCGGTGAGTTGAGATCGTGCCATTGCACTCTAGCCTAGGCAACAAGAACAAAACTCCGTCTCAAAAAAATAAAAAAAAGAGAAAGAAGGCTGAGCACAGTGGCTCACGCCTGTAATCCCTAGCACTTTGGGAGGCTGAGGCGGGCGGATGCCTGACCTCAGGAGTTCAAGACCAGCCTGGGCAACACGATGAAACCCCATCTCTAGTAAAATTAAAAAAAAAAAAGAAAAGAAAAGAAAAAAAAATTAGCCAGGCATGGTGGTGTGCACCATAGTCCCAGCTACTCGGGAGGCTGAGGCAGGAGAATTGCTTGAACCCGGGAGGTGGAGGTTGCAGTGAGCTCACACCACTACACTCCAGCCTGGGTGACAGAGTGAGACTCTGTATCCAAAAAAAAAAAAAGGAAAGAGAAAGAAACCACTGCTAAATAAATGCCTACTGCTGTTCTTACAAAAGACACTAATCTTGCATTCTAAGGAGGCATTTCTTTCTTTTTTTTTTTTTTTGAGACCGAGTGTTGCTCTGTCACCCAGGCTGGAGTGCAGTGGCGTGATCTCGGCTCACTGCAACCCTAAGGAGGTATTTCTGATGCATTATACCAACAAATTCTTTTTCCCAATACTCTAGTAATGAGCTGAATGTGGTAAACATCGTACTTGCTGTGGTCTGTAGAGGAAAAATTAACCATGAGGGTATTCCAAAGCTACGACACTATATACATTCAAAACCTGCTTTCATCAAATTAAACTAACTTCTTTCCGCCCAATTCTTTTCTTCTTTACCTGGTTTACCCACAGGCTGATATATATGTTGGTTTCCAATCTGTGGGAAAAGAAAAGTTCAGTCAATGCACTGGTATATACACTTGGGCAATGACCTCTCTCACCCACCCTGTCTATCCACCCCCTTGAACTTCTAGGCTAGATTCTAGTGTATCAAAATGAACAAAACAGGGTTCTGCATAAGGTCTCAGTTGGGGTGGGGGATCAGGCAAATAAGCAAATGATGCCAATAGCATGTGTGGAAAGGGCTGTGAGAGAAGCAAGCATGGGACACTCTGGAACCACAAACACAGTGGTCATAACCCATTTAAAATGTTCTTACACAGCTGAGGAGAATGTAAATTAGTACAACCTCTATGGAAAATGAACTAGAAAAACTCAAAATAGAACTACTTATCAAAGAACTCAAAATAGAACTACCATTCGATCCAGCAATCCCATGACTGCATATACGCCCAAAGGAAAACAAATCATTGTATCAAAAAGATACCTGCACTGCTATGTTTATCATGGCACTACTCCCAATATCCAAGATACAGAATCAACCTAAGTGTCCATCAATGAATGTCTGGATTAAAAAAATGTGGTATATGTATACAGTGGAATACTATTTAACCACAAAAAAGAATACAATTGGCTGGGCACAGTGGCTCATGCCTGTAATCCCAGCACTCTGGGAGGTCAAAATGGGCGATAACCTTAGGTCAGGAGTTCAAGACCAGCCTGGCCAACATGGCAAAACCCTGTCTCTACTAAAAACACAAAAATTAGCTGGGCGTGGTGGTACGTGGGTGTAATCCCAGTTACCTGGGAGGTTGAGGCAGGAGGACAGCTTGAACCCAGGAGGCAGAGGTTGCAGTGAGCCAAGATCGTGCTACTGCACTCCAGCCTGGGCAACAGAGCAAGACTCTGTCTCAAAAAAATTAATTAATTAATTAATTAATTAATTAATTAATATATATATTCCTGTCTTTTGCAGCAGTGGGGATGGATGCAGTAATGTGTAGGCCATTATCTTAGGTGAAACAACTTACAAACAGAAAATCAAATCCTGCATGTTCTCATAAGTTGGAGCTAAATAATGCGTATACACATACGTAAGAATGTGGAATAGTCACTGGGGACTTCGAAGAGTTGCCGCGGTCGGTGGGGGCGGGGGGAACAGCGTTAAGACATTACTTAATGGCGCCAGGTGCAGTGGCTCACGCCTGTAATCCCAGCACTTTGGGAGGCTGAGGCGGGTGGATCACAAGGTCAGGAGGTTGAGACCATCCTGGCTAACATGGTGAAACCCCGTCTCTACTTTAAAAAAAAAAAAAAAAAAAAAAAATAGCCAGGTGTGGTGGTGTGTGCCCGTAATCCCAGCTACTTGGGAGGCCTGAGGCGGGAGAATTGCTTGAACCTGGTGGGGGCGGAAATTGCAGTGAGCCGAGATCACGTCACTGCACTTCAGCCTGGGCAACAACAGAGGGAGACTCCATCTCAAAAAAAAAAAAAAAAAAAATGACTTAATGGGTATAATGTACACTATTTGTGTGATGGTTATACTAAAAGCCCAGACTTCACCACTATGCAATATATCCATGTAAAAAAACTGCACTTATACACCTTAAATTTATACAAATAAAAAAAATTTGAAATTTTCTTATATGGATGTCTCCAGTTGACCTCTAAAGGGTTTAAAATCCCAGGACTTCCCAGTGTCTGCATCCTCTCCTGCCTGGCCTCCCAACTATCCTTATCACAAAAACAGGTACAACCAGAAAAATGATGGAAAGGGGCTTGGTAGCACTGGGTGTGTAGATTCCCATGGGCCTACATTGTCATCACCCCCAAAGCACTGTGTGTGTCAGGACCTGTTGTTATACCTCCATCAGTTCTAGGCCAAGCCAGAGAAGCCAAACCACAGCCCAGAACTTCTGTCCCAGGTACAGGATAAAGTTTCACTTAACACCAGTTCTCCTTCAAGTTGTCATACCTGAAACTGCACTTAAAATAGTCTTTCTGAGGCTAACTACCTGGAAAAAAATCTTTTTGGAACTATTTTCTACTTTTGAAAAGAAAGACTTTTCTTGCTTACTTTAAAATAATGAACTGGCTAATAGATATAACCTAAGACACTTTACTTTCTATTGAAAAGAGATCCACTTCTTTACAATACAAGTGCTATAAAAAATAGCACACAAAATTAAAATTGTTCCTCCCTCACACAATCAAGTTGTTTTCAACATGTCATTTAACACCTCTGATTTTAAAGACTTGCAAAAAGTCTCAGAGCTTGAAGGTATGAAGAATGATACCATATCAACTTATTTTTGTGTAGTGCTTTCTACTTCATATATCACTATCATATCATTCATTTGTTCAATGAACAGTTATTGAACATCCGCTTTGTTCTAGCACTGTTCTAGGTATAAAACAAAGATCCTGCCTGGGGAGCAAACAGCTAACAATGCAGTGGAAGGAGACAGGTAATAAACAATGAACATGTATTAGTATATTCTGTGTTCTGTTAGGAGAAGCTGTGTCCCACAAAGAAAGGAGATGGCTGGGATAGAAGGAGAGGAACTACACGTTTTTTGGTATTGGTTGATTGATTAAGTGAGTGACTGAGTCTCACTCTGTCGCCCAGGCTGGAGTGTAGTGGCACAATCTTGGCTCACTGCAACCTCTGCAGCCCAGGTTCAAGTGATTCTCCTGCCTCAGCCTCCTGAGTAGCTGGGATTACAAACGCCCGCCACGATGCCTGGCTATGTTTTTGTATTTTTGGTAAAAACGGGGTTTCACCATGTTGGCCAGGCTGGTCTCAAACTCCCGACCTCAAGTGATCCACCCACCTGGGCCTCCCAAAGTGTTGGGATTACAGGCGTGAGCCACTGCGCCTGGCCCTTATTTTTATTTTTCTGAGACAGGGTATTACTCTGTCACCTGGGCTGCAGTGCTGTGGCATGATCTTTGTTCACTGTAGACTCGACTTCCTGGGCTCAAGTGATGCTCCTGCCTCAGCCTTTTGAGTAGCTGGGAGCTGGGACCACAGGTGCATGCCATCACACCTGGCTAGTTTTTATATTTCTTGTAGAGACAAGGTTTTGCCATATTACCCAGGCTGGTTTCAAGCTCTTGAGCTCAAGCGATCCACCCATCTTGGCCTCCCCAAGTGCTGGGATTACAGGTGTGAGCCACTACTCCAGACCAAAGCTGCAGTTTTAAGTAGGAAGGTCAGGCCTTCTAAGAAAGTGATCCCTGAAAGGGAAGCCTTGTAGCAACCCGGGAGAAGAGTAGCTTCGAGAGGGAGGAGTCCAGTAGGGCAAACCGAATGTGTGAGGAACAGCAAGGTGGTCAGGGCAGATAGAGAGGCGTGAGGGCAGGGAATGGTGGAAACGGGCCAATACTTTAACAACAGACAATGTCTACTGGCTGTGCTGTACTCACTGCTTCAGGCAATAAAATCCATGCCCTTTTTTTTTTAATTTAAAAAATTTTTAAATTTATGTGGTGCCTGTTTCCAGTCAGCCAGCTCACGGCCAGCTGAGTGCTCCCCATGTTTTTTTTTTTTTTTTTTTTTTTTTTTTTTTTTTTTTTTGAGACGGACTCTTGCTCTGTCGCCCAGGCTGGAGTGCAGTGGTGTGATCTTGGCTCACTGCAACCTCTGCCTCCCAGGTTCAAGTGATTCTCCTGCCTCAGCCTCCCAAGTAGCTGGGATTATAGGTGTGCACCACCACGCCTGGGTAATTTTTGTATTTTTAGTAGAGACAGGGTTTCACTATGTGGGCCAGGCTGGTCTTGAACTCCTGACCTCAGGTGATCTGCTCGCCTCGGCCTCCCAAAATACTGTGATTACAGGCGTGAGCCACCGCGCCTGGCCCCATGCTCATTTTAAAAGGTTTAAAAATACAAAGAACTTTCTGGTTGATACTCGGGTAACAAGAAAGTTTAATGAACTAGAAAATCCTATTCTCAGAACATCCTGGAGTAATCTAGCCAATGTGTGCTCACGTACAACCTGCTCGGGTACTCAGGTACAGAAAAGGAGAGACTCTGCTTCAGAAGTCTGACAGTATGAGTGTGTGGAGCTAGGCCTCGTGCATGGTTCTGTGCGGAACCAGCTGTTTACTTTGGAAAAGCTGCAGAGCTGTTAGGGGCTTTGGTTTTTCAATTTGTAAACTGAGGCTAATAACACTTACCTAATAAGACAACTGGGTTGTCATCACAAAATGAACATGCTGTCAACCTGTGTATTAAAGTCTAAATAAAAGTTTACCTTTTATGCACACTGATGGGATCAATTTTCCACTAGGCAGTTATTAATGTTTACTAACTAGTTCACATCCATTTATAATCTACACGGCTTTCTAGTCAAAGGGTTCTCCCTGAAGCCGTGGCACATTTCTAAAAGTGTTAAAGCTGGAGTGTTTCACAAAATGGGGCCAAAACCAAATTATCATCTTTAGGAAAGCACAAAAGGGAAAAAAATCAAATGGTCATAGCGTGTTAACAGTCCCCAGGAAGGCAGTGAAGTCTGTTGAGCAAGGCTGGCTACCGGTGCATAAATGGGGGCACTTAGGCAAGTTTTCTCTGAGTCCTGGTCTACTCATTTGTGAAATGTGGATGACGACAGTACCCGATGTGTCAAGAGTGATGCGACACAGTACCTTGTAGTACTAAGCCAGGACCTCAGTTAGCACTAAGCACTCTTACTATTGCCTCCACCTGGCACAAAGCAAACTGAGATCTTAGTTGGGCCCATCATGTGTCATCTGATTGTCTTAGAAGTTCTTTTTTTCTAAGACAGAGTTTTGCTCTTTTGGCTCAGGCTGGAGTCCAATGGCACAATCTCGGCTTACTGCAACCTCCGCCTCCCAGGTTCAAGCGATTCTCCTGCCTCAGCCTTCTGAGTAGCTGGGATTACAGGTACCCGCTACCACGCCCGGCTAACTTTTTTGTATTTTTAGTAGAGACGGGGTTTTACCATGTTGGCCAGGCTGGTCTCGAACTCCTGACCTCAGGTGATCCACCGCTCCTGGCCACAAGTTCTTATTAATAAAGCAGTTCTGCATAATCCTTCTATCCAGGTTTGATTAACAAATTTACATTTTTTTCTGAGTACCTTCTGTGGGCCACACACTGGAACACAAAGAATTTTCCTTATCTAACAAATTTCCTATTAGCAACGTTCTAAATAGCTAGTATCTTGAATAGGACTTATTTTCACACCGATTCTCACTCCTTCTTAACAATTTAGGACCAACTGCTTTTTATGCATTTGTCTCTTCAATACAAGGAAGGAGCTCAGTGTATGGGAATGTTAAATGGCTGATAATGCAACCTTCTTGCTCGTGAACTAAAGAATGTCAGCCACTGTGCCCGACTGGGTGCTATTTTATATAGAAAAAATGTTTGCAAGATTTTAAGGTAAGTGTTGACAGTTGCATACACACCTGTGACTAGAAGTCAACTCAGTAGTTTCACCCTTATTAGGGTAAAACTTTAACTCCGTAAGTCTGCTACCTGACAGGCACAGCAAATGTTTAAGGAAATCTGCATTTAACTTAAACAGACATCTGCTGATGGAAATTTGGCGTTGGTTTGCTCAAATTAGTAAGATTAAGAAGATCTTAAATTCAGCTGGGCGCGGTTGCTCACGCCTGTAATCCCAGCACTTTGGGAGGCCAAGGCGAGTGGATCACTGGAGGTCAGGAGTTCAAGACGAGCCTGGCCAACATGGTGAAACCCCGTCTCTACTAAAAATACAAAAATTAGGCAGGTGGCTGTAATCCCAGCTACTTGGGAGGCTGAGGCAGGAGAATCTCTTGAGCCCGGTAAGCAGAAGATGCAGTGAGCCGAGATCCTGCCACTGCACTCCAGCCTAGGTGACAGCGCGAGACTCCGTCTCAAAAAAAAAAAAAAGATCTCAAATTACTCAAATTAATAACCTAACATCACGCCCTGAGGAACTGGAAAAACAAGAGCCAACCAACCCCAAACTGGCTGCTTCCTTATGTTGAAGAAACTAATGTGTAACAAGCAGTTGGCCGGGCGCGGTGGCTCACGCCTGGAATCCCAGCACTTTGGGAGGCGGAGGCGGGCAGGGGGGGATCACGAAGTCAGGAGATCGAGACCATCCCGGCTAACACAGTGAAACACCGTCTCTACTAAAAATACAAAAAATTAGCCGGGCGTGGTGGCGGGCGCCTGTAGTCGCAGCTACTCGGGAGGCTGAGGCAGGAGAATGGTGTGAACCCGGGAGGTGGAGCTTGCCGTGAGCCGAGATCGCGCCACTGCACTCCAGCCTGGGCCACAGAGCGAGACTCCGTCTCAAAAAAAAGCAGTTGGTCCTAAAACGTTAGGAAGGACTGGGAATTGGTGTGAAAATAAGTCCTATTTCTAGCAGGCTTTAACCTATTTATGCTGGAGGTTGCAAATTTTTTGGTGTGGAAAAATCAGACACTGGCGATGACCTTAAGCAGTAGGATATAAATAACTCTCACAAGCTTAGCGTTCCAATAATGGAACACTAGGCATAAATAGGTTAAATATAATTGGAATAATCATAAGCTAGTTCTTTAAAGAGAATTTCAGGCATTCTCCCCCTGCTACATCCAGAAGAAAAAAATATTGCTTGAACAAATTTTCTGTGATTCTGGAGACTTTTACAACCATGTAGTAAGAGCATAAAAATTTAGCAAATGGGCCAGGTGGATCACTTGAAGTCAGGAGTTTGAGACCAGCCTGGCCAACATTGTGAAACCCTGTCTTTACTAAAAATTCAAAAATTAGATGGACGTGGTGGCACGTGCCTGTAGTCCTAGCTACTCAGGAGGCTGAGGCACAAGAATCGCTTGAAACTGGGAGGCGGAGGTTATCACGCCACTGTACTCCAGCTCTGGGTGACAGAGCAAGACCCTGTCTCAAAACAAAAACGAAAACAACAACAACAAAAAATTTAGCAAATGACAGCGTGTGTTAACAACGGCTAATATGTGTATATATTTCTTCACTTGATCTTAGCCAAAAGGCTGAGAAGTGATGTACATATTTCTTTAGGTCACAAAGAGTTTGGCTTATTACTAAAAGGCCTTTATTAAACAACAGAATATAAATGCTTCTCATCTGCACATGGTACATACTCTAAAATAAACCACACAATTGGCTATAAAACAATTCTATAGCTAATTAAAAAAAAAAAAAAACCGAAATCACACCAACCACACTCTAGGACCACAGCACAATAAAAACAGAATCAGTACTAAGAAGATTGTTCAAAACCATATGATTACGTGGAAATTAACCTGCTCCTGAATGACTTCTGGGTAAGGCAGAAATCAAGAAATTCTTTGAAACTAATAAGTACAAAGATACAACACACTAGAATCTCTTGAACACAGCTAAGGCAGTGTTAAGAAGAAAGTTTATAGTGCTAAACATCTACAACAAAAAGTTAAAAAGATCTCAAATTAATAACCTGACATCACACCTTGAGTAACTAGAAAAACAAGAGCAAATCAACCCCAAAGCTAACAGAAAACAAGAGATACCCAAAATCAGAGCTGAACTAAATGGAACTGAGACATGAAAAACCATGCAAAAGATAAATGAAACCAGAAATTGGTTATTTGAAAGAATACATAAGAATGACTGATCACTAGCTAGACTAATTAAAAAAAGAGAGAAGATCGAAAAAAATACAATCAGCAACGACAAAGGGGACATTACCACCAACCCCACAGAAAAATACATAGAACTATCATAGAACATTATGAACAACTCTATGCACATGAACTAGAAAATCTAGAAGATATGGATGAATTCCTGGACACATACACATTCCCAAGACTGAGCCAGGAAGAAAGCGAATCCCTGAACAGACCAATAATGAGCTCTGAAATTGAATCAGTAATAGATAGCCTATCAACCACCAAAAGCCCAGGACCAGATGGCTTCACAGTTGAATTTTAACAGATGTACAAAGATGAGCTGGTAGCACTCTTACTAAAACCACTCCAAAAAATTGAGGAGGAGGTACTCCTCTCTAACTCATTCTATGAGGCCAGAATCATTCTGAGTCCCAAACCTGGCAGAAACAACAAAAAAAGAAAACTTCAGGCCAATATCCCTGATGAACATAGATACAAAATTCCTCAACATAATACTGGCAAAACGAATCCAGCAGCAGCACAACAAAAAGCTAATCCACCACAAACAAGTAGGCTTCACCCCTGGGATGCAAGGTTGGTTCAACATATGAAAATCAATTAAATGTGATTCATCACATAAACAGAACTAAAAAAAACTACAGGATTATCTCAATAGATGAAAAAAAAAAAAGCTTCCAATAAAATTCAACCTCACTTCATGTTAAAAACCCTCAAAAAACTAGGTAATGAAGGAACATAACTCAAAATAATAAGAGCCATCTATGACAAACCCACAGCCAATATCATATTGAATGAATGGGCAAAGGCTGGAAGCACTCCCCTGAAGAACTGAAACAAGACCAGGATGCCCACTCTTACCATATCTATTCAACATTAGTGCTGGAAGTCCTAGGCAGAGCAATCAGGCAAAACAAAGAAATAAAAGGCATCCAAATAGGAAGAGAAGAGATCAAACTTCTGTGTTTGTAGATGATGTGATTTTATACACAGAAAACGCCATAGTCTTGGCCCAAAAGCTCCTAGATCTGATAAACGAGCAGTCCCCAATCATTTTGGCACCAGGGACAGGTTTCGTGGAAGACAATTTTTCCACGGACTCAGGGGATGGGGTGGGGGATGGTTTTGGGATGAAACTGTCCCATCTCAGATCATCAGGCATTAGAGTCTCATAAGGAGTGTGCAATCTAGATCTCTCACATGCGCAGTTCACAATAGGGTTCACATGCCTACGAGAATCTAATGCTGCCACTGATCTGACAGGAGGAAGAGCTCAGGCATTAATGCGGGCTAGCCCGCCATTCACCTCCTGCTGTGTGGCCCAGTTCCTAACAGACTATGGACCAATACCAGTCTGCGGCCCAGGAAGATGGGGACTCCTGTGATAAACAACTTCAGCAAAGTTTCAGGGTACAAAATCAATGTACAAAAATCAGTAGCATTTCTCTACACCAACAACATCCAGTTGAGTGCCGAATCAAGAATGCAATCCCATTTACAACAGCCACACACACAAAATACCCAGGAATATAGCTAACCAGGGAGGTGAAAGATCTCTACAATAAGAATTACAAAACACTGCTGAAAGAAATCAGAGATGACACGAACAAATGGAAAAACATTCCATGCTCATGGATAGGAAGAACTGATATTGTTATAATGGTCATACCGCCCAAAGTATGGTCGTACCGCCCAATGGTCATACCGCCCAAAGCTTTACAGATTCAATGTTGTACCTATCAAACTACCAATAACATGCTTTACAGAATTAGAAAAAGCTATTCTAAAATTCATATGGAACCAAAAAAGAGCCTGAATAGTCAAAGCAATCCTAAGCAAAAAGAACAAAGCTGAGGACTTTACATTACATGACTTCAAACTATACTACAAGGCTATAGTAACCAAAACATCATGGTACTGGTACAAAAACAGACACACAGACCAATAGAACAGAATACAGAGCCTAGAAATAAAACTTCATACCTACAACCATCTCATCTTTGACAATGTTGGCAAAAACAAGCAATGGGGAAAGGACTCCCTATTCAATAAATGGTGCTGAGACAACCAGCTAGCCATACGCCAAAGAATAAAACTGGGACCCTTCCTTACACCATATACAAAAATCAACTCAAGACGGATTAAAGACGTAAATGTAAAACCTAGAACTATAAAAACCCTTGAAGAAAACCCAGGAAATACTATTCTGGACATAGGCCCTTGCAAAGATTTCATGACGAGGACACCAAAAGCAACTGCAACAAACACAAAATTACAAATGGGACCTAATTAAACTAAAGAGCTTCTTTACAGCAAAAGGAACTAAGAGCAGAATAAACAACTCACAGAATGGGAGAAAATATTTGCAAACTGTGCATCTGACAAAGGTCTAATATCCAGCATCTATAAGGAACTTAAAGCAAATGAACAAGTAAAACCAAACAGCCCCATTAAAAAGTGGGCAAAGGACATGAACAGACACTTTTCAAAAGATGACATAAACATGGCCAACAAGCATATGAAAAAATGCCCAATATCACTAATCATTAGAGAAAAGCAAATCAAAACCACAATGAGATGCCATCTCACACCAGTCAGAATGTCTATTATTAAAAAGTCAAAAAATTAACAGATGCAAGGTTGTGGAGAAATAGAACACTTAAGACACTGCTGGTGGGAATGTAAATTACTTCGGTCACTGTGGAAAGCAATTTGGCGATGTCTCAGAACTTAAAACAGAAGTAGCATTTGACCCAGCAATCCCCTTATTGGGTACACACCCAAAGGAATATAAATCTTTCTACCATAAAGACACATGCATGCTTATATTCATCACAGCACTGTTCACAATAACAAGGTCATGGAATCAACCTCAATACCCATCAATGATAGACTGGATAAAGAAAATGTGGTATGTATACACTATGGAATACTATGTAGCCACAAAAAGAATGAGATCATTTCCTCTGCAGCAACATGGGTGGAGCTAGAGGTCATTATCATTATCTTAAGTGAACTAATGCAGGAACAGAAAACCAATACCACATGTTCTCACTTATAAAGGGGAGCTAAACACTCAGTACACACGGACACAATGAAGGGAACAACAGACTCCGGGGCCCACTTGAGGGTGGAGGGTGGGAGGAGGGTGAGAGGAGGGTGAGGATCAAAACACTACCTATCAGGTATTATGCTTATCACCTGGGTGCCAAATGACCTGTATAACAAACCCTTGCAACATGCGATTTCCTTATATAACACATCTGTACATGTACCCCTGAAACTAAAATAAAAGTTAAAAAAAAAAGCCTTTATCAATAATAGTGCAGAAAACTTCTGTATCTGAATAAAAATTCTAGGCTGTACATCATAGATTTTCATAATCTTAAAATGTTAACTTTATAGAATATTCTGTTCCCTATTACAAATATTAGTAAACTTGGATATATTGTGACATAAACACTGATGGTCCACGCACAGGAGAACTGGAAATCAAATCCTGCTGAAAACTCAGGCTTACCGGACCCTGAAGACTTCCATCCTCCCTGTCAATACTGCCTCGAGAGAGTCTCACATCAGGTTTCTGAAGAAATTAAAACAAAATCAAAACAATTTCATTTTTGATTTGAAAATTTTTGACAGATTCTGTATTAAATTCCTTCCTTTTTAACACAATTGTCCTCTGAATAAGAAGAGTTGAAAGTTCCCCCGTTTCAAAAAAATTCCAGTGATGATAAATGAAGGTTGGCTGCCTTGGGAAGAACTGCATTCCTCTCCACACACGCACACCTTACAGACTGGTACCTGCACTGGCCCACCCAGTGCTGGAGAACCTGCACTTTACCTCTATTCCAAGTAGCACAGATGGCTTTCTTCTTCACTGAGATACCCGCAACCCCAGGATAAAAATATCAGGCATTACTTGCGGCTTTCTGACAGAATATGGCTTATACGGATTTAGCTGTCTTGCCAAAGTAGCAAATGAGTTCAATTACAAGACTGTTTTCCCACACTGCATCTAGAATATAGAAACCAAACAGAGAAATCTAGATTTTACGTAAATAATAGTACGGAAATTTCACCAATATCAGAATAAACGAAGTAGGCTACGTGCCTTTATGGTGAAGGAACAGGGCAGAAAGGCTTTTCCTCATGAAAACAACCCCGTGCTCCCGCAGTATGGGTTACGGGCCTTCTACCACAGTGGCTCCTGCCTCCCCTTTGCCCGTGAACACTGGCCACATACTTCTTCCCGGAAAACTTCTGTTCACTCTTCAAGGCTGAGCCAGACACCCTTTCTTGGCAGCATATTTCCCTCTTCAAGCAGAGCTGGTCGCTTCTTAGCCTGTGCCTTACAGATACCTCTATGTTGGCACCTATCAGGCATAATTACTTCCCTCATTAGAGATGGAGCATCTTGATGTCTGATTCGTCTGTGTATCTCCTATTTCCCACACCTGAGCCTGCCACTGAGCACACCATCTGCAAGCACTTGTTGGGTGGGGGATGGAGAAATGAGCTTCACCTCTCCCTTCTTTTCCAATTCCAATTCCAGTGCTGTAGCCCAAACCCTTTTCATTGTATCAGTTCCTACTAGGCTTTTTGTCTCTGTCTTAACTATCTCTAATCAAAGCGGGGTCAGTCGTGGGTGCCAGGGTGTAGTAGGAAGTTGGTGAAGGACACGGCCACCATTAAGGTAAGAGTGATCCTCTGATGGCTCAGAGGTAAAAACAAACTTTCCAGGGCAGGGGCCCTGCACTGTCCTTTGCCTTCTTCCTCCCTTCCCCCTTTCCTTCCCTCCCAGGCACAGTGCCTGGAGGTAGCTGGCTGAGGTCTGAGAACAGCTCCTACCAGGAAGTGGGTAAAGGAGCTCCTGATGGCTAATCACTAAAAGGGGGCTCTGGCTGATTGTTGTTAACAGTCCTCAGGGATTCCATATGGGAAAAGGTGAAACTTGTGTGTTGTCCCTGAATTTAGGGCAGATTTTGGATCACTTATGGAAAAACATTCTAATAATCAGAGGCATCCTGAAACAGAATAGACAGCCCTGACAGCAGTAGCAGACAGTAAGCAAAGAGGGCAAAAGTCACAACTTACTTATCTGTTCATTCAACAGAATTACAAAACAGCTCATGTATATCAGCCCCATATCCCTAGTGCCTGGCACAGTTCCTGGTTGGTGCGCACTCAACACATCAGTGTTGACTGAATTAACCTCCATGCTACTATATAAAAAAACATGTTCCCTTTCACGTAAAAATATTCATTTAAAAGCAATAGTTAAATATAGATGAAAAATGACCTAAATCCTCAAATGTAGCGTTGGGTGTGGTGGTGTGTGCCTGCAATTTCACCTTATCTGGGAGGCTGAGGTGGGAGGACCCTTTGAGGCCAGGATATCAAGACCAGCCTGGGCAACATAGTGAGAACTCATCTCTACAAAGAAAAAAATTTTAACAATTAGCTGGGAATGGTGGTGTGTGCCTGAGTCCCAGCTACTGGAGAGGCTGAGGTGGGGCGATGGTTTGAGCCCAGGAGTTTGAGGCTGTAGTGAGCTACCATTGTACCACTGCACTACAGCCTGGGTGACTAAGCAAGACTCTGCTCTGTTAGAACTCTCTCAATGAGTAAACCAGAAAAGTTCAGAATAAATATTTCTGAACTCTGAAGAGCATAACTTAAAACATTGTACTGTGTTTATATGTACTATAATATCAAGGAACAATAATTTAAAAAATGAATTCTTACTGCAGATGTGATATATATAACTAATGCCCATACAGGGGAAGTCAAACCTAGAGGCATGCAGTTGGCGACTATGGCAGAAAGTATGCTGTGTTTTTTACCAGAGAGGACTATCCCATTAGATATAGACAGCTGTGGCTGGGTGTGAAATATAGCTCAAGAGAAAATTCAGAGGTAGGTAGTTCCTGACTTCTAGGATAGAATCTTCTCTGACAGGTAAGATAGACATGAATAGACAGAAAGGAAACCAAGCAAACACACGTAATACATTGATTCCAACTGGCAACTGAAGGGGAACTCACTGGGGAGGTCCTATTCCATGTAGCAGAACTCACAGATCCTATTCCATGGAATGCTGAGGTTCTGCCACTGCCTGAATGAAGAGGCAGCTTTGTGGGGCCCAAACATCCCAGATATGCTTAAGAAAAAATATTCCAAAACACAATGGACTTTGAGAAAAAGTACCTGAGAAGACGAGACTCCAGGTTGACAATTCACAGAACATTACTCAATGTAAATATCAAGGTCAGGAAAGATTTCGGGAAGACCCAGGAACTGTTCAAGCTTAAAGGAAACTCAAGAGATGTGATAACTAAATATAACTCATGATCCAGGACTTTTTTCTAGAAAGGGCATTCTGTGGACAACTGGTAAAATATGAATAGTCCATTGATTAGCTAACAGTATTGTATTATTGTTAATTTCCTGACATTGGTTAACTCAGCTATGGTTATTTAAGAGAACATCCTTATTTTTAGGAAATTCACATTGAACTATTTAAGAGTTAAAAAGCAGGATATCTGGTATTTACTTCCAAATGGTTCAGAAAAAATGGTATGTACAAATATGCAAAGCAAATGAGGTCAAATGTTAACAACTGGAGACTCTAGGTAAAGGGAACATGGGAATTCTTTGTACCATTCTTGTAACTTTAAAAAACTCTGAAACTATCCTTTCCTCTTCTGCCCATTCACTTGAGGGACCAGCTGGGAGCTGGTTCTGCTTAGGGGTTCTGTTGAAGGGCTCTAAACAGAGAGTGGAGGTGATTAGGTTTGACTCTACTGTAGCAGAAAGGACAAGTTTTTATTTTCATTTTTTATTTATTTATTTTTTTGAGATGGAGTCTCCCTCTGTCTCCCAGGCTGGAGTGCAGTGGCATGACCTCAGCTCACTGCAAGCTCTGCCTCCCGGGTTCATGCCATTCTCCTGCCTCAGCCTTCTGAGTAGCTGGGACTACAGGCGTCCGCCACCACGCCCGGCTAATTTTTTGTATTTTCAGTAGAGATGGGGTTTCACTGGGTTAGCCAGGATGGTCTCGATCACCTGACCTCATGATCTGCCCGCCTCGGCCTCCCAAAGTGCTGGGATTACAGGCGTGAGCCACCGCGCCAGGCCAACAGTTTCTATTTTTAAGAGACAGGGTCTTGATCTGCCGCCCAGGTCAGAGTGCAGCGACTATTCACAGGCACAATCATAGTGCATTACAGCCTCGAACTCCTGGCCTCAAGCAATCATCCGCCTCAGTTTCTGGAGTAGCTGGGACTATACATGCACGCCACCACGCCCAGTTAGAGCTATAGTCTAAGAAAACAAAAGACCCACCAGGCCCAACTTACGATGTGGTCATTTAATAGTTACATGATTTTGGTTATTTTAAAATATTGTATACCTCATTTGTCAATAATCTAACAAAAGAAACATGCACTTACTGTAGAAAAATTAAGATACTGCAAAAATAGATGAAAAAATTACAAATCACTCAACCTTACCATTTGGAAGTAATTATCATTAGTTATTATGGAGTAATTAAAATGTAAAAGTAATTATCATTAGTTAATACTGTGGTGTAAATGTATGTTTACAAACATGGAACCACAACATATGATTCTACAGCCTTCACATAACATTTATATAGGGCAAACTGACAAAACAATGTTTAAGGCTGCACAACGTTCCACTGCATGATTATCATCATAAAATAGACAATGGTAGTGAAGGGTGGGAGCTGTGGCACCAGGTGGCCTGGGTTCTAATGAGGATCCAGTCCTTACAAGCTGTGTGACCTGGGCCTCAATTTCTTCATTTCTAAAATGGAACAGTAATTGTAACCAACACATAGGATTGTTAGGAGGATGAAATGAGTTAATATTTGCAAAGTACTAAGTTGGTGCCACACAAGAGTTAAAATAAATAGTTCTTTTATTGTTGGATATTAGGGTCATTTTCAAAATCCCTCATAAATAGGCTGTAGATGAACACCTTTGTATACAAATCTTTGACTAAGTCCCTGATTATTTCCCTGGGACAGATTTCTTTTCTTCTTCTTTTAGAGATGGTTGGGGGTGGGGGGTCTCACTATGTTATCCAGGCTGGTCTTAAACTCCTGTGCTCAAGTGATCTTCCTGTCTCTGGAGCAGATTTCTAAGAAAGGAATTACTAAGTCAAAGAGTTTGAACATTTGAAAAATCTTGGTATAAGTTTCCAAACTGCTCAAGGCTGTCCTGATTTTCATCTATGTAGCAATATGTGATAGCATTTCTCTCACTGTACCCTAACACCACTGTATTATCATTTTAAAACTCTCAACCAATTCATAAAGAAAATACTGTATAATATATTGTTGTAATTTGCTCCTCTCCTCCTCCCTTTCCCCAAATAGTTGACCATTTTTGTTTCTTATCATGAGATGCTAAGTTCCATGAAGACAGAGGCTATGAAGCTGTCTGCCTCACCGCTGCGTCTCTGTTACCTGCTAGAACACCGGACAAACAGGTGGAGGAAATGAATGCCCTGTGCATTTTTCTAGTGAACTGATTGTCCATGCCTCTTTGGACAAGGCATATAACCTCTCTAGGCCCAGTTCCTCACCTGTAAAATAGGCAGAATAATACCTCAGTCAGTCATTATCAGAATGAAAGAAGTGCCTGGCAGCATTGTGCACATAGATGTGTAGTAAATATTTGCTGAAGGAATGCTTCAATTAATATCCAAGGCACAAGAGATATGTTATAGACGAGGAACTTGACTTAGAAAGATTTAGTTGCTTGGGGTAACACAGCTCTTAAACAGTGGAGGTGGGCTTCAATCAGTCAACAGATAATAAGAACCTTCTACAGGCAGGAAATATTTACTGTTTTACTTAAACAAAAAATGCAACTCATATTTTTGCCTATAGAATAAGGTATTGTTTCATGTGTTTACATGAATTAATCTATTTTTATTTCCATATACATTTCATGAAATGACTTTCTTTAATGCATAATTCCCTAATGTGGTATTTTCCTAAAGACAGGATTTTAATTTTAAAATGAGAAAGGCTTATCCATATAAAATCTACTTGTGTTCTGTGAATGAAATAAATACTTGAGCTTTTTCTTTTCATAGAGCATACACGGACCTCCTGAATGAAAGATGAGTGCCTATTGGGAACTGAAGAGCAATACAGCCAAAGACAGCCAATCAGAAAGAATAGATTCTCAGCCAGGTGCAGTGGCTAACACCTGTAATCCCAGCACTATGGGAGGCCGAGGTGGGTGGATCACCTGAGGTCAGGAGTTCAAGACCAGCCTGGCCAACATGGTGAAACCCCATCTCTACTAAAAATACAAAAATTAGCCGGGCATGGTGGCAGGCACCTGCAGTCCCAGCTAGTCGGGAGGCTGAAGCAGGAGAATCGCTTAAACCCGGGAGGCGGAGGTTGCAGTGTGCCAAGATTGCGCCATTTCACTCCAGCCTGGGGGACAAGAGTAAGACTTCGTCTCAAAACAAACAAAAACAAACAAGCCAAAAAAAAAAAACAGTTCGGCTTAGCTACAGTCTCTACTTTCATGTGGGTATGGCTCTAGAAAACTTCAAATTTAAGGTTTATAGCTCAGTCTTTTCTCCTTTCACTATACTGTATTGCTTTCAAATCTGGAATCTGGTATGAGGGAAAAAATAGGAGAGCTGTTGGCCTTGCTGCGTAGCAGAAGCAGGGACAGCAGCCTGGCTTCAGACAGACAGCCTCTTGCCACTGCTCTTTAGTTCCCCGTCTCGGCATTCATCTTTCATTCAGACTGACTGGATCTGCTATGTGAGGGAAAAATGCTCACATATTTCTTTCTCAAAACACAAAGTAGGCTTTATATAGATAGGGCTTTCTCATTTAAAATTAAAATCCTGTTTTAAGCATAGTATCACATTAGAAAATTATTGTGCATGCAGTAATAAAAAAAAAAAGCAAGTTGCAAAGTTACTCTATTTTTAAGCAATGCCCAATGGGAAAGAAAGCTCTTTCAACCAACTGAGGTTCTAACTAAGGTTGCCAGCAATCTCTGGCACTCACTTTGTAGGACAGCTTTCAGAGTATATTTGCAGGCACAGAACTATTTCAGAAAGGACAGTATCTGATCTGGGAACAAGAAAAGGGAGTGTGGGGCCAGGCGTGGTGACTCACGCCTGTAATCCCAACATTTTGTGAAGCCATGGTGGGAGAACTGCTTGAGCCCAGGAGTTTGAGACCAGCATGGACAACAAAGTGAGACCCTATCTCTATAAAAAAAAGTAACAAAATTAGCCAGGCTTGGTAGCATATGCCCGTAGTCGCAGCTACTCTGGAAGGAGGCTGAGGCAGGAGGATGACTTGAGCCCAGGAGGTTAGGGATGCAGTGAACTAGTATTGTGCCACTGCACTCCAGCCAGGGCCACAGAGTGAGACTTTGTCTCAATTAAAAAAAAAAAAAAAAAAAAAAAAAAAAAAAAAAAAAAGGAGCACTAGGTATAGTACAGAGTATCTGCTGTGGGGCCATGTGACCTTGGGCAAGAGCATCCGGGCTGCTATCATAAAACACATTCTGTGCAGGGTTGTTGAGATAATGCAGAGATCCAGAGGAGGGACTCCTGACCCACTGAAGTACTCAAAAAGTAAGAGATGTGACTAGCAGTAGCAACCATAAAAAATGATGTGATGATGTGATCTCTGAAAACAGATGTCAAAACAGATGTCTTCTGACATCTAAAATTTGGGTAATACTACTGACAAAGCAAGTTAATTTTTCAAACAAGAACAGAACTTATCTAATAGGGTGCACAGCTGACCTTACTGAAGTAAATGGCAGGGCCAGAGCAGTAGGCCTGGGTGGGTCTAGGAATGAACCAGTTTATGAAGATGAAAACAGAAGCTAAGCATCTTTTTTTCTTTTCTTTTCTTTTTTTTTTTTTTTTGAGATGGAGTCTCGCTCTGTCGCCCAGGCTGGAGTGCAGTGGCGCGATCTCGGCTCACTGCAAGCTCCGCCTCCTGGGTTCACGCCATTCTCCTGCCTTAGCCTCCTGAGTAGCTGGGACTACAGGCACCTGCCACTACGCCCAGCTAATTTTTTGTATTTTTTAGTAGAGACGGGGTTTCACCATGTTAGCCAGGATGGTCTCGATCTCCTGACCTCGTGATCCGTCTGCCTCGGCCTCCCAAAATGCTGGGATTACAGGTGTGAGCCACCGCACCCGGCCTGGTAAGCATCTTTAGACATTTTTATAGCAATTTGAAACAGTAATTTTTGGGCTGTCAAAAAAGTCTGGCTTATATTTTTATGTCTTTTTCTAGTCAATGATTTTGAAATTTTATTTTACAAGAGTATTGGTCTGCAACGGTTTAGAAAGAAAGATACAAACTGGCCCTTCCATGCAGTCTGAGAAGCCCTGTATTGGAAGTTTCCTTGGCCTAACAGGAGAGAAAGACTTCTGACACACAGCTTCAACAATGACCTGATTAACCTAAAAGTAGGTGCAGCGGCCTGGCCTGGTGGTTGCAAGGACACAGACCAATAGCTCTGGGCCTAGCTCATGCCAAAGGCCAAGACCCAGAAACAAGCTTGTAAATAGCAGATACCATGGAAACCAACAGTAATTTTTACACATACACAGCATAAAAAGGACCACAACGAGATATAATTACCATTGTTAGAGTCTCTTCACCAAATTAAGGACCATAAAGCACGTGTGCTCATAACCAGAGACCTAGCTGCCACCATCACCACTTGACAGTGTCACGAGAGCTTCTACAACCGACACACACTACCTTCCAACTGACAGAGGGTCAGGGTGGCCCTCACACTACACCGCACCAGGCGTTATTCCCAGTGCACCAAGCTTTCCATGCGGCTGTCTAAAAATCTGCATCTCCAGCGCAGACCACCTCCTCTGGGCTCTATGCCCTATATCCAGCTGCCTCCTCTGCATTCCCATTTGCATATCCCAAATGTCCAAACCTGGCATCATCATGTTTCCCTGACATGGACTCCTCATTCTGAATTTTATTTCATTTGGTAGCACAATGTTATTTTTGGTGACACCAATGCTATGATTCCTGTCCCGGATTCTTCCTTCCTCTTGACCTCCTATACCAATTCACCAAATCTTGTCCCTTTTAAGTCCGTCTTCTCTGCTCCTTCCCACTTTGCCTCTTCCAGCTTAGACCCTGCTGTCATTTATTTGAATGACCACTCAACTTCCTATTGGATCTCTGCATTTCCTATCTTGCCTTCTGAGCCATCAGTCAGCAAGCAACGCTAAGGTGGTCCTATTTTTTTTTTTTTTTTGAGACAGAGTCTCACTCTGTCACCCAGGCTGGAGTGTAGTGGAACAATCTCAGCTCACTGCAACGTCTGCCTCTTGGGTTCAAGCAATTCTGCTGCTGCAGCCTCCTGAGTAGCTGGGATTACAGGAGAGTGCCACCACGCCTGGCTAATTTTTGTATTTTTAGTAGAGATGGGGTTTGGCCATGTTGGTCTTGAACTCCTGACCTCAGATGATCCATCCGCCTCAGCCTCCCAAAGTACTGGGATTACAGGCATGAGCCACAGTGCCCAGCCCTAAGGTGATCTTTCTGAGATGCCATCTGCTTCAAATCTTGAAAAGCATTGCCAAGCCTAAGTAATCAGAGAGTGACCTTGGGACCACGTCTCAACAATCAACTGGGGTGCTTGTTATCTCTCTAGGTCCTTGGCCTCTCCAGATCCACTGCAGTTCTCTAGTCCTGGGGAACTGAATTTTAAAAGGTCCCCTGTGACTTTTATGTATATTAAATTTTAATTTATTCATTTCTAAAATAATTATAATATCTACTTCCCCAGGGTTCATGTATGACTTGTTTTTATTTTTCATTTAGATGAAAAACAGTGACACCAATGCTATGATTCCTGTCCGGGACTCCTCCTTCCTCTGGGCCTCTAACGTTTAGATGCTTAACACTGTACGGTGGTACATTCATTCATTCGCTTAATAAATGCTGGCTGAGCCTTATTACTGCTGAACAAACGGTACGATGGGAGCTGGGGGAGAGTGCTGAATAAAGAAAGTTCCCATCTTTGTGATGCTTACACTTTAGTGGAGGAGACAGGAAAACAAGTGAGACATTGTCATACAGTGAGAAACATTAGAAGAAAAATGAAGCAGGATAAAGGCAGTTAAGTCACAGTTGTTGCCCTTAAGGAACTTACGTTTTATTAGAGAAAGAGAGTGAGAGTGAGCATGTGTGAGAGTGCAGGGGGTTGGGGGAGAGAACGCAGTAGTGCACATCATAATAAAATAAGTTAATTCAAGCTTCACGCTTGGCGCTCAGTAAGGTTCTCTGGCACCTTGTGGGTAGAGGCCAGGGATGTTGCTAAGAACTCCTACTATTCATAGGACAGCCTCCTACAACAAAGAATTACCCAGCCCCAGAGGTCAACAATGCCCAGGCTGAGAAACCCTGGTGTAGGGAATGTGTCGTCCTTGAGATGACACAAAAATAATCTTTAAAGACAAAAAGGTGTTCCTCAGGCAGATTCCCTGAGCATTCCAGGCAGACACAGCAGCATGAGAAAAGGCATGAGTTAAAAAACACTCATTTACAAAAAGAAAAAAATAAACTCATAAAAGAGAAAAAAGAAACTTTCATTTAATCAGTCAACACTGACAGCTTTCCATATGCTCGGCATGGTGGACTGAATGGGGAATAGGAAAGACATGGTCCATGGTCTCTGCACTCATGGGGTGCTCAGTCTAAGTAAGGAAAACAAGCAAAGAGAAAAATACAATACCATCTCACAGGCATTAAGAAAGGTACTTGTTCCAGCCTGGCCAACATGATGAAACTCTACCAAAAATACAAAAATTAGCTGGGCGTGGTGGTGCGTGACTGTAGTCCCAGCTACTTGGGAGGCTGAGGTGGGAGGACAGATTGAGCCCAGGAGGTCAAGGCTGGAGTGAGCCGTGATTGTGCCACTGCACTTTACCCTGGGTGACAGTGTGAGACCCTGTTTCCGGGAAAAAAAAAAAAAAAAAAAAAAAAAGGAAAGGTACTTGAGTGGGAAAGTGCCTCGATGCCATCATGGCCTCCAAGTTTAGCACCAGGCAAACTATCTCAGAGGTTACCCAACAGACAGGTTTAGGACCAAATGAAGATGCTCCAATTACATGGTTATTAAGTTAAAAACAAAAACAAACAAAAAAAAAAACACCACATAGTGAGAAGTATTTTCCATTTCCCCACAAACATGCTCTGCTTTGCTCACATCTAGCTACAGGAAGTTCTTAGAATACGGTTTGTGTGTGTGTGTGTGTGTGTGTGTGTGTGTGTGTGTGTTTTTAAACGGAGTCTTGCTCTGTTGCCCAGGCTGGAGTGCAGTGGCACGATCTTGGCTTACTGCAACCTCCGCCTCCCGGGTTCAAACGATTCTCCTGCCTCAGCCTCCCAAGTAGCCTGGATTATAGGCATGCCAGTTTTGTATTTCAGTACAGATGGGGTTTCACCATGTTGGCCAGGCCGGTCTCGAACTCCTGACCTCTGCCTCTCAAAGTGCTGGGGTTACAGGCATGAGCCACTGTGCCCAGCCAGAACAGTCTTTTTTTCTTTTGTCTATCATTCATATATATTTCTGTTCCTTTGTATGTCTTGTAATTTTTTGTTGGAGATTAGACATTTTAGATAATATATTGTAGGAATTCTGGGTACTTGATCCTCCTCCCTTTAGGGTTTACTGTTTTTTTTTTTTTTTTTTTTTTTTTTTTTGCCACAGGGTCTTGCTAAGCCCAGGCTAGTCTCAAACTCCTAGACTTAAGCGATCTCCCTGCCTCAACCTGCCGAGAAGCTGAGATTATAGTCACTGTGCCTGGCTGGAATATAGCCTTTTGACTCCATGTCATTACCCGCACTCTTCGCTCTTCCTGGAATGTATTTCCTGAGCCTGTCTGCCCTAAAAATTCCAATTTCTCCTTTAAGCTTTGGCTCAAATGCTATCTATACTCTGCTGCCTCCCCCAAGTCCCCCTAGTGACACACAGGGTCCTCTTCTGCTCTTCCTTATGTTCTTCTTTGTCAGAGCAACATCACAGCAGTACCACAACATTTGGTAGCAAACCCTTTGTCCAAATGCAGTCATACGTGGGACTGAAATACAAGAACTCTAGTTTGGAGAATTTATAATATCTACTTTTAAAAACACAAATCAATTCTGTCTGGTAAAAGAGGCTATCTAGACAAAAAATAGGTTTAAAATGTAGGACTAGAGAACAGTAGATATGTTCTTAGAATAGATATAATATCCAAATTAATTCACTCAGATTAGTGGTAGTAAATAATAACATATTTTTTCTTTTTTTCCAGACAGAGTCTGACTCTGTCACCCAGGCTGGAGTGCAGTGGTACCATCTTGGCTCACTGCAACCACCACCTCCTGGGTTCAAGCAATTCTCATGCCTCAACCTCCTGAATAGCTGGGACTACAGGTGTGTGCCACCATGCCTGGCTAATTTTTGTTTTTTTGAGACGGAGTTTCACTCTGTCACCCAGGCTGGAGTACACTGCGCCATCTTGGCTCACTGCAACCTCCGCCTCCTGGGTTCAAGTAATTCTTCTGCCTCAGCCTCCTGAATAGCTGGGATTACAGGCATGCATCACCACATCTGGCTAATTTTTGTATTTTTAGTACAGATGGGGTTTTGCCACATTGGCCAGGCTGGTCTCGAACTTCTGACCTCAAGTGATCAGCCCGCCTCAGCCTCCCGAAGTGCTGGGATTATAGGCATGAGCCACTGCACCTGCCTAATTTTTGTATTTTTTTTTTTTTTTTTTTTTTTTAGTAGAGACGGGGTTTCACCATGTGGGCTAGGCTGGTCTCGAACTCCTGGCCTCAAGTGATCTGCCCACCTTGGCCTCCCAAAGTGCTGGGATGGATTACAGGTGTGATCCACCGTGCCAGGCCAAAAATAACAATTTTTTTTTCCCATCTGCCTTACAATCTCAAGATTTGCTTTAATTCAGAAGGAAAGTTTTATCCTATGCTTTCGAAATTCTAAATTAGTTAAATTTAACACAAAGTTAGTGTCAGTGAATGTTTAATGATACAAAGCATGAGAGACCAGGTAAAGTTACTGGCTCAAAATTATGAATCCTGGCTTCTTTCAGCCATAATACGATTGAGGCAACTACAGGAAGATTGAAATAGCTATTCTGGGTTCAAGGAGAGTGGGGAATGGGTTCTCACAGTCCTTAGTTCTGAGGCTGAGGGCATAGAACTGCTTGGCAACAGGGACCAGGAGTCTAAAAGGACCTTTGTGTCAAGTAACATACAGAGATTGCTCTGTCCCACCACTTCCTCTCTGTCCCCAAGGGACTTCTGAAGTGGTTTTCAATAAGGGTTGCCTGAAAGAAGACATTTCCCATGCATATGTCCAGACACATCCGGGAGGAGGTTCACATCAGTCATAAATGCCAGGAAGGCAAATCTTAGCTGTCTTGTTATACAGCCTGCAGTAGCAAGATGCAATAGTTTATACGTAAGCTGACATGGAAGCAGGAGTTGTTTCTGGGTAAACAATGTGGTAATGCAAAAACCAAACAAATGCTCATATTTCTGAGCCCATAATGACACTACTAAAATTTTAGAGAAATTTATCCCTAAAAGATAATTAAAAAAGCAAATAACCCATTATTGCAAGTTTTTTTTTTTTCCTTAGGAGACAGAGTCTTGCTCTGTGGCCCAGGGTCTCTCTAGATCTCTATTTCCTGTTCTGTTAAAATGAAGATAATAAATGGACAGGTCCACATTCCTCTATCCTCATTTCCAAAACCTAAAAAGTGCTGAAAATGTTAAGTGTGTTTTTTATGTTTGAAACAAACTAATATGGTAGTAAAACCTGAACCGATGAAGCATCTTATAATCTTCATTTAACTGTTAATGTGATTATTTGCATTCTGCTGCAGAAACACTAGTGGTTTTAACTCTGGGATGCTATTAGAGTCTTAAATAATGTATAATGTTCAGCATACTACACTAACTTTTTAGTATTTAAAAAATACTGAATTCTGAAACACACATGGCCCTTAAGGGTTTTGGATATAGGATTCTGGATCTATTAGAGGGCAGTGGCACAATCATAGCTTACCGTAATCTAGAACTCCTGGACTCAGTCTTAGCCTCTCAAATATTTGGGACTACAGGTGTGAGCCACAATGCCTGGCTAATTTTTTTTTTTATTTTTTGTAGAGACAGGGTCTTGCTGTGTTGCCCAGGCTGGTCTTGAACTCCTGGGCTCAAGTGATCCTCCTGCCTTGGCCTCCCAAAGCACTGGGATTTTAGGCATTAACCACCACATCCAGCCATATTATTTCAAGTAGTTTTTTTTTTTTTTTGAGATGGAGTTTCACTCGTCGCCCAGGCTGGAATGCAATGGCATGATCTCGGCTCACTGCAACCTCCACCTCCTGGGTTCAGGCGATTCTCCTGCCTCAGCCTCCCAAGTAGCTGGGATTACAGGCATGCACCCGGCTACTTTTTGTATTTTTAGTAGAGACAGGGTTTCACCATGTTGGCCAGGCTGGTCTCGAACTCCTGACCTCAGGTGATCTGCTTGCCTCAGCCTCCCAAATAGGCCACCATGCCTGGCCTATTCCAAGTTTTAAGAAGTAGTTGTAAAACTAACTCTCCTGCTTTGAAAGATAACATTTTGCAATAATTTGCAATATAGTAGACTCTAACAGGGCTTAAAAAGTCAAAGAAGCCTTTCAGAAACACAATTACCAGAAATCTTTCCTCTTTTTCCAGCCAGCGCTGATCTTCTTCCATTTCCTGTTGCTGTCGGATTAGACGCTCTTCCATCAGATGGGTTGGCAACACTTGCCCAATCCCTCGCAGGTCCAATACTGTAGAGTCCTGGAAGAAGGGTTGAAAACAGCATATTCAGTCTCATAAGTCTATTCCTATGCTCTTACCTTGTTTTATGTGTCTTTCAAGAAAAGATAAGCAAAACAGCAAGTATGAGAAACAGGATCTCTCATACTGTGCTTGTGGGAATAACTTTTCTGTAGGGGGCAATTTAATGTGCATCAAGCATCTTTAAAAAGTATGCAATCCTTTAGCTCACAGATTCACTTGTAAGGGTCTATTTTAAAGAAATAACACAAGATATGTGCAAAGAATACATTGTTACTTATAGTAAAAAAGTAGAAACAATCTAGAAGTAATAGAAGGCTGAAATACAATACATATTACAGAGTATTAAATATTAAATAAAAGAACATAAATAGCAGACAACTATAGATGCTCTTTCATTCAAATAAGTAATTTTTTGTCTTTTTAATGAGATGGGGTCTTGCTATGTTGCCCAGGCTGGCCTCAAACTCCTAGGCTCAAGTTATCTACCCACCTCAGCCTCCTGAGTAGATGCAACTATGGGTTGTGTTACTGTACCTAGGTCAAATAAATTTTTAAACTATAGGAGTAGTTCTTGGTTTTACCAAGAAAATTTAGTAAAAATTAACATGGTCCAAAGAACTGAATGCTCTGTCTTCCTGTTTCTTCGTTGGCCTCATGTACATGCTGACGATAGTCCACTTAGGGCTTTGCCTTTCAAATAAATGGACTAAAGATTTTAGTATTTCTCCCTGGGTTCTTTTAGTTAAAAAAAGTTCATTAAACCTGAAAGCATTTGAGTAGATGGGGTATCCTGATCTTTGAATTAAGTCATTAAAATATGACCGGGTGTGGTGGCTCAAGCCTGCAACCCCAGCACTTTGGGAGGGTGAGGTGGGTGGATCACTTGAAGTCAGAAGTTCGAGACCAGCCTGGCCAACATGGTGAAACTCTGTCTCTACTAAAAAATACAAAAATTAACTGGGCGTGGTGGCTCGCACTTGTAATCCAAGCTGCTCTGGAGGCTGAGGCGGGAGAATTGCTTGAACGTGGGAGGCGGAGGTTGCAGTAAGCCAAGATCGTGCCACTGCACTCCAGCCTGGGAGACAGAGTAAGACTCTGTCTCCAAAAAAAAAAAAAAAAAAAAAAAAAGTCATTAAAATCAATAAATCTTAGGATTTAGAAATAAAAGGTACCTTAGGCCATGCTTTATTTATTACCTTTTTTTTTTTTTTTGAGACAAGCTCTTGCTCTGTTGCCCAGGCTGGAGTGCAGTGGCATGATCTCGGCTCACTGCAGTCTCGACTTCCTAGGCTCAAATGATCCTCTCACCCCAGCATCCCGAGTAGCTGGGACTACAGGCACATACCACCATACGTGACTAATTTTCTATTTTTTGTAGAGACAGGGTCTCGCTATGTTGCCCAGTCTGGTTTCAAACTCTGGGGCTCAAGCAATCCTCCTACTTCAGCCTCCCAAAAGTGCTAGGATTACAAGTGTAAGCCACCATGCCCAGCTTTGCCATGCTTTATAAGTTAACAAACTGAAGCCCAAGACACCCGATTTACCTCCACATTGGGCTGCCACATTGCTATCTCCTGAGGTCTATGATTCCATGAATCTGTTTGGTCCAAAAGAGATGCCTGACCTGGATAGATGCTGCCAGCCATGGCTGTGATTCCATGTGAACCAGGGTAGCCAGAAACCTGTGAATGAGTAAGGAGGCAAGGTAATGTTCAACTATAACATCTGCACAGTTCTGCTTCACACACAAAGGAAACTAAAATTACAGAGAATATTGTGGTAGGCAGAATTATGGCCCCCCAAAGATACCCATGTTCTAATCCCTTGAACATGTGAATATGTTTCCTTACGTGGCAAAAGAGACTTTGCAGATGTGGTTATAAGTCAAGGACCTTGGGATGGGAGGGTATCTGGGATATCTGAGTGAGTCCAGTGTAATTACAAGGGTCCTTAAAAGTGCAAGAGGGAAGCATAAGAGGAGGGAGGGACAATGGGACCACTGAAGAAGGGTCAGAGAGAGTTAGTACTGCTGGCTCTGGGCCAGGCACGGTGGCTCTAGCCTGTAATCCTAGCACTTTGGGAGGCCGAGGCAGGCGGATCACAAGGTCAGGAGTAGCCTGTAGTCCCAGCTAATTGGGAGGCTAAGGCAGGAGAATGAACCCGGGAGGCGGAGCTTGCAGTGAGCCGAGATCGGGCCATTGCACTCCAGCCTGGGTGACAGAGAGAGACTCCGTCTCAAAAAAAAAAAGAAAATAAAAACTTCTGGTTTCAGAACATGGAGTAAGGGGACCATGAGCCAAGGCATGTAGGTGCCCTGTAGAAGCTGATAAGGCAAGGAAATGGACTCTCAGCTAAAATCTCAAGAAAGGACATTTGTTATGGCTGCATTAGAGAGCTAGTGCAAATATATACTAGAAAACAAGAAACTGTTTCTTTGGAATTTCACATTTACTAAAATAATGAGGGCAGGCCATCCTTGGATGCAAAAGCAACAGGAAGCCACAAAAATGTCTGTGCCATACTTTGCTCTAGAAATCCCCTTTCCTGCCCAACAACCACTATCCCCCAACAAGAATAACAACAACAACAAAAATACACAAAAAATCCCCCAAATGTTTGTCCTCTAATGACCTGGGAGCTGATGGTAGGGTAAGTCGTACCTTTAAGTTCTAACAATGATGACTAAGGCAGAGAGAAGACATTCAGTTGGACATAGAGAAAAATTTCAAGGCAGAGGGAAAATAAGATGGGTTTCTTTACATGGTTCCTTCTCTCAATCAAGAGAAAGAGAACAGAATCAGTATTGGTTTCCACACCTCATTAGGCTAGTGTTGTATGGTGGGTGTTGTCAGTTAATTTTTTAGTGAGATAAAGCACAGCCAAAACCGTATTTCCAAATATCAACACATCCTTCAACAAAGGTTTTGTGCATTTATTAGGTCTCTAGGCATTAATTTATACCAAAATTTCATATGGACAATATGAAATTAATGAATCTTCAAGTAAGACATATAGTTAGTTCTCACAGTTTATTTGAATGAAAATAATAATAAAAACTGCTACTAAATGCAAAATGCTCTATCAAGATTTCTGGTGAAAAGGGATGTATTATTGCCAGAAAACATTTAGGAATTTTCACAACAAGGAGGTTTAAAATGGTCTAAGGCAGTTTTCTACATAATAGTAACCATGTAGAAGGATCACTTTAGGCTAAAAATGAAGTAACATCAGGAAATGTCTCATAGTTGGTCTCATTTACAAGAGAGGAGAATTTGGGCTTGGGAAAGGTTAATCATACATTAGTTCAATGAAAAAAATCAATGTTTTACTTAATTCTCTATTTACTCATTTTTACACACCGTTCTAAGCCCTTAGAGACAAGTCCCCACTCTCAGGGGCTTCCACTGCACTGGTGACAGACAGCCACTAACAAACACGTACTAGAGTTTCAAATCTTGACAGTGCCGCAGACCAGGCCTGCTGGGACACAAAGAGAACTGTCTCTCTGCTAACAGCTTGTCTCATTAAGCAGGTGCTGCATGTTTTCTCAAAACAATGCTGGTATTCAATTCCCACTCAGGGCCAGTTCACTTTCCATACCAGCCAGGCACAGACTCGGGCTGTTCCCCTGGGGCCCATCTGCTTGTCTGCCAGAGGTCAGGGTCTCTCAGCAATCATAGAGGTGGGGTTTCTTTCTTTAGGCCACCTACGTACTTCCCATTGCTCTGACCCTTGTGCTGGGTCAGGGTTTTGGCTTCTTCACTTATGGAAATGGTAGTAATCCAAACTGACAAAGGGCCCTGTGAGCTCCTTCCATGAGAAAAAAGAGTACTTTATTTGTCTTCATATTCCCAGTCCCTAGAATAGTACCAGGCAGAGTAGATGAACATTCAGTGCAACCTTGCTGAATGAACAGACAGGTGCCCTCGAAAACTCAAATGATTCACTCTTGACTCTGCCAGGCAAGTGGCCATCTCAGAACAGTGTCTCCCAAAACACAGGTCTGAGTCATCTGCCTCAGAACCTACTGAGGCTGCTTGTTAACAATAAGCTATTCTTGGGCTCCAGAATTAGACATTAGAATCTGGCGGCTAGATAAAGAGGCTAAAATTTGCTGTTCTAAACTACCACTGACATATCTTTTCCAATAAGAAAGTGCTTACATTCTCCCTTATTACTGACAGTTAAGTACCAATAGTTAAGATTTTTTGCCCATTTTGACCCAAGAGGCCTTAATTTAAACCACGCTTTCAACAACTCTGTGAAGGAAGTAGGAAAGGTTAAGTACTGACACCTTCAATAGGACTCTGACTTCTACAGACATTACGAGTAAAAAAAGATAAGCCCTAAAAAGCACACTCTATATGATCTATTTATATAAAATTCTAGAACAGGCAGAAACCTCTGATACTAGAAGTGAGAAGAATGGTTGCTCCTGGGGCAGGAGGTGCCTGATGGGAAGGGGCACAAAGGAACTGCCGGGGTCACAGACACGCTCTATATCCTGAAGTGAGGATGGGATGCACTGGGGTATGCACCTCTCGGAACAAAGACCTGTGCATTGTAAGGTATACCCCAGTAAAAGTTAATAACTTTTTCTCAAAAACAAATGAATTGTTTACTTTGTGTCAAGTCCTTTTCTTTGAAGGATAATTTTTTCTAATTTGCACAGGATATCTATCTATAAATCTAACACTTTTCACACTTGTCCATATGGTATTTCATCTGGGTTCTGTTAATTTTGAATTTTGTTCTTGCCTTCCATAAAAACTGTCCAGTTCAGTACTCCCTCTGCAGTGTGTGTGCCCACTGGCTTCACCTTGCCCTTTACCACAGCAAGTGGATGAAAACGTGCCTAAGAATGGCAGCAGGCCCTGGTCCTGCCCACTCGAAGATGGAGTGAAAAACAAACGCCTTCTGCGTGGGGTGTCAAGACAACATCATTCAATGATTAGGGTAACCACTTTCTCAGCTTTCTATCGGCCAAATCATACTCATAAGTACATAAATAAAAATATGCACAATGTACCGCTCTACCCCAAAAGCGCTAAATAATAAAATAACACAGTTTATATCTGTAATGACTGGCATACCTGGTAATGATTGGTTTGTACCATGTGCTGTGGGCTGGGATAAAATCCTTCGCTGGACCTCGGACTGGGATAACCCGGTCTGCTGGGCTGTAAAATCAAGAGAGCATCATATGAATGAACCTTTTGATTTTGACAAACCTGTACTTTATGAATCGAAAAAGACATTTTCCTAATAGAGCTTACTTGAAAAGAATGATAAAAAGATGCTAAGACATTTCAATAGGGAAAGAACAGTCTTTTCAACAAATGATGCTGTGGCAACTGGATAGCTACATGTGAAAAACTGAAGTCTGACCTCTTCCTCCCACATGCACAAAAATTAACTCAAAATGAATTACAGGTACAGGTCTAAATGTAAAAGTTAAAAACTAAGATTCTTAGAAGAAAACTTAAGAGTATATCTTGGGCAGGGCATGGTAGCTCATGCCTGTAATCCCAGCACTTTGGGAGGCTGGGGTGGGCGGATCCTTTGAGGCCAGGAGTTGAAAACCAATCAGGCCAGTCTGTTGGGAATGTAAAATGGTGTAGTCACTATGGAAGACAGTATGGCTATTCCTTAAAAATTAAATAAAGAATTAGTATATGATCCAGCAATTCTACTTTCAGGTATATGTAAAGTCCAGAGACATGAAAATATATATCCACACAAAAACATGTAGATCAGCTACTCAGGAGGCTAAAGTGAGAGAGTTGCTTGAGCCGAGGAATTAGAGGCCAGCCTGGGCAACGTAGCAAGACTGTACCTTTGAAAAAAACAAATTAAGTAAACACAAACATGTACATGAATGTTCTTAACAGCATTATTCACAATAGATAAAAAGGGGGAACAGTCCATGTCCGTCAACTGATATAACTGGATAAACAAAATGCTGTATACCTACGAAAGGGACATTATTTGTAATTAAAGGGAATAAAATACTGACACATGCTACAACATGGATGAATTTTTGAAACATTCTAAGTGAAAAAAGCCAGTCACAAAGAACATATGATTTCTTTAATGAAATATCTAGAATAGGAAAGATTAATATAGATAGCAAGTACATAAGTGGTTGCCAGGGGTTGGAAGGAGGAGGAGATGGGGAATGACTGCTAATGGGTGAAGGATTTCATTTTGGGGGTGATAAAAATGTTATAGGCTGGGCGCTATGGCTCACGCCTATAATCCCAGCACTTTGGGAGGCCGAGGTGGATCACACGGTGAGACCCCGTCTCTACTAAAAACAAAACAAAAGTCCTAAAACTGGTTGTGGCGATGGTTGCACAACTCTGAATATACTAAAAAAACATCGAATTGTACAATTTATTTATTTGAGTTGAGACTGCCGTATAGGCTGGAGTGCAAGGTATAATCCCGGCTCACTGCAACCACTGCCTCCCGGGTTTGAGTGATTCTCGTGCCTCAGCCTCTCAAGTAGCTGGGATTACAGGCAGCGGCACCTCACCAGGCTAATTTTTGTATTTACAGTAGAGATGGGGTTTTGCCATGTTGGCCAGGCTGGTCTTGAACTCCTGGTCTTAAGTGATCTGCCTGCCTCAGCCTCCCACAGTGCTGGGACTACAGGAGTGAACCACTGTGCCCAGCCGAACTGCACACTTTCAATGGATAAATTGTATGGTATGTAAATTGTATCTTAATAAAGCTATTAAAGTATCATTAATAACAAAATGGGATACTGAATATTCTGAGCCTGAGGGACCCAAATGCTCTCTGTCCAGTAGTCTGGGACCTGGAGAGAAGGCACTTGTGTTCTATTGTTTGACTACTTCCCGGTTGCGTGACTGTGATCAAGTGACGAAACTGACTGGCTTCTAGTTCCTCACCCATAAGATGGGGGTGAGCTACAGGATCTCTAAAGTCACTTCCAGGTCTTAAATTCTCATTTTGTTTGTGGGATAAATGAATTCAAAGTTCATAGTGAAAGAACAATTTAGTCTGAAACAGAAGTCTGAAAGAAGTCAATAAAGTCTTTTAAAACTTGGGGGGTTTAACAAGGTGGAAACCCATTACTGTCTAGCCAAATTAAGTACAGAATAAAAGGAAATAGATTTAAGTTCCAACAAGCTTAGGAAAGAAAACGCCTTAGTGTCTGTCTCTCTCTCCCACAGTGCTGGGTGAACACGTGCTTTGCTCTAGTTAGGTCCGGAGTATGTTTTGGTCTCTAAAATCTGTCTCATTTCCCCCTCAGTTTTGCTTATACTGTCCCCTCTGCCTGGAATGTCTCCTCCTTCCATCTGTAGTATACTTCTGATCCTTTCAGTCTTTTAGATGTTACTTCTTTCACGCAACAGCTCGTGATTTTGCCAGCCTAACATAAACATATGTCCTCTGCTCTCCTAAGGAGGCCTTTTTCACACCCTACCTTCGGTTGCAGGTACTTTTGCACTTGCTCTAGCCCTGCTATTATGAGCTGTTAAATTCCTGAGGGTGAAAAATCCTTCCTTTTGGCTTAACCCTGTCACGTTTCAAACAGTGTTCCAGAAAGAGTCTACTCTAAACTTAACTAAATAACAACATGAATTCCCCCAAAAACACCCCAAACAGGAAAAGGGTATAAAGAGAGCATTCTAGGCTTTTCTCTACTGTGTGTGCTAGGGTGGCAATTTCCAAAGTGTGTTCTACAAAGTGGTTGTGCTGAATTAAAAGAGGTTAAAAAAAAGAGTTCGGCTACCTTGGTACTTGTTTTAAAGATATGTGTTAATATATACGCATTAATGATGGTTGCAGGGGAAAGGGTTTTCTGAATCAAATGCTCTTGGAGTCCAAGAATGGAAGGAGGCAGAGCCAGGGACCAGAACAATAAACAGAGCTGACAGTTGCACAGTGATGTACTCTTGATAAATTCAGGCAAAAAAAAAAAAAAAGTTACAATTTACTGTGTATTCTGTGTGTACTGAACTACCTACTTTACATACAATTTGATAATTTTGATCACCACATTGCTATGAAGCAATATTATAACCCCTATTTTACAGTCTCAAATAAATTGGGCAATTTAAATAGGGGCATATAGGTGGTAATGGTGGAACTGCATGACTCCAAAATCTACTGTGCCATGATGCTATTCTATGACAAGCATACTTCTGACTCACCAAATAAAAAGGAACATACAAAACAAATAGATCAGAGAATGGCAAAACCAATGTAAAATATCTCACAGTGATGCAAAGACTTAACTGGGTAGCAAATGATAACACAAGGTTCCATTTCAAAATAAAAATAAAAGGTAAAAAGTTGAAAATATGTTTTATGATAGACAAAATATTTGCACAAAGGACAACACAAAATCAAATGTTGCTAACCAACAGCCATGGAGAGTGCAAATGTATTGGTAAAATAGCTCTACTTCTGTTCTCTACAAATCAGAGGTTAGCATGGTGGTCAAGAGGGCAGGCTTTGAGCCAGACTGTCAGTGTTCACAGTTAGGGTGCTTCAGCTCTCTGTGTCTCCCTATTGTCAATGATAAAAGGAGTACAATAACCAGCAGCTACCTCCTGGAGCTGCCGTGAAGATTAAATATGTTAATATATGTCAAGATCTTTGAAAATGGCTTTCATATGAGTCCAAAAGTGTCAACTGCTGGTAAGTACGATGAGTTAGCAAGGTCATGACACTTCCTCCTCCAAGACAGAAACTTGGATTTTAATGAAGCAAAATATGGAACAGGGAAGTTTTGCTGAAATTCTCCCTAATGAGGAAGGAGAGAAAGGAAGACACTGGTATTCTAAACCAGAGGTCCTCAACTGGATGGCACTGTTCCTTCAGAAGCATTTAGGGTACAGTCAGCCCTCCATATCCAAAGGCCCAGCATCCATAGATTCAACCAATTGCAGATTGAAAACATACAGGAAAAAAACAAAAAACAACAATAAAAAATAATACAAACAAAAAGATAAGTATAATAACTATGTAAGCCGGGTGCAGTGGCTCATGTCTGTAATCTCAGCACTTTGGAAGGCTGAGGCAGGCAGATTGCTTTGAGCTCAGGAGTTTGAGACCAGCCTAGGCAACACGGTGAAAAAAATATGAGAAGATTTTCATATTTCAAAAAATATGAAAATCAGCTGGGCAATGGTGGCTTGCACCTATAGTCCCAGCTACTCAGGAGGCAGAGGCTGGAGAATCACTTAAGCCCAGGAAGTGGAGGTTGCAGTGACCTGAGATCATATCACTGCACTCCAGCCTGGGCAACAGAGCGAGACCTTGTCTCAAAAAAAAAAAAAAAAAAAATCTGTATCTATATTTAAAATAATTTAAAGTATACTGAAAGATGGGAAGATGGGCCGGGCGTGATGGTTCAAGACTTTGGGAGGCCGTGGTGGGCAGATCACCTGAGGTCAGGAGTTTGAGACCAGCCTGGTCAACATGGTGAAACCCTGTCTTTACTAAAAATACAAAAAAATTAGCCAGGCGTGGTGGCACACTCCTGTAATCCCAGCTACTTGGGAGGCTGAGGAGTGAGAATAGCTTGAACCCGGGAGGTAGAGGTTGCGGTGAGCCGAGATCGCACCATGGCACTGCAGCCTGGGCAACAGAGTGAGACTCTGTCTCAAAAAACAGAACAAGCCAACAACAACAACAAAAATAAGTATACTGGAAGAGGTATGTAGGTTATATGCAATTCTGTGCTATTTTATATAAGGAATTTATGCATCTGTGGATTTGAATCTCCATCCCTTGCAGATATCAAGGCAGAACTGTATTAGTGAGGGTGCTTTCCATGATCACACAATTGGCATTAAGGTAGAGGTCAGCATGTGAGATTTCTGGCAATGAGAAGGACAGGCCTGAACAGCAGGATTTGTTTCATATCCCGCGGGACTTCTTTCTTTTGTTTTGAGACAGTCACGCTCTGTCGCCTAGGCTGGAGTGCAGTGGCACGATCTCGGCTCACTGCAACCTCTGCCTCCCGAGTTTGAGTGATTCTCATGCCTCAGACTCCCAAGTAGCTGGGATTACAGGCATGTGCAATCACACCCAGCTAATTTTTATATTTTTATTTTTTGAGATGGAGTCTTGTTCTGTCGCCCAGGCTAGAGTGCAGTGGCGTGATCTCGGCTCGCTGCAACCTCTGCCTCCTGAGTTTAAGCGATTCTCGTGCCTCAGCCTCCCAAATAGCTGGGATTATAGGTGCATACCACCACACCTGGCTAATTTTTGTATTTTTAGTACAGACAGGGTTTCGCCATGTTGCCCAGGCTGGTCTCGAACTACTGGCCTCAAGTGATCAGCTCATCTTGGCTGCCCAAAGTGCTGGGGTTACAGGCGTGAGCCACCATGCCCGGCCCCCGCAGGACTTTCTGCTGTTTCTCTCAATTTTATGTAAGTAAAACAACAGCAACAATAAAATCCCTGTCACTTGAACACAGAATGAATTCTGCTTTATATATTTTGTATAGTTTGTATAGATATTTTGTATAGTTTATGAGGCACTGAACTTTCCAGAACAGCAACTACTGTGTATACTGATGGGCAATTTTATTTTGTTTCATTTAAACTTTACCAAGATTTTCTTACCATTCTAGAAAATGACATCACCAAGACCAATGAAATTCCTATCAGTTATAGCTGTGGGGGTCTGCTTTGTCACTGCTGTATTCATGGTGAGTCCACAAACAGGTGTAAGGATCTGGCTATGCCACCGTGTCTCCCAATGTCATCAGATCTGAGTGCTTTATACATGCATGCATAATGTTATAAAAAATGACTTTCCTTTTATTTCTCCTGTATAGTTAGGTCTCCAAACACTAGTATTCCTCCATTGATATTTTGAAATTGCTAAGTCATTCTATTACCTATGTATTTTATTTCAGGATTAGCAAATGGGACATTATAAAATCATTTTTTATATAAATGCCGTGCTGGGTTTGATTAGGGTTGAAGAACAATGTTCTGAGGCAGTTATTCTCAAACATTTAATCATTTTCAGGACCCCTTTACAGTCTTAAAAATTACTGAGGACTCTAAGAGTTTTTGTTTATTTGGAATGTAACTACCAACACTCATACTGTTAGAAATTAAAACAGATACTAAAAAGTATTTATTAATTCACTTAAGAATAAGCTCATCACATACTAAAAAAAAAAAACCTACTTTTTCAAAACCAAACAAACCAAACTGAGAAGAAGGACACATGTACATCTACACTGATGTAAATCTGCTTTAATGTTAGGCTTAACAGAAGGCAGCAGGTTCTCATATCTGTTTCTGCAGTCTTACGATGTTCTGTTTTGTTGCAATATATGAGGGGAAAAAAAGTAAACTCATACAGCTGTACAACTGGAAAAGGGAGGAGTATTTTGGTAGATTCTGGGCACAACTGTGGTATTGTTTTTTGATTTGACACCAAAATGCAAGTGGTAGCTTCTTAAAGGTGAGTTGCAATGTGGAATTTACAATGGTATCATCTGTTACATTAAAATCCATAGAATTAAGGGGGGAAAAAAGGAGAAAAAAATCCACTATTTATCTTGTACTTTCAATGGAACTTCTACTCATGTGTGATTTTTAACATCCTGTGTAGGTCATTTGGAAGATACTGATTTACTGAGCTATAGAGATCCTCCCAATGTTAACACATTTCAGTAAACAACATATATTTTTAAAATATCACATGTTAATACCATCCTGAGCTTACTATAACAGTCTAAGAATTTAGAAAGCTGTCAAGATCACGGTAATAAGTTTTTCAAAATTCTAATTTTTGCTTGAAAACTCGAATTTTATACCGGTAACAAACAGTTGTTTTCTTCAAAGTCACAGCCTCACCTCTTTCTCTTTTGAGAAAATGTCTACCAAATATGCAACTCTGAACAGTATGTCTGCCAGCTGTTCTTTCAAGTAAAGCTGGTCTTCCATGAAAAAAAGTGTTTAGTCCAGCTTTGCAACTCAACTGTATAGTGCTTTCCTCAAGATAAGACATCGTGTCTAGGTGTGCAGCAGCAGGGCTAACATGCCCTTCCCATGTCTTCACATCAGATATTTTTCACTGCTTCATCAAGGCCATTCTTCTGTAAAACAGCATTTTTTTCTTTTTGTGTGAGCACAGGGGTGAAGAACACAGTGATGACTAGTACAATTTCATCCCACTGCCCTGATTTGTGCTAAGGTGTCAGCAGCTCTATTAGCGGAAAAGGCAAATAACATCCTTTTGTTTTTTGAGACAGAGTCTTGCTCTGTCTCCCAGGCTGGAGTGCAGTGGCGCGATCTCAGCTCAGTGCAACCTGTGCCTCCTGGGTTCAAGTGATTCTTGTGCCTCAGCCTCCTGGGTAGCTGGGACTACAAGTGCAGGCACCAACTTGCTTAGCTAATTTTTGTATTTTTAGTTGAAACGGGGTTTTGCCATGTTGGCCAGGCTGGTCTCGAACTCCTGGCCTCAAGTGATCCACCTGCCTCAGGCAAATAATATCTTAACATAATTATCAGATGAGTTCTGATGTCACGGACCTTTGGAATGGTCACGGGGACCTACAGAGGTCCAAGGACTACACTTTGAGAATGGCTGTTCTAGGATACTTTTATCCTGAGGCACTCTATTGATCCAATGGGAATCTGCAGGAAAGCAACAGGCACAGATGAAAATGAGCATTTAATGGGACACTCCCATGCAGGGCTTGTCTCAGGGAAAGTTCTCTAAATATTATTATTATATGAAAAAATTGGTATTAAGTATGATGAAGTGATCCATACATATTCTTAATAATTGGCTTTGTGGTTATAATGCTTTTACTATTAACTAAGTAAGCTTTAAAAAAAATTAAAATTTCATTATTGATTTATTTTTTTGAGACAAGGCCTTGTTCTGTTGCCCAGGCTGGAATGCAAAGGTGCAAACATGACTCTCCATGCAGCCTAGACCTCCTGGGCTCAAACGATCCTCCTGCCTCAGTCCACTGAGTAGCTAGGACCACAGGCACACGCCACTAAATTTGGCTAATTTTTAAATTTTTCTGTAAAGACAGTCTCATCCTGTTGCCCAGGCCGGTCTCCAATTCCTGGGCTCAAGTGATCCCCCTACCTCAGTCTCCCAAAGCACCGCAATTATAGGTGTGAGTCACCACACCCGGCCTGTAAGTGAACTTAATTTTGAATCTTGATTGGGAAAGAGAAAGACTTTTCACCTATAAAACTTACAAAACTTTTCACTTATAAAACTAATTAAGCTACATTAAAATTTTTCTATATTAGTATTAATAACACAAAATTTATCTACAGAAGCCTGAGATCCTATCTAAATTTCAGAAATCTAAGTGGCTCTGGAGGCCGAAGCAAAGGGATTGTTTAAGCCCAGCAGCTCAAGAGAGCTTGGGCAACATAGTAAGACCCCATCTTTATTTAAAAAAAAAAGAAAGAAAGGAAGGAAGGAAGAAATAAAAAAAAAAAATCTAAGTAAGACAGCCGGGCGTGGTGGTTCACACCTGAAACCCCAGCACTTTGGGAGGCTGAGGCGGGCAGATCACCTGAGATCAGGAGTTTGAGACCAGCCTGGCCAACATGGTGAAACCCTGTCTGTACTAAAAATACAAAAATTAGCCAGGCATGGTGGCAGGTGCCTGTAATCCCAGTTACTCAGGGGCCTGAGGCAGGACAATTGCTTGAACCCAGGAGGCAGAGGTTGCAATGAGCCAAGATTGCGCCACTGCACTCCAGCCCGGGCAATAGAGCAAGGCTCTGTCTCAAAAAAAAAAAAAAAAAAAAAAAAAATCTAAGTAAGACTTACTTATTCTAATATATCACAAGCAGAATTATGAAAACTCACCAGAATCTACTGAATTCTCACTTCACAAAGTATAGGAAGTGAGGAAATACTGGCCTACCATCTTGGAAATCACAGACTCATTTTAGACGTGCTAAATACTGTGACCATAGAAGCAGAATTTGATTCTAACGATGGACACTGAGAAGGTAAAAACTGCATACAGGACTTGATTCTGATTGGCATGAAAGTTCAACAATTAACATATTAGTATTTGTTAATAATCATCAAGCATCTGTATATCTATGCTACTTTAGATGATTTTCTAGCCATTAAAACCGTTTTTTTTTTTTTTTTTTTTTTTTTTTTTTTTTTTTTGAGAGAGTCTCACTTTATCGCCCAAACTAGAGTGCAGTGGCGTGATCTCGGCTCACTGCAATCTCTGCCTCCTGAGTTCAAGCAATTATCTTGCCTCAGCCTCCTGAGTAGCTGGGATTACAGGTGCCGGCCACCATGGCTGGCTGATTTTTGTATATTAGTAGAGACGGGGTTTCACCATGTTGGCCAGGCTGGTCTCGAATTCCTGACCTCAGGTGATCTGCTCGCCTCGGCCTCCCAAAGTGCTGGGATTACAGGGGTGAGCCACCATGCCCGGCCGCCATTAAAACTTTTAATCTGGGGGTTGCCAAATCTTTTCTTTAAAGGTCAAAGAGTAAATATTTTAAATTGTGTAGGCTATACTGTCTCTGCCACAACTGCTCATTTATGCCTGTGTAGGGTGAAAGCAGCTGTGGATAATATACAAATAAATGAGTGTGTTCCAATAAAACTGTGTTTCAATAAAACTAACAAAAACACAGTGGGCTATAGTTTCCTCATCTGTTTACTTAACAAATAAACCTTTGTGTAGAGTGCAGCAATCTGCTTATAGAAAAGAATCTCAAAATATATATTTTGAAAATATCTTTTAAAAAAAAAAGTGTAAGGATATTTAAATATTTAAGCCAATCTAGTCTTTGTACTCTGAAACCAAAAAAGAAGCCAAGAAGCCTCATCACCACTGCCCATGAACCTAATTTGGAAAATTAGTCATATTAAACTCACTAAAAATCCAACAGATTGGGATATAGAAAAATGTGTAGATGAAGAGTTGATTTAATCCTGTGAGTTTTAGGGAAGTGTTGCATTCTTTGGTGCTCATTACCAAATACTTATGTTACTTTGCACTTCTGTGTACTAAATAAAGTGCTGTACAGTGAATTATCTTCTTAACATCCCCACCCAAGAGGTAGGGAATACAAATAGTCATTTTGTAAATAAGGAATGTGAGATTTGGAGTAGGTAGGTGACTTGCTCAGTCATCAGAATGTAAATAGCAGACCCCCATGTGAATGAATCCACTTGACTTCAAGGCCTGAGAAGTTAATGATGAGATTCTCCCGACTCTCAGTACTGGACTATTCTGCAGTAGTAAACAAATTTAAAAATAGGCAAACTTGTAAACAGAACATGAAGGGCCTCAGATGCTGGGATGCGGGGTACGTGCTAGTTTTTTCTGTGGGTAACTAAGGATTTCCTGTTGTTGTTAAGCTGGGAATGACAGAGAAACGACAGGTGTTCTCACTGCCTCGTTCAATGTAACATCCATCAGACAGGTATGTGTTTCTTCTCTGGGCCTCGGTCCTTCTCTCTGTAGAGGGGGCTGGTCTGAGGCACCCTCTGTCTCTAAACTTCTGCATAATTGTGTTAATCACTTATTTTCACTTTCAGTGTACGTTTACTGTTACAGAGCTCAAAATGATGACCAAGAAAGTAAAAGTTTTCAGCCTTCAAGATAAAAAAATTGGTATATTTAAATAGTACTTTGTCTTATCAGGTTTCTGAACACTTTTCATAAAGAAAATAATTGTCAAAGTTTCTTAATATATTTTTTAACTAGTCAAATATCAAATGGTGGTAGTTAATAACTACTAACTACAAAAAATCCTATTATCTTTTAACTTTTGAGAAAAAGAACAGAACTGGAGTATTCATGGCAAGTAACCCAGTGTGTGAAAATAGCATCCTGTCAAAAGCCAATGGTATATAAAGACTTATTAATCTAGGGCAAGTGTTACTCTGGCTAAAACCCCCAGCCATGGCATGGCCCAGCAACTGTAAAAGGCCTGGGCTGACCTCTCCGAGGCAGGAGAGGGCACCAGTAAAGGATAAGAACATAAGCGGGCAAGTAAGGTCTAAGGATGCTGCCGGAAGATCTTATTAAGGAAACAAAAGCAACTGCAATGTGCTCTCTTTCCCAACAAACAACCCAGCCACCAGCTACGAAAGAAAAAGGCAAAAAATGTGCAGAGTTCTCAACAAACAAAACAAAGGAATATGGTCAGGTAGAGACAGACTCATTTTTAAATAAAGCAAAATGCAAAGCATCTGTGACCTAGTCTGGTATTTTAATCCAGACTTGATCATTAGGGAGATCTCTGACAATCAACAAAGGAAAAACCTCCTCCAAGTTAGGGCAGCATAGGAAAAGCATTTTAAGATGACATCTGTCCAACTGCTCATGGCTTCAAAGAGCCCCTACTTGAAATACAAATGAGGAAAGTGAGTGCACATGAGGGTAATACGAGAAGACGAGCAAAAAGGAAACAATTAGTTGGTGTTATAACTATTACTCTTAGAATAACCTGATATTTGACTTTCTCCTCATAGAAAACAGCTGCCTAACTGTAAATCTTGAAAGTTAGTAAGAGTAACCCCAAAGTTGGGGTGGGGACTGTAGCTACCTTGGGCGGTGCTTCATCAGACCCTCCGGAGTCCCAGGACACTGTGGCCTGTCTTCTGGACTCCATCCTCATGCGCTCTTCTTGCTGAGCCTTCTCTTCCTCCAGGATTGTGCTAGAGAGACAACACATTGTCTTAGGGGAGCTGACAACCCAGAGTTAGCACACACTAGACCCCACCCTGAGTTATCTAAGGAACACCAGTTGGCTAACAGTAGATGATAACAATAAAGGATCCTATACACAGGGGAAAGAAGGATCAGGTTTCTAACTCTCCACGAAATGATTCTAGAATAGCCTTGGTCCAAATGGGCAAGTCCATTTAAAGCACAGCCATAGGTAAGAAAAAGACAGCTGGTAAGAAAAAGAGGTTGCAGAAAATGAAGGATGGGCCAAGATGAAATGTTTGCATGCCAAAGTTTATCTTGAGCAGAACAGAATTCCTCTGAGAAATCCCACGCAGCACTTTATCAAGCATATACATGTCTGAGGACAGATTCTTTTCACACCTAATGTGATCACGCCAGCACTTACGTGATCAATTAGCAATCTGGCCAATAATCTCCCTAAATTGCTCAATACAATCTTCCTATCGTTCAGCTTAACCAGTGCTTTATCTGATCAGGAAAATAAGCAAAAACACAACAGTATTTACAAGTGCTTCTGAAAATACTACTTGCTTTAAGCTGGAAACCCCATAAGTTGGTAACACTGCTACTTACCACTGCTTGACTACTCAGAAGCTATCTGAAGTCCCACATAACGCTGCAGCCGCTGCAGCGACTGCTAGGCAGCTTCTTCATCTTGGCTGTTTGCCATCACATAAACCCCTCAGAATGCAGCCAAAGCGAGACTTTGCTAGTTTCCCATTCCACGCAGATGCCCCAGGGCTCAGCAGACAGTTTGAAACCCTCGTCCTAACTGTGGCAAACAGCTCTTCCTACATTCCTACAACTCTAGAGTTCTAATAATGACACTCATTCAAAGTTTCTAGGCTCCTGGTAGATAGTGTGCAGTAAACAACCACCCAAAAATTACTCAGGAAAGAGTGACATCAGTGCACCAGACTTTCTAATCTGGGAATTTGCTCAACTGTTTAAAAAGACATTCCTGCTTGGCTGGAGGCTAGAATGTGCTGTTTCTCACACAACTCAACTTACACAGTCACCTTCTGAGTCAGGAAAAGAGACAAAATGTATTTCATAACTGCCCCAAGTCAGCAAACCATCACTACAGATGTTAAGACGTTTTTCATCCCCAAAACAAAAGGGAATGTCTGCCTCAAGAAATGATCACATCAGGACCGGGCATGGTGGCTCACGCCTGTAATCCCAGCACTTTGGGAGTCCAAGGTGGGCAGATCACGAGGTCAGGAGTTCAAGACCAGCCTGGCCAACATAGTGAAACCCCACCTCTACTAAAAATACAAAAATTAGCCCGGTGTGGTGGCGCGTGCCTGTAGTTCCAGCTACTCGGGAGGCTGAGGCAGGAGAATCCCTTGAACCCAGGAGGCGGAGGTTGGGGTGAGCTGAGATCACGCCACTGTACTCCAGCCTGGGCAACAGAATGAGACTCCACCTCAAAAAAAAACCCCCAAAATCACATAAGCATTTTACATAAAAGCTTTTAATCAAAAGTCCCACTCCATTCTCAAGATACGATTTTGGTTTCTTTCTTGCTCCAGTTAGATGATCATGGCTGAGCAAACACCACAAAACTCTTCACAGTATTTAAGAATTCTGCAGCAGCCTTGACAGACAGGCAAGATGCTCACTGGGTGCCAGCACTGTTGGGAACCTGGTCCCATGTGCCAGGCCCAGGTGAGTCCTGGTGAGTGGTGCAGGGAAGTTTGGGGCCAGGTCTGGGGAAGGAGCAGAGGGGTCCTGAGAGGGCCACTCTCTCTGCCCTGCCCCTCCAATCAGAAGAGCGCTCCCCTCCGCTGCTGGGAGGATTAAGGGAGATCATGGCTATGAGAGCATCTGCTATAAGCGTTAGTTGTCATCAGTGGGTATTTCTGATGGCATTTACTTGAGGGCTGCTCATTCAGCAAGTATTTGTTAACTTTGCTAACTTGCTCTGTGCAAGATGCACGTGACGAGGTCTTTGAGGTGCTCTAACAGAAAAGAAAACTCAAAACCTTGAAACAGGGCCAGGCAAGTTGGCTTATGCCTGTAATCCCAGCATTCTGGGATGCTGAGGTGGGATCGCTTGAGTCCGGGAGGTGGAGGCTGCAGTGAGCCAAGATAGCACCACTGCACTCCAGCCTGGGTGACAGAGTGAGACTTGTCTCACCAAAAAAAAAAAAAAAAAAAAAAAAAAATCAAAAACAACAACAACAACAACAACAACAACAAACACCCTGAAACAGGACACAAATGTTGTGATGAGCACTAGAGAAGAGCTCGGCCTGGTACGTTCTAGCTGCAGAACTAAGCGGGAGAGGACACTGTCCCAGGCACTGGGGGTGGTTTGGGAGGAAGAGTCACAGCATCTCAGCAGGTCACAGTTACAGACTCACACCAAGCACATAATGTTTGTGTGCTTTTGGAAATGTAACGAGCATTACATGACCAAAGCACAGCAATGCTTTCTGTCCATTTCTTATGTGAAAATAAATACCTTTATATTTCAATTTTCCTTATTTATTTTAATTTATGACTTAAAAAAACACCTTCTGTTATACTTTGAAACAGTGCCTGGCACATAGCTGACACTTAAATATTTGCTAAATGAACAAATACTGCATATAGATAAAATACATGCATTATCATGATCTATTAGATGTTTAACTAAGCTGAGTAAATTCAGGGATCATTAGTGGTTAAAAAAAAAACCGGATGGGAAAACAGCAAGGCTCAATCAAACTCAAGGAGTTTGAGTCACACTGACATCAGGTTTAAATTCTACCATAGACAGGTTAGATGACCATGGACAACTCTGTCCCTCCAAGCCTCATCCACAAAATGGGGTACCTCCCTAACTACCTATCTTGAAGGGTTGTTGCGAATATCTAAATGAAAATTAGACAACCTATGTGACGAGCTCTGAAATGCAAGAAGCTTTTAAAAAATAGAAGGAACTATTAGAAATTCCCCATCAGATAATATCCTGTGTAACTAATGGCTACCATTCCCACAAAGAGCTCTAAGTCTTTTTCTTTCTTTCTTTCTTGTTTTTGGGGCGGAGTCTTGCTCTGTTGCATAGGCTGAAGTGCAGTGGCACGATCTCAGCTCACTGCAACCTCTACCTCCCAGGTTCAAGCGATTCTCCTGCCTCAGCCTCCCAAGTAGCTGGGACCACAGGTGCATGTGCCACCATGCCTGGCTAATTTTTTGTATTTTTAGTAGAGATGGGGTTTTACCATGTTGGCCAGGCTGCTCTCAAACTCCTGACCTCAAGTGATCCGCCCGCCTTGGCCTTCCAAAGTGCTGGGATTATAGGCATGAGCCACCATGCCTGGCCTCCTACCTTTCTTTCTTTATTTTTTTTTTTTTAAAAGAGATGGAATGGTACTAAGTTGCTCAGGCTGGTCCTGAACTCCTGCGTTCCAGAGTAACTGGGACTACAGGCTTACACCATATGCCTGTGCAAGTATTTCAAATGAGTTAATATCCAAGTAGAGCTTGAGATACAAAGGAGCAACCATGTCTTTTTACAAATCCATCTAATCACCTATGAAGTGTTAGCAATACAACTACTAAGACTGGCTATCAATCAAACCAACAGATCAAGAATATGCCTGCTAAAACAGTCACTGATATACAATGTCTTTGAACTTGACAAATGTAAAGATGTTACAACTATAAGGAATAGGAGTTGATACTTTGGTATGAGGTAATATAGCTTCACCCAGTCCTGAGAATTTACCAATGAAAATGTGGGAAGGTATATCTTAACTTTCTAGATCATAAAACACCAGTAAATCCATACCTCAAAAGGCTGCTAAAGGAGTTAAAAATATGTATTTTTTTTTTTAGAGCTAGGGCATGTGCACACATGGCGGGAACTACCATTGCTTTTAAAAGTGAAGTGATTAATCTCGCTTCACTTCCCTTTTTCCTCACCTATACACCTTCTTCCTTTATGTCCTGGCAAGTTCTCCGAAGTCATTATGCTCTCCCATGCCTCTTTATGTTGTGTCTCTTGCCTGGAACACCTTTCTCTTCTTTCTCTGGCCAACTCCTACTTGTATTTCAAGTGTCAAATAGTAGTTCCTCCAGAAAAATCTTCCCTGAAGCTCCCTCCTCCCTTTAGGCTAAGTTACATTACTCTCCTTATTCTCTTCCAAAGAAACTAGTGCCTAACTTGCTCTTAACTCTTGCCAAAAGGCATTGTAAATATCTGTTTGTTTGACTTTTGCTCCCATTAGGCCAAAAGTTGTTACCTGAAGGCCCATTTTCAAATGCTCAGAATTAGCACAGACCCTGAAACATAATAGGAATTAATAAATGACAGGTAAATGGATGAATAAAGCCCTATCAGTGGAGCAGGTCTACTGACTAGTGAAGAAGAGCACATTACCAAGCTTCCTGTTCTTTTTAAATTTATTTTTATTTTTAAAGAGACAGGGTTTCGCTATTATTGCTCAGGCTGGTCTCAAACTCCTGGGCTCAAGTGATCCCCCTGCCCTGGCCTCCCAAAGTGCTGGGATTATAGGTGTGATCCACTGTGCCTGGCCAATTTCTTTTTTCTTTTTTTGAGACAGGGTCTAACTCTGTAGCCTAGGCTGGAGTTCAGTGGCACGATCATTCCTGGACTCAAATAATCCTCCCACCTCAGCCCTCCGAGTAGCTGGGACTACAGGTGCATCACCAGGCCTGGTTGATTCTTTTTTATTTTTTGTAACAATTAAATAATAAATAAAAATCTCACTGTGTTACCCAGGCTGGTCTTGAACTCCTGGGCTGGAGTGATCCTCCCACCTCAGCCTCTCAAAGTATTGGGATTACAGATGTGAGCCACCATGCCCAGCCCCTGTTCTCTCAACTGGCCAAACAGGAAAGGACCTGCGAATGGTCACTGGGAGCAGGAGACCAGTCAGAGACCAGGAGCAAAGAAGGCCTAGCTGGCCTGAGAGAGAAGCACATCCCTGGTTAGTGGTTTTACAGTGCCCTGCTCTCTATTGCCTCACCCTTAAAATAAACACCACACCCTCAGTCAGAGTTTGTAAAAGTTTTAGTTTTAAACAGGTAAAAAGTCCATAAAAATCAAGAAAAAAAATTGGGGAAAACAAGTGTCTTTTCTTCTACTCCTTCAAATAATTAAAATAAAGGCAAGCTAAGAGAAGGCTAAGTGGGACATATTCTTCAAGGCAACGGGAACTCAGTTTTAAATGGGTTCTCATCAGGCAATGTTATTTCACACAGATTGTTTTGTGAAATGGGCCACTCTGATCTTAAGGCTACTTACTGTTTTCCCCAAGCATCTCTAAAAGGACCCTGTGGAGTCCCTTGCCACAAGAAGACTCTCTCAGGCTCCATCTGCCCTGATATTTCTACCTACACACACTTCCCCTATTCTCTGACCCACTGAATTTACTGCCTGAATGTTTCATTTCAGCCCTTAATCACATATTGCCATGTTGTGGAATTTAGCTTGTAAACTCCCTACAGTTGTCAGACATGAATCTAATTTCTCTTGTAAGCTAAGTATCACTTGCATATTATAGACACTTTGATATTTAATTAAACATCCGAGTTGTTCCTCAAAGAACATAATGACAACTGGGAAGCAAGTTCCTTCAATCTCACTACTTCATTCTCATACCCAAAATAGCCTGTCAAAACGTTTCTGAGAAACCATAATTTGCTGCTCAGAGGAACCAAGAATATAAATAACTCATAAAAAATATCTGTTTTTACAATGGGAAGACTAGTCCATAGATGGAGTAGGAGGGCACAAGGAGACAGTACTGAACTTTTCTCTTTACAGCTGCTGAAGAATCCACAGTAACAAACTAGAATGTGCAGAGTATCAAGGAGGTCAAACTGAAGCATATTTTCCCAAACTATAAATATTTTTAGTAGCAATACATTCCATCTGAAAGCTCTTAGCTGCCTAATGTGAACTGGCAACAAATGAGCCCTCATGTTTTTTCCCAGAATGGTGGTTTCCAAGTCTCAAACTTGCAAATAGATGGAACAATGAAAGCTGAGACTTGTCATTTAACAAACATTAGCACAATGATAATTACACTTTATTGATCCACGTGCACCACTGAGGAACAGAATCCTGAAGCGGGGAAAGGAGTACTTTATTTAGTGTTAGTTTTATTTTTTACTTCTCTTACTTTAAAATAAAATCATTGAAGTGATCAGTTCACAGTAAAAGGACATAAAAACAGTTGCTCTGATTTTCTTCTTTTGGCCTGCAACATTCCCTATACAACTTGATGGTGAGCAAGAAAGTAGTCCTTCATTTCCAGTATGGACAGCTAAGACACAAAAATACAGCTCCAACAAAGGCAATTTTCAGAAGTAGAAAAGGCCAATTGATTCTGAGTGTTTTTCTTCAAGCTGTCCCAGAAGAAGCAACAGATAGATAAACAAGCTGCTTCTCTGGTGAGTTATGCAATTCCAGAGGAGATCCTGCCTACTTGAACCTGTTTTGTCATTTACAAGTAAAAATCACAGTCTACCCTAACTATTGTTAGAATGGAAAAACAACATATGTATTAATAAAAAATTAGTAAACTTCTAAGTAAACGTTAATTAGCTCTGTATTTTACCTGCCTCATTTACCACTAGGAAAGAACTGTGTTTTTGTCTTCATTTCTGTAATATTTTCCCTGAGACTGACTGTACTACTAACTTTTCTCTTTGCAAATACAAAACATTTCTCCTTTTAAATGTAATAAATACTTTTTGCTTTATTAAATATGGGAAGAAAAACTTTTTAAAAAAGATTGGATTTTGATACTTAAAGGAATCATGTAAAACTAAGGATCTGTTTTATGATCCTGATCATAAAATTTGCTTTGGATATAAAATCAGTCTGGGTTTGCAGTTATTTAAGTTAATCTAGAAAACACCCAGAGAGAGAACAGCAATAAATTTGAAGGGAAAAAAGTCAAGCGGGAACTGGCTTGTTTTGGCAAGTTCATGGGAATACCAGTTTTGAAACATGATTTCTTATAATTAGTCAACGCTGCTTCACCACAAAGGAATGGAATTGGCCTTTTAAAAACAAAACAAAACCAAACAAAACCCTACCGTCTTTGCAGAAAACAAGTCTGAGGTTTGAGATGAAGCTAGGGATGGCATACCTGGAAGTAGCTGACCTAGTAGCTAAAGGCCATGATCACAGCATTACTGCTTATGCCTCTGCTCTTTTTCTCTTTTCTCTTAAGCAGTGATGCTGGAGATTATGGCCTTTAGTCTCCAGGTGGACTGGAAATCCAGCTTCATGGATATATTGAAATCATATTTCTCTCATTGCTTCTCCAACTGCAGTAAATAAAGTCTTTTGTTTGGTTATTGTGCTGTATCGATCTCAAAATTATTTTTAAAAAAACCCTGATATCCACTAAGACTGTACCTTTATTTTTTTCTATTTTTTGAATTGGGGTTTTGCTCTGTCACCCAGGCTGGAGTGCAGTGGCTCGATCACGGCTCACTGCAGCCTTGGCCTCCTGGGCTCATGTGATCCTCCCATCTCAGCCTCCTGAGTTGCTGAGATTACAGGCATGAGCCACCGCAAATGTTACTTTAAAATGTTGACACCTTTTTCTGTTTCTGCTACGTGTGAGTAGCTCTTATTTGACCAACCCTCTTGCAGACAGGAACTGTATACTCTGGATATAAGAAACAACTGTGACAGCATGGGAGAGCAACCATAGGCAGCCAGATTCTGGAGGGAGCTGTCATGAGAAGGAAGAGAACGGCACTGGGTGGGTCCCCACTTTTCAGTGGCCATTAGTGAGAAGGCAGGCGCCAGTGTTACTGGCTTGAATAACCAGAGAAATGAGTTTGGAGCAATTATAGCTAGCAAAAAGGTAATCGGAAAAAAGTGAAGGGAGAAATCCCAGAATGAAGACAGGCAGAGAAGGAGTGCTTCAAATTCTGAGTATATATTCTGCACACATCTCTGCTGATCCTAGAATCATGCACACACAGTGCAGACTCCAAGCAGCCCAGCTAAGGCTAAAATAATGGAACAGAGATTTGCACTGCTGCTCACAGCGGAAAGAGGCTCTGCTACCTACCCATCAGCCACAATGTCTAGGATATAATCTAACATTCCTTGATATACAAAAAAAAAAAAAACCCATAAAAATGTGACCCATTCTCAAGAGGAAAAAAAATTAAAGGAGGCTGATTCTAAAGATGACTCAGATGTTGAAATCAGCAAGGATTTAAAAGAAGCTATTATATTCAAGGGTATAAAAGAAAATTTATTCATAATGGATGAAACGATAGGAAATGTCAGCAGAGAAACAGAATACAAAAAAAAGAAGCAAACAAAAATTCTATTACCAAAAAATACAGTATATGAAATAAAATCTCCATTGGATGAAGTGATCAGTAGGATGGGGATGACAGAAAAGGAGTTAGGGTACCTGAAGGTAAGTCAGTAAAAATGATTCAATCTGAAGCGGGGAAGGTCAGGAATGGGGAGAGGAGGAAGAGGAAGGGGAAGAGAAGGTGACAACGAGAGCTTCTGGGACTCAGCCTGAAGGACACCATCAGAAGTCTTAACACACGTGCGACTGGAATCTCAGAAGAGAGGGAAAATAGAACAGAAAAATGTATCTGAAGAAACAATGATCTAAGTTTTTCTAAATTTTATAAAAGATATGTTTATAGATTCAAGAGGCTCAGCAAATCCTAAACACAACTGACATTAAGAAAACCACACCCAAGCACATCCTACTTAAATTGCTGAAAAATCAAAGAAAGAAAATCATGGAAGCTGCCAGAGAAAAACACACACTGCATACAAAGTAACAATTGTATGGCCAGTGACTTCTCATTAAACATAACAGGGCAGAAGACAGTAAAAGAACATCTTTAAGGTGCTGGGGAAAAAAAAAATTACAACTCTGTCAACCCAAAATTCCTATCAACAAAGTTAAGTTCAACTCATTTTTAGATAATATAAAACTAATAGAATTCACCACCAACTGATCTGCACCACAAGAAATGCTAAAAAAAATTATTCATCTGATGGGAAACCAAATGGAAATAAGCTCTTCAAGAAGAATGGAGCACTGTACGAAGTTAAATATAGAAGAGTGAGTTTGCTTACTTTATTTAAAATGGTATTTAAGATAAAAATCATAAACTAATTTTGTGGGGTTAATGGCATATGTGAATGTAACATACATGACAATTTCAGCATAATGGACCAAGGTGGTGGTGGTAAATGGACATTCCTGCTGGCAAAGTTTCTACATTTTATATGAAGTACAATGATTAACTCTAACTAAACTATGAAAAGTTAAGATGTATACTGTAATTCCCAGAGCAAGCACTGAAAACATAATACAAAAGGTATTGCTAAAATGCAAGTTTGAGAAAAAGGTTAAGGCAGAGAAAGAGAGGTGGATGTTAAGTTATTGGTTTCAAAGTGCCAAATTGTGCACTTTGGCAAATTGTGCAAAGACAGAACTATGATAGGGACGTGTGGGTGAGAACCAAAAAGGGGTAAGAATTATTGTTAGATATGAAGCAGCTAAGAATAATTTTCAGTAGAAACAATTTACGTTTTACATTAAATTCCTATTAAATTCAGATTTGCAGTTTGTTTTTTATCACTGGGAAGACTGCGGGCCAAAACAGAACACAAACAAAAAACTCCTGAAGTTCACATGCTGTGAACATTTTAACTGTACGTAGCTATAATTGTGAAACAGCTTAGTCTTCTAGATAATATCTAGACCCAATAGGATAGCAATGCAAAAAAAAAAAAAAATACTGGTATAATGACTAAGGAGGAATTTAGACACCACCTTTGAAAGGAATTTTGGAAGCAAATACAAAATCGCTTAAAAAAAACACAGTAGTACAAGCAATTTCATGTCATTAATCAAACCTAGAACTTCTAATTTAAAGTTCGTGTTGTGGGATAAGGGAAGAATCCAAAACAGGTTAAACATGTTTAAGATGCTGTTCACAGATTAATATTTTAAAATTCATATCTCTATAATACATCTATAAAACATCAAAAAGATGTGCTTGGTATTTTGATAACAAGTATCTTGGTATTCTTATTATCTGAATAATAAGAATAGTTAATACTCATTCAAATCTCACAAGAACCCTAGAAAGTAGCTACTGAGTAGAAAGAGTACTACACTTTTTAGAAAAGTAGAGAAAGACGGCCGGGCGCGGTGGCTCACACCTGTAATCCCAGCACTTTGGGAGGCCCAGGAGGGTTGATCACTTGAGGTGAGGAGTTCAGGACCAGCCTGGCCAACATGGCGAAACCCTGTCTCTACTAAAAATACAAAAAAAAGTAGCCCAGCACAGTGGTGCGCGCCTGTAATCTCAGCTACTCGGCAGGGTGAGGCAAGAGAATTGCTTGAAGCAGGGAGGTGGTGGTTGCAGTGAGCAGAAGACTGCGCCACAGCACACCAGCCTAGATGACAGTGTGAGACTCCGTCTCAAAAAAAAAAAAAAAAGTAGAAAAAGAAAAGTTAAAGATGTTCCCCAAGGATATTAAGTGGTGGGGCCAGGATTCAAAGTGAGATCTGTCATTCCAAAGCTCATAATTTTGCACGATTCTGTTACTGGTTACCTTAAAATTAAATACAAATAACTATATATTTTTAAGGATGTCTAACTATAACTGGTAACTCTTCTGTACTCTAAGATCACCAGGTCCCTTCTGGATTTTCAGGAAAATCTCTGTTGTTACTACTACCTACTTCTAAATTAGCTAACACAGTGTGTGTGCTTACCATGAGCAATGGACATGGATTATTTATTTATATGTTTGTTTGAGACAGAGTTTCACTCTTGTTACCCAGGCTGGAGTGCAGTGGCACGATCTCGGCTCACTGCAACCTCTGCCTCCTGGGTTCATGCGATTCTCCTGCCTTAGCCTCCTGAGTAGCTGGGATTCACAGGCATCTGCCACCACGCCCGGCTATTTTTTTGTATTTTTAGTAGAGGCGGGGTTTTACCATGTTGGCCAGGCTGGTCTTGAACTCCTGACCTCAGGTGATCCACCTGCCTTGGCCTCCCAAAATGCTGAGATTACAAGCGTGAGCCACTGCACCCGGCCAGATTATTTATTTAATCTTGAGAATATGGGTAGTATTTGTGATCCTGCTCTTACAAGGGAGGCTTAGTAACTTGCCCAAGGCCACATAATCTTTTAAACATTCTTTGAAAAATTGATACACGCACACATGTCCATTTACTCTCAAGGTGTTGCTATAATAGCTTGAACTGGCAGTCTCACAGATCAACTGAAATAGTTTGTGTTCCTTAGATGCCTTGCAGCTTCACTTAGGTATGATACTGAGAAGCGATATGAAAAAAAAAGTAAGAAAATCTGTCTGCACCCATGCTGAGCTAAGCTATAACCCTGACCAAACACTCTCCCAAAGGCTGGTTTTGTTTGATAAAGTTAAGAAGCAAAACATGACAGCACATGGTTAAGACAAATAACTAAAAACTGAAAACCAAAAAAACACGCACGCACAAAATCAAAAACAAAAACTCCAAACAAAAACTCCCAACACCCCCCAGCTGGAGTGAAAGCTCTATATACAAGCGGTTCCCAGCAGGCTCTCTGGATGACACCGTGTCATGGCTTGGCTCTGATTTGCTTGAAGTCAACTCTGGGTGACTTGTTCAAAACTTCCAAATCGGCTCCCCACTGTATGTGAAATTATTGTGTTCCACAGAAGCAAAATACAACACACTCAAAATATGCCAATGAAACAAGTAAAACCAGTAAGAAAATACTTTGAAAGTACAAAAGGAAGCCATGTCCCCCTCAAAGCCCGTGGGTAGGGCCTCTGTGCATCTGCTAGTGATGCTGCCATTCCTTTTAAGGACTTTGGTTGATACTCAAACAATGTAAGAAAACAAGCTGCAGGAATTCTCTGTAATAGTATTTTTTTCCTTTCTTTTTCCTTTTTAACTAACCAATATTAACAACCTGCTCACCAGTCCAAATCATAAGATGGCAGGCACACTTAATGACTTCTAGCCAATAAACATCAAGGCAGTCAGTAGAGCATGACAGCTTATAGCTCAAGCTCTGGACTCAGGTGGACCTAGCTTGAATTCCAGCTCTGTGTCCTTCTATCAGGTGCCTAACCACACAGTTTCAGTCTCCTCATCATCGTAAACTAACGATGAAGATACTACCTATACGTAGTATGCCCCAGGACTGTGAGGATTAAGATGAAATAGTGTATAAAAGTTCATGGCACAATGCCTGCCAACAGACATTGCTCTATAACTACTAGTTATTTCAATGTTATAACTAGAAGAGCTAACTGCAGAGGATGGAGACTTGCTATCAATGCACATGGTACTGGTTCTAAAAATATTCCTAAAGAGCTCAATGATAGAAGACCAGTTCAAAATCATGGACTGCTTTCCAAGGTGATACTTGAGACTGGTGTTCTTTAGAACATAAAGCCTCAGGTAAATCTGTTTACACAACACTTACTATATCCTCTCTACTTCACAGAGCAATATTCTTGATAGCCCCAAATTAGAAGTATACAAATTTCCACCAACAGTGGAATAAACTATAGGATATTCACAAATGGAACACTATATAACAATGAGAATTGAGTATAACTACACGAATAACATGGATTAATCCCACAAACTGTTGAGTAAAATAAATTATATATATAAAGTAAGTACTGACTGATACCATTTACATCATGTTCAAAAACAGGCAGAACCAATCTATGGTCAAGATAGAGGTTACCCTTGGAGGGTGAACAGTGATTAGAAAGGGGCATGTGGAAGATTTCTGGGGTGCTGGTAGTATTTTCATTTTGGTTGCTGGTGACAGACTGTATCCAACTGGTGGAAATCCAGTAAGCTGTCACTTCTTGGTGTGTTTATTAAACATCAATAAAAAGTTTTAAAATATACAAAAATCATAACACAAAATTTTAAAGTGATAATTGTGTTTACTGCCCTAATTTGCCTAAAATATATTTAAGAATTTTAACATTAACCTAAAATATTTTTCTAATATGAGATAAAGCTGATGTTCTTTTTTAAAATAGTGGTACCAACACCTTAGTCAAGAAGAGTACTGTTGGGACATATTATTTTTGAACATACCTGCAAAAAGGCAAATAATAAAGCTGTTTATTATGGTTTCCCTGTCATAGTACCTAACAAAGAATTAACTGAAGTAACCAGGAATTAAATTAAACCCCCCCCCCCCTTTTTTTTTTGAGACAAAGTCTCACTCTTGTCTCCCGGGCTGGAGTGCAATGGCGCAATACCGGCTCACTGCAACCTCTGCCTCCCCAGGTTCAAGCGACTCTCTTGCCTCAGCCTCTTGAATACCTGGGATTACAGGTGCCTGCCACCACGCCGGGCTAATTTTTGTATTTTTAGTAGAGACGGGGTTTCACCATGTTGGCCAGGTTTGTCTCGAGCTCCTGACCTCAGGTGATCCACCTGCCTCGGCCTCCCAAACTGCTGGGATTACAGGCTTGAGCCACTGCGCCCGGCTAAATGATTTTTCACTCAAAAAATATTTGGTGCGCTCTTATAACCTGACAGTCATAAAGCACAAAAATGCTAGAGTACGCATTATAAGAAAATTTCACTGTTGATCAATTGAAAGTATTCCTATTGAGGAATTTTTTATACTTGATAATAGGCCACTGGCAGGTTAATCTCATTCTACTTCTCAATGAATTCATACCTATGAATAAGTAAACAGGATGTAGGAAGGACAGGTTCCTTGAGTCACAGACATCACCTCATCAAAGTAGGACCAAGGTGATTTTCCTATGAGTTTGCCCAACATGTTCCATACCAAAAATCACTTCTCAACTAATATAGTCAAAAACAAATATACAAGGCTGGGCATGGTGGCTCATGCCTGTAATCTCAGTACTTTGAAAGGCCAAGGTGGGTGGATTGCTTGAGCTCAGGAGTTTGAGACCAGCCTGGGCAACATGGCAAAACCCCATCTCTACCAAAAATACAAAAAATTAGCTGGGTGTGGTGGTGTGGTGTGCATGCCTGTAGTCCCAGCTACTCAGGAGGCTAAGGTGGGAGAATCACTTGAGCATGGGAGGTGGAGGTTGCAGGCAGCAGAGATGGTGCCACCGCACTCTAGCCTGGGCAACAGAGGAGACCCCGCCTCAACAAAATAAAATACACACGCATACACTCCAGTTAAAGATGAGGGGAATCCCACAGTAATTTGAGTCTACTTGCAAATATTCTTTCAAGGTAGGGAAGGAGAATTCTTTCGAGGTCAAGAAGAAGAATGGGATTTGGGAAACATTTTTAACTACCATAATTTTAACGACCAAAGGGCTATCCAAACTTATTATTTCTTTGTTAAAATCTTGGAAATAATAAAAATTTTGAAAAAAATTAATAACCTATTTAGTTATTGTGATACACTGTTATATGCAAATGTCCAAGTAAGCAATTATATTATATAGTGACATTTTATAATATAAAATGGTGGCCTATTTGGTAGCCTAATTGTATATGTTCAAAACGCAAAGTTAAACACCATTTCTAAAACAGAACAATGCAGAATGAATGAATGCTCAACTACCTGTGCTAGTAGTATATAAGAAGATATCCATAAATTATACTACAGGTACCTATTTAAAGTAATTATATGTAGTTCTAAAAATATGTATTGGATACTTTTTGGAGATAATTTACCTCAGTGGAGCATTCCTTAGTATTAAGAATCACTCATATGTTCTAAGCCTTGAATTCAGTGCCTGGGTGACTCTTCCTGTATCTAGCTAGCTAGGCTACTGGCCTGGAGGTTTGGGCAACACCGAGGTGAGTATGACCATCCCTGTCCTCAAGGAGCTTCAGTCTAGTAGGGGATGAGACATACTAGACTGTGAGCTCCTCGAGGGCAGGAAAAGTGTTTTAGTCATCTTTGCCCCAGTGACTAGCACCAGGCTCAGCTACTGTAGGTGCTCAACAGTGTTTATCGAACTGAATTGAACACGGGTTGCAGCCATCTATAGCAGCATAGGGTAAGCCTGACAAGAAGAACAAAGAGCTTTGGAGACTCAGAGGGTGAAGGCTAGTCAGCTGTGAAGTCACAGAAGACCCAGTGCGTGAAAGAAGCCGAGAAAGATGGGTAAGATCTCCCCAAATGAAGAAGGAGGCATTCTGGGCTGACAGGAGGGTTAGTTTAGCTACTGTGTGTGAAAGGGATGAGAAGACAATCTCAGGCCATAATGAAATGAGGCCTAAATGTTACTGTGGAAGCCTTTACCCAAACATAAAAGGTGACAAAACCCCACTGAAAGTTGTTTTGACCAGGGGAGTTATTTTTCCAGTGACATTTCAGGAAGATTGACTAAGCTGGTCATGCCAGACAGATGGGAAAAGAGCGTGGGATGGAGGGTGGGGGGCAGGCACAAGGAGTGAAGCATGACTCCAAGATGGTGCCGAAGATAAAGGCACTATTCCAACCTGGAGGAAGTGAGGAGGAAGGGCTGGCATAGAAGAGAATGTAACAGCTTGCTTTCTGGATAAACATGATGCCCAGCCAGCAATTTAAAATGTAGGTTTGGGACTTGAGAAAAGGGCAGGACCAGAACTATAGACAGACAGAGGTAAGCAGCAAAGCCATGTGAATGGGTCAGACATCCTGGGAAGAGTAATGAGAGAAAATGGGAGAAAATAAGAGGCTGAAAACAGAAATTTGGTTAATATTCATGGTAAAGGTGGAGAGATGGCAAGTCAATGAGGTAGAAAGAGATGCCAGGGAGGTGGGGTGATAGAACTGGTATCAGAGAGGAACAATGCCAAGGACAGAATCTGTCAAATCCTGAGGAAAGATCAAGGAGGAACAAATAGGAGCAAAACAACATGCAATAAAGCATGTCCAAAAGCCAGCTGTAAAGGTGAGAGAATAGGCAGTTAAGTTATATGAGAATTAATTAAGGAACTGAAGATTTTTGGCTTGAAGAAACTAAGAGGAGGTAAGGAAGCTGTTTAGAATTACCCTGAAGGCCTATCGTGTGAAAGGCAGAGTAGGGTTGTTCTATGGGGCCTTGAAAAGTAGAACCAGGCCGGTGTGTGAGAGTTATGGGGACGGAGACCAAGAGCGTGGCTGGTCTTTCCAATGTGGGGCTCACTGTATTGTAATAACCAGTGATACCTCGGTCTCCTCCACCAGACTTTAAACTCTCTGGGGGCAGGGATTGGGTCTTGTTCACTGTTGGACCCACAGAACCTAGCTTAGAATAACAAAGGTGCTTAGCAAACATTTTCAGACTGGATGAATCCTTTGTGCTTCTACCTATAGGTCTTAATTCTTCTTTGAAATACTCTCCTTAAAAGGAATCCTGTCTAGCAGGTTGAACAGCTTGAACATGTGGTGAGAAGGCTGGGCTAGATGGTGAAAGGCCTGGACCCTGCAGTTGATGATTTTTAGGAAAAAGACTAAAATACAGCATGAAAAACAAACCCATAAAAACTCACATAAAATGGAGGAAGTCCCCAAGTGTGAAAACAGGTGACACAGCACACACTGAACCATGGTATTGTTTATATAATAAAGCTTCTCATGCCTATGTGTTATATTACAGTATCTTGTTTATTACAGTATTAAGTCTCATTCTAGACTCCAATTCAATTCAATTCAACAAATGTTTATTGAGCACTTATATGGTGCCAGGTTCTAAGCTTGGCATTGGGGCTACAGAAATCAGTAAGACACAATGATGCCCGTCAAGAGCTCTGAGTGTAGCTGGGGACATGCACAAGCGAACAAGAACCTCTCCAGGCCAGGCAACAGGGTAGAGTATGCACATGCTTCTCTGAGGGATTCAGCACACTAATGTCCCTGCGTGCTTCCTCCAGGGGTTTAACAGTACCTGGCACAAAGTAGTAGCCACAAAATGGCACCTGAACAAGCAATGGATGTTTTAAATATAAAAACAGAAGTATTCAAAAGGTGGCAAAGGAGTAATTCTCTCTTTCGGGGCAGGGTTGATTAGGAAGCCTTCCTGAAGCAGGTAACATCTGAGCTGGGTTCTGAAAACTGAATAAAAGTTTATAGGTGGCAAAGGTCAGGAAAGGGATTTCTGGGAGTGAAGACAGCATGTGAAAACGCAGTGAGCTGTGTTAGGAGAATTATAAGTAGGTATTGCTGGATCACAAAGTGTGAGGGAGACAGAGATGGAGGGTTGTGTTAGATGAGATTAGTGAGGAAAGCCGGGACTAAGTTATTACGGGTCTTGTAAGCCATGCTAAGTCAGAAGCTAGGGGAGAGAGATTTGACCATAATTGGAGCTTTATTAAAATTTTAAAGATATAATTTACTTAAGACTCTAGCAAGGTACAAAGAAATGCAAATCAATTTTAAAAGTAATTGCATTTGAACGAAAAATAGTTCGGCCTTAGACATACTGATATAATGACCTTAAAATGCTATTACTGCAAGGAGGAGAAGCAGCATAATCTGCCCCCACCCCCAGGCCCTCTCTCCCGCCAACTCCTACCTGAGCTGAGCTTTAAGTTCAGTAAACCTGGGCCGCCTGCTGGGGTCATAGGCCCAGCATTTCGTCATAAGGCTGTAGAGGGTAGGAGGACAATTTGGAGGCATTGGTAATCTTTCCCCATTTTCAATTCGACCGATTACATCATTGTTCTTCACTCCTTGAAAAGGCTTCACACCATGCATCAGTATCTCCCACATACACACACCTGTCAAGTGGGAATGAAAACACAACAGTGAGCTCAGTATGAAGAATGTAACTCCCAGGTTCCAGGAACATTGTTCTTCTAGGCACTCGAGTACCAGCTGGGAGGTAATGGGCAAATTATCTACCAAAGCAGCATTATATTAACTCTAGTATAAAATAACCTAACGATTTAACATGATGTAAATAATGAAATGTTAAATTATTATCAAGAAAAATGCTGTAATTTTTCTCAGAGGTTTATTTTTTCTCTAGAAATCCTCTATTAGAAAATCACCCACTAGCTACAGTGGTACTTCGTGGCTTAATGCAGTAGTTCAAAAAATGCTGAATTTTAATCCGCCCCACTTTGGTCTCATCTATTTATAATTAGAGCAGCTGACCTGAGGTCCAATAAAGAAAATCCTAGGATAAGTCTTACGCTTTTGGAAAACTCAGATTCCTTAAAATGCTTCCCTTAACAAGGTTGGCCTCTTCTTGTCTAGAGTGCATAAAGGCACCATTATCTGGTTTATTCATGGACTGGTCACTGTTTTCCCCCAGGAAAGATGTGGAACTTCTTTGGGCTTCAAGTCGTCTTGTCTATAAATGCCACAGTGTGACCTCAAAAAGTTTACTTGCACTCTACCCTTGGGAAATCCAATACTTTCTTAGTATCTTCTGAATAATCCTTAAAAATTCACCTTTAAGATGGGATAAAGAAAATGTAGTACATATATGCCACGGAATACTATGCAGGCATAAAAGAATGAAATCATGTCCTTGGCAGCACCGTGGAAACAACTGAAAGCCATTTATCCAAAGTGCATTAATGCAGAAACAGAAAGCCAAACACTGCATGTTCTCACTTGTAAGTGGGATCTAAACCCTGGATACATATGGACATGAAGATGGGAACAACAGACAGCAGGGAATAAAACAGCAGGGAGGGAAGGAGGTGGGTAATGGTTGAAAAAGTACCCATTGGGTACTATGTTCACTATTTGGGTGATAGGTTCAACTGAAGCCCAAACCTCAGGACTGTGCAATATATCCATGTAACAAACCTGCACATGGACCCTCTGAATCTAAAATTCAAAAAAAAAAAAAATTTAAAAATTCACCTTTAAAACAAACAAGAAACCTAAAACTGGCAATGAACATATAATGCAATGTAAAGGAAATGGAAAGAACTGGTGGCGTAAAGGATGGATGTTTTCTCCTAGTGCCTTATCATCACTGCTCTGCGCCTGGCTATTCTGGGCTTCTTGCTACCTGTGGAACACGCCAAAAACATCCCTTTACCTTCCTCACAAGCTCTCTTCTTTGTAGGTACATTTGTAATGTAGTTCTTTATAATGCTTTTCCTCTGGGAAAAGTTTTTGTCATTTCAAGTCTACTTCTATCACAAAACAATGTACAATTGATGACTTGAAGAAAGGAACTGTGACTTTATTTTTGCATCTTTAGAACCTAGAATGAAATCTGCCTCAAAAGAAGCAAAGCATATTATCATCTTGATGTGAATTAGATTCTGAACTTAGCCAAGAATCCAAGAATTTCAAAGTAAAGAGTATCTGACAAAAAAAATGCCTTAGTGCTGCTTTTCTCACCAGAAGTTACAACAATATTATCAGTAGTAGCAACACTGGATATAATTTCTTGAGAACTTAATGTGTTCCTGGCACACTTCTTAGAAATTTTACAAATATATATATTTTTGAGACAAAGCCTCCATCACAGCTCATTGCAGCCTCCACTACCCAGGCTCAAGTGATCCTCCCACCTCAGCCTCCTGAGTAGCTGAAACTATCGGCATGCGCCACCCAAACCAGCTAATTTTTGTATTTTTTGTAGAGATGGGGTCTTGCTAAGTTGTCCAGGCTGGTCTTGAACTCCTGGATTGAAGTGATCCTCCCTCCTTGGCCTCCCAAAGTACTAGCATTACAGGCATGAGCCACCGTGCCCAGTCTCATATATTACCCTTAATCCTCACAGTAACCTTATGTTTCTTTAAACACTGCATTTTACCACATTTGACAAAAATCACATCTACTGATTCTAGGAAACTTTATTAGTTTATAAGACCAAAAAAGGGAGGAGAATGTTGAAAACTAAAGTATGATACAATTCTTTCTTCCCTCTTAGAATTTTTATTTTATTCTTACCAAAAGAGTTCTTTTAAAGTCATTCAGACATTACAGTAACAACAATATTAACAAAACAAACTCTACTTGAGTGGAAAGCAAGGACAACTACATTAAAATAATGCTTCCAATTATTACCAACTGTAAAATGCCACTGATTTTAAGATACACTCCAGTTCCAGAAATGTTAACATGTAAAAAAATAGGCATCTTAGAAGTTTTGAAACATGAAATTTCTCTGAAAGGATAAGTTACTTGCTCTGTGGATCACACAGATAATAATCAAGGCCTTGGGATTTGAACACACATCAACTGGACTTCAGAGCTTTTTCTAATCATGTCATGCCATATCCTGTTCTATTTGAAAGTTCTTTCCTTTACCTAGTTATCTATGGGGGCATTAAATGATAATTAAGAATCAACAGTAAGTAAACAGAAGAAAAAAATAAGAACACATACTGGATCAAGTTATTTTTATTTATAGGAGAAAAAAGGTACATAATCTTAACAGGGCATCTCCTCCAAAGTAGTTTCTAATGTAGCAGAGATAACATGTCCACAAGTCTATTCACAGGATCAACATGAGTGGTATGACAAAGAGAGAAAGTGTAGGAAAGGTAAAGAAAGGAAGAAGCCTTCAAGGACATTTAAGGTGGACCTTGAGGGTTAGGTAGGATTTCAACTGGAAGAAGAAGGTATCAGGATAAGGTATTCTGGGTAGAAGGAATAACACCAAGAAAAATGGAGAGTAGAGTGGAGGGAAGTGCCATTCATGTTAAAAATAGTGAGTAATTTAAAAATTTGGATAAAGTAGTTTAAATAAGTAGCAAAGAATAAATGAGAGCCACACTTCTACACCAGCTAGAAGGAACTGCAATAACCATAGAGCAGGAGAATGATGACCTTGCAGCAGGTGAGGAGGAACAAATGAGATTATCAAAAAAGCAGAAGCTACAGAAGACAAAGGATCAAACTTCCAAGTCTTGAGATAGGTCAGGAAGGAGGCTGGACTCCAGAATAAAGAGACAAGGTAGAATTTTAGATACTTCCGGGTTGGAGGGGCCAAGTGTTTACTGTTTAATGTCATTCATATGAAAGGAACGAATGAGATGGCAAAGGGAGAGAGAGAAAAGAAAGAAGGAAATAAGCAAAATATCCCCCTGTGAGGAAAGAAGAGACAGCAAAGGGGAACAAAAAGGAAGAGTGATGGAAGGAGCTGGGCAATTAGAACTGTGGACCCTTACAGAAGCTGTGCCCAGAAGCTGATGCACAGTAGATGTCAGGCTATTTACTGTCAAATGAATCAAAAGAAGTCTGATGAGGAGATGATCAGGTTAGGGAAGGCAAATCAACCTACATATTCCAAAAAGAGATAATTTTTTTTTGTATAACATATGAAATATAATTTTTAAAGAATACAAAACTTTTAAGAGTACTCACCAAACATCCATACGTCACTAGCTGAGGTAAAACGTCGAAAATTGATTGACTCTGGAGCCATCCATTTAATAGGCAATTTTCCTTTGGAAGCTAGAAGATTAATTTTAGAAAATAAATTTTCCTTGTTATCTGCTTAAGAATCTAACAGAGCTAGCTGAGATTTTCAGTATCAAAGGAAAAAGCTTTAACTATTTGAACCCTTGAGGCTTCCATTTATTTGGGAGAACTACTTTTCATTTCCTTGGTGTTTCGAGGTCACTTAGGGGTGAGGAATGGTTAGATGGTAGATAAATAAAATACCAATGTCCTTCCCTCTATAGAGAGGCAAAGAACAGGGAGGGAGAGCAAACCTCGGTTTACCAGGGGTTTAGGTGCAGGTATTAGGTGCAGCTCTGGTATATAAGATTTCACAATTTACAGAAGAGATCCTTATCTGTAGGTTAGAATGCTCGCTATACACATGTCCTGCTAATAATAAATAATATATAGTCGATCCTCACTGGTGGTAGTTATGTTATATAAAGTTGTTGCAAACACAGAACCCCTGCTCTCAGGAGAAATATGTACACATATATTCGTATCTCACATAGATTACAATCTTCACTCATAAAACAACTCATTCTGATAGGTTCCATTTCCTTTAGAAAAGGAGGCTCAGATGTGTTAAGTGACTTGCCCAAGGCTGCCCCACTAACAGGTGCCAGAGTTGGGATTCAAACCTCTCCAACCACCAGAGCCTGAGCTGCTGGCTCTGCCCTGTGCCGTCCCCTCCCAGCCCTGACCCTGTCTTCCCTCCTCTGGCTGCGACAGGAGGGAGAGACTGCGGCCTTGCTGAACCTCAGCTGCATATGTGGGTATTAGGGAATACTCAATTTTTTTGTTGCTTTGTGCATGTCCTCAAATGACTATGAAAGCACCTTGAGTATTGATTTTGGGAATTACAAACATGTTAGCCACTAGGTGAATGCATCAGCGCAGACTACACAAATAATCAGGCATGTGAAGAGCAGGAAGGGGCAATGGGATAAGAAGGACTTCTCTAGGGAAGCCTGAAATCAGCTCCCTTTTCAGGCCTAAACGTTTTCTTTGTGCCACAAAGGCAAACCACTCAAAACCTTAGTAAACATTTCCTCAACTGCTGAGTTCTCAAGATGAACAATCCCGAGTCCTTTTTTTCAAGGAATGCTCATTCTAAAAGGCAGACAGAAGTATACTCAAATTTGGTACAAGGTGTAACACAGATAGTGAATACATGCCAAGTGTCCTGAAAGTAGAGAGGAACTAATGACTGAGAGGATGACCAGGGAAGGCTGCAGGGAGAGGATATAAGAGGAGAAGGGGTTGGTCAAGGAAGCAGGGCACAGGAACAGCACCCTGATTCAGAAGAGCATGGAGCATGAGCGGCTGGGCTCTGCCAGCATGTCAAGGGTCTGGACTTTCTTCTGTAAGCAATGAGTTGCCTCTGAAGACTATCAGAATTCCTAGAAAGAGGAGCATTTTGAAGAATCTCTAACCTTTTGGAGTTTGTACTTATTTCTATAGCCTAATGGAATGTACACTTATTAACCTTTCTGAGAAGATATCTGTGTGAATTTGTCAACTGCCTGTTTAAAATGTTGTTCAAATGATATGAAAATTTGGACATCATACTACTTGGAATTTAGCTCTTTATTGGAATTCTAGGACTTGGGACAGTTAAGATTGAAGCTGGATATAAAATGTATTTAGAAATAATGAAAAGTTGACTTCGTCTTTTTAAAGTTAAATGACTAAACAATTAAAATGAATAAACAATTGATTTTCTTTTCATATATCAAAGGATCATTTAAAAATAGTGACAGGTAGCTGGGCACAGTGGCTCATGCCTGTAATCCCAGCACTTTGGGAGGCCAAGGTGGGAAGATCGCTTGAGCCCATGAGTTCAAGACCAATCTAGGCAACAAAGTGAGATCTCATCTCTACAAAAAAATCAAAAAATTAGCTGGGCATGGTGGTGTGTGCCTGTGGTCCCAGCTACTCAGGAGGCTGAGGCAGGAGGATGACTTGAGCCCAGGAGGTTGAGGCTGCAGTGACTTGTGCTCATGCCACTGCACTCCAGCCTGGACGACAGAACGAGACCCTGTCTTAAAAAATGTTTTAATTTAAAAAATTAGGCCAGGCGCAGTGGCTGACGCCTGTAATCCCAGCACTTTGGGAGGCTGAGGTGGGCGGATCATGAGGTCAGGAGATTGAGACCATCCTGGCTAACACACACAGTGAAACTCCATCTCTACTAAAAATACAAAAAATTAGCCGGGCGTGGTGGTGGGCACCTGTAGTCCCAGCTACTCAGGAGGCTGCGGCAGGAGAATGGCGTGAACTTGGGAGGTGGAGCTTGCAGTGAGCCCAGATAGCGCCACTGCACTCCAGCCTGGGCGACAGAGTGAGACTCTGTCTCAAAAAAAAAATAATAATAATAAATAAAAATTAAAAATGAATTTAAAAAATAAAATAGTGACAGGCAATAATATACAGAAGACATATGGAAAGAGAATAGTTATAAGATTAAAATAACAGACTAGCTTTGCTTGTAAAAATCTGGGCTCATTTTGTTGCCATATAAAAATCAAATACCCTAAGAAAGAAACTGGCCTTTGTAAAATGGTAGTCATAATTAGTAGTATTAATAGCACAATATGGATTTATCTAAACCTTAGCTAAAGTTCTAGGAATATGAAAACATTATTCAGTAAAATATTAGTTCAGTAACAATTTGAAGAACCAATTCAATGTGATTCCAAGATTGGCAAAATTAAACACAACTGACATGAGCTAGATTTCAGTTAAAAAAACTAATGGAGGCTGGACATGATGGTTCATGCCTGAAATCCCAGCACTTTGTGAGGCGGAGGCAGGAGAATAGCTTCAGCCCAGGAGTTTGATCAAAGACCAGCCTAGGCAACACGGCAAAACTCCATCTCTACAAAAAATTAGCCAGGCATGGTGGCGCACGCCCGTAGTACCAGCAATTTGGGAGGCTAAGGTGGGTGGAATGCTTGAGCTCAGGAGGTCGAGACTGTAATGAGCCATGTTTGCGCCACTGCACTCCAGCCTGAGTGACAATGTGAGACCTTGTCTCAAAACAAGCAAACAAACAAAAATCCCACCAAACTAATAGATCCAAGGTGCTGGAGTTAGCAGCCTGCATATTTTTCAGTCAGATCCCCTTCACTGAGGCAATCAATACAACCAGCCGCATCTGGTGTAAGATGATGGTGTGTCTACTGATTGAAAGACATTGGAGCTGATTTGAATTTCTGGCTATTACAAATACAACTGCAATGAACATTTGAGTATGGTTTTGTGTACAAGTTTTCGTTTCTTCAGAAGAAATGTCCAGACGTGCAACTCCTGGGTCATATAACACTTGTATGCTTAATTTTTAAAGAATTTGCCAAACTTTCTTCCAGAATGCCTCTACCATTTTACATTCCCAGCAGCAATTTAGTTTCTCTGCATCTTTGCCAGCATATTCTTTATTTTAACAACTGACAGGTATGTACTGTAATCCCATTGTGTTCTTAATTTGCATTTTCCTAATGGACACAGATGTGGAACATCTGCATCTTCACATGCTTATGTGCAATCCATATATCCTCTTCAATGAAATGTCTCTTCCTATTTTTTTGCCCATTTCTAAGTGCATTCTTTGTGTCATTTTTACTAAGTTTTAAGAGTTCCTTTTATATTCTAGATAATAGCTTTGTCAGATACGTGTGGCTGGCACGAATCTTCTACTCTGTAGCTTCTCTTTTCATCCTTTTAACAGGGTCTTTGGCAGAACAAAAATTTATAATTTTTATCAGGTTCAGTTTATCAACTTTTTCCTTTTATGAATCCTTGTTTCTGGTGTCAAGTCTAAGGATCCCTGGCCTAGCCCTAGATGCTAAATATTTACTCGTGTTTTTTTCTAAAAATTTATTATTTTGTAATGCAGTCTATAATCCATTCTGAGTTAATCTGAAATGGAATTCAGAGGTTTAAACTGAGGTCTATTTTTTGCCTAAGGATGTCCAACTGCTCCAGCACCATTGCTGAGAAGGCTGTCGCTTCCTCCATTTAGTTGATTTTATATCTCTGTCAAAGATCAGGTGAGCATATTAGAACATACTGTTTTTAGAAATACGTTAAAGATTCCAAGCCTATTTCTTAGGTACTACTCTGATTTCTTACCTTTGTAGTAAGTACTATCTTCCATATATCGGGATAATCCAAAGTCTCCTAATTTTACACAATCATTTGAGGACACCAGAACATTCCGAGCAGCAATGTCCCTGATAAAGAAGAATTTGAGACAATAAGACTTAAAATAAGAAAAACAAACATACAAGCTCATATATAAAGACATACCAATAGGCACTTTGAAAGACAGCTTATATACAATGCGAGCAGATTATATGATATTTATTATAGGATATATATAATAAATCTCATATATACACACACACAAAATTTACTTCATATATATTCTTTTTGCCAGATATTTACCCATTAATACAATGATTATTCTGAATGATGGCAAAGTACATTCTAAAATAATGAAAATCCTTATTACTGTTCATAAAACCATACTACCAACGGCATTAACTGACAGTGATATACAACTGGGGCCTATAACACTGCCATTACTAAAGAGATATCATTAAATAAAAGTTGCCTTCTGAAAACTTGTAAATGATTTTGCTGATGCAGCTTATTTTTTTAGATGCTTAGTTTTTCTTTTCTTTTTTTTTTTTTTTGAGACAGAGTCTCGCTCTGTTGCCCAGGCTGGAGGGCAGTGGCACGATCTCGGCTTACTGCAAGCTCCGCCTCCTGGGTTCACACCATTCTCCTGCCTCAGCCTCCCGAGTAGCTGGGACTACAGGCGCCCGCCACCATGCCCAGCTAATTTTTTGTATTTTTAGTAGAGATGGTGTTTCACCATGTTAGCCAGGATGTTCTCGATCTCCTGATCTTGTGATCTGCCCGCTTCGGCCTCCCAAAGTGCTGGGACTACAGCTATGAGCCACCGCGCCCGGCCTATTTCTTTTTTTTTTTTTTGGATGAAGTTTGTATTAATGCCGGATAACAAAAACACCAATTCTAATATGATACTTGGCAAACAAATTTTAAGGGTCTTTACTTGCATTCAAACAGAGACTCAGGCTATAAACAGAAATTCCACAGAATGCCAACAGATGTCACTCATAAGGTTGTGTTGTCCTGGAGAGTTCCAGGACAATATTTGTTTTAGAGACCACTTCCACATGTTCACTGCTCTGCTGCCAAGTACAGGTTCTCTATAGTGTTTGTGTAGGGAATAAGTGACCTGAAAGTATCACAATGTTTTAAACTCCACGTGTGTAAAAATCCTGTAAATGTGTATTAACAAGCCATGGCATCTCACTCTGATAGGACATAATGCAGCATGACTTGCTATTAACTGTGTACAATAGATTCCAATGGTATACAGAATACAATTTTGTAGAATTGGTACAAAACTGTACCAAAGGGGACCCTGGATCCAAAAGGGTCCAAAGACGGTCCAAATGGGTCCCTGTTTCTTGATCACTACTTTTCAGAAGGGAACTTAACAGCTTTATGACTGTATCTTACCTGTGTACAAATCTTTTGCTCTCTAGATATGCAAGAGCTGTACTAAGCTGATAGGCATACAGGATCAAAGATGCTAGATCCAAACTGTATTTCCTTACTTGCAAAAATGACCTCAGCTTTTGGAACAATGACCAAAAGAAAAAAAAAAAAAAAAGAATTAGTGGCAGTGAATCGAAATCAAAAGCAAAAAAGCTACATTCAACAATAATGCTGTTTTCAATGCATTTTTAATAATATTAGAATGGCTTCAAGTCTCTTCTAATAAAGCATAATAAATGAAACATTTAAACTCTGGATTCAGATTATTTTTTATTTGAAATCCTATCATGAAATTAAAATATTTTTGACTAACGACAAATTTCTTAAAAAATATAGAAAGATAAGCTTCAATGGAATGAACAAAAGCACAGTACAAATTATTGCTAAATAATAATAACAACTGGAAGAAAAAAGATCTAGTTACTATCCAAACAAGGCTAATACACAGTCAGTTATCTCCACTTCAAACCTTACTGTGGCTCTGCGAAGGTATGAGGATAATGTAATGCGGAGAAAGCAGGGACAAGAAGGAATCTCCCCTCTTATTTCCTTCCCCATGAAGTTTTGGATGCAGAAGCACAGAACAGTCATGTTGGGTATTTATCACAATGTACTTACTTGTTCATGCTACCACTGACACCATTAATAGAGGTAAATGCTGACATGGCAAAGAAAGGCAGACACAATTAATACCCTAATTCTAAATAATTGATGAGAGAAATATTTAGCCATATTTTTTGAGCCGGAAGAATTAGCAAACTCTCCAAAAGCAAAAGCAGAAAAGTACCGTGAACAAGAAATTATACATAAGCACTCCATTTGATTTGGTGGAGGAGGAAGAGATGTTCAGCTGATGAAATCACACAATGCTCCCCCGGCCCAGTGTTTGATTCAGCAGGCCTGGGATGGGGCACAAGAACTTGTTTAATGAGTTTCCAAGTGTTGGTGATGCACTGATTTGTTTCTGTATTCTGGAGAAAGTGAGAGAGCTATTCACTCAATTACTCACATTTTTAAAAGAAAGTACGGCCATGCACGATGGCTCACACCTGTAATCCCAGCACTTTGGAAGGCCAAGGCAGGCAGATCACTGGAGGTCAGGGGTTCGAGACCAGCCTGGCCAACATGGTGAAACCCTGTCTCCATTAAAAATGCGAAAATTAGCTGGGCCTGGCAGCACGTGCCTGTAGTCCCAGATACTCAGGAGGCTGAGGCAAGAGTAGTGCTTGAACCTGGGAGGCGGAGGTTGTAATGGGCTGAGATCGCGCCATTGCACTCCAGCTTGGGCGACAGAGCGAGACTCTGTCTCAAAAAAAAAAAAAAGAAAAAAGAAAAAAGAAACTGTGATTTAAATAAGTTGGTTTAAAAGGTATTACTAGCCAGGTAATCAGAACACTTTGCGAGGCCGAGGCAGGCGGATCACTTGAGCCAAGGAGCTCAAGACCAGCCTAGGCAACATAGTGAAACCCCGTCTCTATAAAGAATTAAAAAATTAGTCAGGCATGGTGGCATGCACCTGTAGTCCCAGCAACTCGGGAAGTTGAGGTGGGAGATCGCTTGAGCCCAGGAGGTCGAGGCTGCAGTGAGCTGTGGTTATGCTACTACACTCCAGCCTGGGCAACAGAGGGAGACTTTGTCTCTCAAAAAATGAGATGCTACAAAGTGAATTCCCAAAAAGATAAAGGAAATGTTTAGACTTACCTAAATTTAGCATTAATTTACCCAAACTCCATTAAGATTGCTTCATCCTCAGATCACTGGGCTAGTTTTTTAGGCAATGGCACCAGAGAGAAAAAATAAAACCAAACATTTGGCCATCTGCGGCTACCAATCCTGATAAAGTACTTGGCTGGGGAAGATATTGCTGCCAGTACTGCATAAGGGGATGCTTTGGGAATTTAATGATGAAGATATTTATACCCATATTCTCTGAACCAAAACCATAATGACATACATCCTAAATCAGAACTCTCCTGAAAATCCAAGATATAAACTGTTTATATTTTCCTTTCTTAAGCAAAAGATATCAAACGCTGAGTCCAGAAGGTAAGATTTGGGGATCACAGTACCTCTCCAAGTGTGCACAGCTCCATGATTATCCAGACAGGATTCTCTGTGATGACTCCAATCAGCTTCACAATATGAGGATGGTCAAACTGACGCATTGTTACTAGGAAAAAAGTTCTCCATAGTTATTCTTTCTTTTTTTTTTTTTTTTTTAGACGGAGTCTCATTCTGTCACCAGGCTGGAGTGCAGTGGTACAATCTCGACTCATTGCAACCTCCACCTCCTGGGTTCAAGTGATTCTCCTGCCTCAGCCTCCCGAGTAGCTGGGACTACAGGCGCCCACCACCACGCCCGGCTAATTTTTTGTATTTTTAGTAGAGATGGGATTTCACCATGTTGGCCAGGATGGTCTCGATCTCTTGACCTCATGATCTACCCGCCTTGGCCTCCCAAAGTGCTGGGATTACAGGCGTGAGCCACCGCACCCGGCCTAGTTATTCTTTTGAAAACTCTTTCAGCTTCTCTGAAGATGAATTCAATTAAGACATAAGGCTGGCAATAGGGGAACTTTAAAACTCAATTCCACAGGTCAGTTCAGCTCACAAATGGGCATAAATTGGCACAAAAAGGTATGTCCTACTATTGAGGTGTAAGGTAACCTCTAAGAAAAATCCTTCTTTCCTTCTGCATATGTGGCAGGGGGGAAGAGGAAGAAAGAAGGAAGGGGAGGAGGAGGAGAAGAAAGGGGGGGGGAAGAGGAGGAGGAGGAGGAAGAGGAGGGGGAAGAGGAGGGGGAAGAGGAGGAGGAAGAGGAGGAGGAAGAGGAGGGGGACGAGGAGGGGGAAGAAGAGGAGGGGGAACGGGAGGAGGAGGAAGGGGAGGGGGAAGAGGAGGAGGAGAAGGAAGGGGAGGCTGAAGAGGAAGAGGAGGAAGGGGAGAGGAAGGGGGAGGAGGAAGAGGAGGGGGAGGAAGGGGAGAAGGAAGGGGAGGAGGAGGAGGGAGGAGGAGGGGGAGGAAGGGAGGAGGGGGAGGAAGGAAGTAGGAGGAGGGGGAGGAAGGAAGGAGGAGGAAGGAAGGAGGAAGAGGGGGAGGAAGGGAGGAGGAGGAAGTGAAGGAGAAGAAAGACGACGACAACCATTTCTTTTTTCCTATGGACATATGTGACCTTGGGGTAGCTTCCTAGGTTTTCCTCTAGAAATCTGGTAAGTAGGAGTGTGTAATTCATTTACTAAGCAACCATCTTTACAGTAAAAATCACTCCTGACTGGTGAATTGCTGGGGGAGGAGGTGAAATGGGATTAAAAATACCTGGTGGAAAGCTATAGCTAGAAGCTGCCCTGAGTGTGGAGACTATGGTAACTGGGTGTGTTCCTTGCAAGGCCCTGGAAGCCACAACCCATGGGGCACTCACAAAGGATTTCTATCTTAGACATAAATGGTTCCTGCATCCACCACTGTGGTCCTGTCCTCTTAAATTTAACTGGTTGCTTTCAGGGCCCTATAAAAGACTTTCTACTGGGCATGGTGGCTCACGCCTGTAATCCCAGCACTTTGGGAGGCCGAGGTGGGCCGATCACCTGAGGTCAGGAGTTTGAGACCAGCCTGGCCAACATGGTGAAACCCCATCTTTACTAAAAATACAGAATTAGCTGGGCGTGGTGGTGTGTGCCTGTAGTCCCAGCTACTCAGGAGGCTGAGGCAGCAGACTCACTTGAGCCTGGGAGGCAGATGCTGCAGTGAGCCGGGATTGCGTCACTGCACTCCATCCAGCCTGGGCGACAGACTGAGACTCTGTCTCAAAAAAAAAAAAAAAAAAAAAGTTTCCAGGACAGCCGTGAGGACTTTCACATGAGAGAAATGCCAGCTGCTGCCTTTTTTGGCATACTTTGTTTATGGTCCTGTACTACTACTCTCAGGAGAGTCTGATGCTAAATGTGGCCTATGGCAGTAACATGAGTTTGACCGCCTAATTGAGCCAAGATGACCAAGAGGGCACTGCATATAGACATACATATCTGTGTGTGAACATGTATGTTAAGGTGTATGCATTTATAATTTCTAGTATCAGGGCTAAGAAGGTTACTTGTACAGTATACTAGGATTAGTAAGACACAGGACAGACTTCACAGAACTATAGGATCTCAAAACTGGAAGTGATTTTAAAGGTGACCTGGTCCAGTGGGTCCAAAAACACCTGATTTCACAGACTATAAAAATGGGGAAAAATAATTCTGATGCCAAGCAAGGAAATTAGAATAACAGAAGTAATTTTAAAAATACGATCAACATGTAATACTGCCAACATGTTACAGAATAGCTGGTATCGCCCATTGTGAGAAAAAACTGTGAAAGACTTTGAAATGGGCAAAACAATATTAGTGGGTGTTCTGTCTAGCTCACTTATGTGTTTTACAAGTTTTCCCTCATATTCCAAGAACAGGACCTGGTAGTTTTTTTCAACAAACATCACCAACAAAAACCCATATAATGTAAACACCCAGCACATAATCCAAAACATATAATTAAATCTCACCTTGTCACATTCAGTTCATTGCTTATACCATGATATTTTTGGATAAACACTCAGGCACCCAGCATATTCACAACCGTACTTTCAATTTACTGTAAGTAACTATTTATTATAACTTTTGGTTTTATGTTATTCTCACATATAATTATCAAGCCTTTCATATTTCCTCAGAAGTAATTATTAGAAACACAAAACAGCACAAGGCTAAGAGAGTCTTGTGGCCACTAGGAAACTCTACCCAAACTGAACTAAAAATCAACACATAGAATAGTTTCCCTTGTTATTTACCCATCTGGGGCAGAAAGCTAAGGCCCAGGGGCTGCCATCTGCTTTTGTAAATAAAGTTTTACTGGAACATATTCTTGCTCATTCTTTTCTGTCCTGTCTGTGGATGTACAATGACAGAGCTGAATACTTGGGACAGGGGCTGCATAGTCTGCAGAACCTAAAATATGTACTATATGGCCCTTTAAAGAAAAAGTTTAACAATTCCTGATCGAGGCCATATTTTTTCTCTTATATATAGCCTGGTAAAGCCCTACAGAAGTTTAGATACACTACATCTATCACATTTCCCTGAAATAACTGCTGAGTAACCTCTCAGAGAAGAAAACAATTAGTCCGACTTGACTACTCCTATAAAACTATATAACTGATTTTTGTAATGACAATTCCAAAGTCCTACAAAATCACAACATAGTAACTGTTCAGAATTTTAGGAAAAGATAACCAATTTTTAAAATTTTCATTTTTGAAAATATAAAATGCACAAGAATACCAGCAAAGGTAAGGCAGATATGGTGTTGGGTGATGATGACTGATGTGGTCTGTTTTCTTGGCCTAGGTGCTATGCAGAAATGAACTAGTCAAGACAGAAGTCATTGGCCAGGCCTTCTCTTGTACTTAAGTCAAAGTTTCAGGAATAGGATTAAGGATGTACTAAGACTTAATTAATGTAGTCACCACATGGCTTACTCTATGAATTATTAATTTATTGGACTGTTGGGTGGTATTTATTACAATGGAAAACAGAAGGCATTCATTTGATGCACATATAATGAAGGACACCAGAATGACAAACATCTACCAGGTGTTCTCTAGGTGTCAAGTACTGTGCAGGACACTGAGTATGGAGTGGTGAGCGAAACAAACATGGTCCTTATCCCCAGGGAGCTTAAGGCCTAGAGGAAGAGAGGAAGAGACAGGCAATAATCACTTGTAAACAATGTAGCTTTAATTAGGAATCATTAGGAAGAAAAAGAACTAGTCTTGTGTGACAAAAAATAGTAAGGGGAGACTTTAAATATGGTGGTCAGAAAAAGGTTCTCTATTGGAGGTAATGTTTAAGCTGGGGCCTGAAGCATGAGAAGAGGCAAACCATAGGAAAGGAGGAAGAGGAACATCACCGCTTGAGGGCAGGTAAGGAAGAGCTTGATGTGGACAAGATCCTTGCTCTTTAAGAGCTTACATTTGGGAAAGAAGACCTATTCATGCAGAGCTCACTCAAGGAAGCTTCTTCAGAGGAGGCACAAACCAAGAGTCAGAGGAATGGAGGTGGAGAAAATTATTTCTAAGGGCTGGGCACAGTGGCTCACGCCTGTAATCCCAGCTCCCTGGGAGGCTGATGCAGGCAGAGCCTAGAACTTTAGAATAGCCTGGGAAACAGCAAAAACCTGTCTCTCCACAAAACAAAAACAAAAACAAAAAAACCAACCAACCAAACAAAAATACAAAAAATTAGCTGGATGTGGTGGCGCCCATCTGTAGTACCAGGTATTTGCAGCCCCGAGATGGGAGGATCCCTTGAGTCCAGGAGGTGACACAGCGAGACCCGAGACAGACACTGCCTCAAAAAAAAAAAGATAAGTGTTTCTAGCTAAAGTCACCTGGGAAGCCGTCAGAAGAGTCCTTTCCTGAGGTCTCTTCTTGCGTGAAGTTTTCTTTTCTTTTGTTTTTTGGAGACAGGGTCTCATTCAGTCACTTAGGCTGGAGTGCAATGGCACGATCTTAGCTCACTGCTACATGGGCCTCCCAGGCTCAAGTGATCCTCCCATCTCAGCTTCCTAAGTAGCAGGGACTACAGGCATGCGCCACCATGCCCAGCTAATTTTTTTAATTTTTAAATTTTTTCATAGAGACGGGGTTTCACCATGTTGCCCAGGCTGGTCTCAAGCAATCCTCTCACCTCGGCCTCCCAAAGTACTGGGATTACACGTGTGAGCCACCACACCTGGCCTCCTTTTGGGTGATTTGTTCTTTTTCTTTCTTTCTTTTTTTTTTTTGAGGCAGAGATTGCTCTATTGCCCAGGCTGAAGTGCAGTGTTGCTATCTCGGCTTACTGCAACCTCCCTCTCTGGGGTTCAAGCTATTCTCCTGCCTCAGTCTCCTGAGTAGCTGGGACTACAGGTGCGTGCCACTATGCACGGCTAATTTTTTGTATTTTTAGTAGAAGACTGTTTCACCATGTTGGCCAGACTGGTCTCAAACTCCTGACCTCAGGTGATCTGCCTGCCTTGGCCTCCCAAAGTGCTAGGATTACAAGCGTGAGCTACCGTGCCCAGCCTGGGTGATTTGTTCTGATTTTGTAGCAGGACAAGGGGAATGGTCATAGAGCCCTATTCCTTCACTAGTCTATGAGCTCCATCAGGGCAGGGACTGTGTGTGTCATGCTCACCTCTGCATTCCTGGGGTCTGGGCAGCATCAACATTAGGATCACTTATATATCTGCACCAATTCCAGTGCAAAGATGTGTAATGGCCTAAGTACCAAAGTATAAAGTAAATGCACATCAATCTACCTTTACACATAAAACATGATGGTTTACCTGGAAAAATCTGTAGATAGGTGCTTGTACAAATTTAGACATTAATTTGCAAGGCAAAATAATAAACATAGTTGTCTCCTAAAAGTCAAAACACTATTTTTCTTATTTCTTCAGAGACAGTTTGGATTTCACAGATAGAAAGTCAAATGGAGTTCCACAGAAATTTCTAGACACTTACAGGCTTCTTGAAGAAATTTCTCTCTCACGCTGTCCGAAGTACAGTTTTTACATGTTTTAATTGCAACCGCCAAAGCTGGATTCTCCTGTGTTAGGGAAATTATAGAATCACACACACATGCAAAAAGGTTTGCTATATTAATTGATTCATGAAAACCTGTCTGTTTTGCAACTATGTGGGTTATGGACCAGACAGAATCAGAACGGCAAAATCTCAAGAATGAGAGGGATACTTAAAAACACTCAGTATAAAATCCCCTGAGAAAAATGGTCATGCACGTGAAACATTACAGCAAATCATTTATTCATTCATCTACAAACATGTGTTAGAGATACACCATGTGGCTGGTACTATTCTAAGTGCTTGGGATACACTGATGAACAGCAGAGGCAGCAGTCCCTGTACCTGTCACACTTACACTCCAGTGAGGAACACAGATAATAAATAAAGAATTAATTACATAGTATGTTAGAAGGTAACCGTGTTACAGAAAAGGGAGAGAGCAGATCAGGATATGGAGACAGGGATGGAGGCTGCTGTATGAGGGGGACCTCACTGAGCAGATGAGACAAGAGCAAAAAAACTAAAGGAGGGAGGAGAGGGAGCTGGCTAAGAAACAGCAGGGAACAGTGTATAGCGTGCTCAAGGAACATGAGCAAGCCAGTGAGGCTGGCACAGAGGGTGGAAGGTAGGAGGGTGAAGATGACAGAGTCAGAGAGGAACGGAGGGGCCAGACCACACAGGGCCTTCAAGGCCAATAGAAAGATGCGACTTTTACTCAAGTGAAATGGAGAGCCAAGGTAGGGTTTGGACATTGGAGTACCATGGCCTGACCCAAAATTTTGAAGGAGCATTCTGCTGTGGTACTGAGAAATGGCTGCAGAGAGGCAAGGTTAGAGACACAGGGAGTTCTGCGGGTGGCTACCACAGTACCCCAGGTGACAGGTGACAGGTGATGGTGGCTTGGACAAACATGGTAGCAGTGGAGGTGGAGAGAAGGGCTGAGATTCTGGTTATACTCTGAAGCTAGGGCAAAGGTGGCTCATGATGCAGGTGTGAGAGAGTCAAGTTCAGGTTTTTGACCAGAAAAACTGACAAGATGGAAGGGGAAGATCAGAAGCTCGGCCTGGGATGTAATAAGCTTGAGATGTCAGTAAGATAGCCAAGTCACACAGGTGAAGTGACCAGCAGGATACTGTGACTGGCGTTCAAGAAAGAAATCTGAACTGGACATAGAAATCCAGAAGTAGCCTAGCCCATGTGACTGGACGAAATCACCAAGGGAGATGAGAGAGGTCCAAGGACTGTGCTTTGAAGCTCTCCAACATGAAGAGGTCAGGGACAAGAGTGGAAAATGTCAAAGGAGACTGAGAAGGGGTGACCAGGAAGGCAGGAGACAAACCAAGAAAATGTGTTGCTCTGAAAGCCAAAAAGTCATTATGCACACTTACTATTGTCTTTCACATTATATCATTTTATATATTATAATTATACATAACACAGAGATAATATTGTCATTTACATAACTACTGTCTATTCTCCATCACTAAAATGTAAGTTTCAAGACAGCAAGTAACTTGCCTGTTTTGTCAAAAAATCCCCATTAGTATAGCACTGATGCATACTATATGCTCAGTAAAGATCTGCAGAATTAATTAATGCTATTAATATATTTCTTTTAAATGAAGATGTTCATTAATAAGTTAGATGTGTCATATTTTAAAAATACCTTAAATTGTGTTTTGCTTAACAAGTTAGCTGTCGCATACTTTCAAAATACCTTAAATACCTTTATTTATTTTAGACTTCACACTAGTTGTATACTATGTGTTTCCAGGAAATAAAACATTTTCAAACAAGAGAAATCTGAATGGTAAGAGAACTGTATCATCGACTCAGGGACTGCATTCCCTTTCTTCACCTCCAGAGGAGGCATGCCCATGTGCCAGATGCCTCAAGGAAGGGGTTCAGGTGGTAATGGTGACGTGGTCCTTGGAGGACAGAGTAGTTGGCTCACACAGAATGTGAACAAGAGCACAGAATACCCTATCTACTAAATGTTTGAGTTTACAACCTTAGAATCATTAACCGTATCTGTGCTAAAATATAACCACTTTGCTTTGAATGAGTCAGTCTTGTCTTCCTTAATTAGACTGTGTACTTCTTTAGGACCATGACCATGAATTCTTTTTCTAGCTAAATATGAGGCTGGCTGCAAGTAACAGGTATACGAGAAAACTGTATGGCTGGTATACTGTAAAACTGACCGAAAATGTCCATTTTATAGACGATCAGAGCAACAAAATCTTTGATAAGACCTTAAAACCATCATTAATCCTGTCAACTAATCAAATACTCAGTAAACATGGTGCTTTATTAAGACAGTCTAAGGAAATGCAAACAAAATACTGCTCTTTAAAGACCTAGGGTTTCAAATGAATGCTAAGTGTAAGATTCCATAGCTGGCAAATATACAAAATGCCAACATGAGCAGATTATGAGGCTCAGCCTTCGGTTTGGCGAATAGGACATGCGGCTAGTGGCCCCTAAAGTGGACAGCAGAGGTCTAGGGAATGCTGAACTGTTAGAAGGGCCAGTTACAGAGATCGGACTGCTGGAGAATGGGTCAGTTCAAAGTAAGTAAGACCAGAACGTGTGCAAAGGGTTTTTTCTAAAAACTAAAAAGTTACTAATTGGTAATTACTCAAAATAGATTTTTAAAATCTTCGTAAAATACAGGCAATATTTAGGGAAAAGAGAAGTTTTTCATTGTTCAATGAAAATACCACCTTGTGGCCACTATGCCTAGACAAGGGATGCAAGATTAGGCTCTGAATTAATAACAGCTAGTAGACGTTTAAAATATCTTAACAAATAAATGTAGAAAAAAGCTATTCTAGGATGAATTAAGAGAAAATTAGATTTAATAACGGATTTTAAGGCTGCGAATAATAATGAGAGAATGTGCCAGTGATCAGCAGGTGCTTGAAGGAAAGAAAAAACAAGCCTGATAATCTTGCCTAATAAAGAAAAAAATGTGTGCCAATCAGATAAACTTCATGTTTACTGACTCTCAGAATGAAGGTCAAAATTCTTACCTCAAGGTTCACATGGCCCCACACATGTCCCCTGGTGGCTCTCCTAGTCTCCAAAAGGTTTCCTTTTGCCTTCCCTTTGTTTCCTATCCCTCTACTCCGCGGCCACACCGTCCTCCTGGTGGTGTACTGTCCTGCCCCGCCTCATGGCCTTTGCACTGGCTGTTCCTTCTGCCTAGAACAGGCTTCCCCATGAGAATGCTCAAGCTCCACTCCCTGTCTTACTTCAAAGCTCTGCTAACACGTCTTGTCAGAAGTTCTTTCTGAGCATCCCATGTGGAACAGCATCTTGACCTCCCATTTTCCATGCATTGTTTTTCTCAGACCCTCTTGGGATTTAGCGTACGTCTTTTTTGCCTGTCAACTTGTGCCTTGGGTAGAATTAAGTTATATCCCCCCACCACCTAGAAACAGTAGCTGTCACAGAGCAGAAAATGATTACAAAATTGCTCAAAGAATTAACTGAACCTTAAATAAAGTATCCAATGGTTGGTCCTTGCCCATGAAATTTATGCCACGTTACATTTTGACCAATCATCAAGAATGCTTGATAAAATATTATTTGATTTTACAGAATACTAAAGAACATGTTCTAGAAAAAGGATTTATAATAGAAACTTAAGAGAAATGAACAGACTGCTTTGCACTATAAAATTAGACTCCCACATTAAAAACAAAACAAACATATACAATATACACAAGAAAGAAATTCAACAGGCCGGGCATGGTGGCTCACATCTGTAATCCCAGCACACTGGGAGGCCGGGGCAGGTGGGTCCCTGGAGGTCAGGAGTTTAGACCAGCCTAGCAACATGGTGAAACCCTGTCTCTACTAAAAATACAAAAACTAGCCGGGTGTGATGGTGTGTGCCTGTAATCCCAGCTAGTTGGGAGGCTGAGGCAGGAGAATCGCCTGAACCCGGGAGGCAGAGGTTGCAGTGATTGGAGATCACATCACTGCACTCCAGCCTGAGCAACAGAGCAAGGCTCCATCTCAAAAAAAAAAAAAAAGAAAAAGATATTTAACAAAATGTGAATCCTTGGGGACTGGAATTCATTCAACAAACATTTAGTAAACATTAGATTATGGGCCGGGCGCAGCGGCTCACACCTGTAATCCCAGCACTTCAGGAGGCCGAGATGGGCGGATCACCTGAAGTCAGGGGTTCAAGACCAGCCTGAACAACGTGAAGAAACCCCATCTCTACTAAAAATACAAAATTAGCCGGGTGTGGTGGCACCTGCCTGTAATCCCAGCTACTTGGGAGGCTGAGGCAGGAGAATCGCTTGAACCCGGGAGGTTGTGGTGAACTGAGATTGCACCATTGCACTCCAGCATGGGCAACAAGAGGGAAACTCTGTCTCAAAAAAAAAAAAAAAAGGCGGGGCGCGGTGGCTCACGCCTGTAATCCCAGCACTTTGGGAGGCAGAGGCAGGTGGATCACGAGGTCAGGAGATCGACACCATCCTGGCTAACCCGTTGAAATCCCATCTCTACTAAAAATACAAAAAATTAGCCGGGCGTGGTGGTGGGCGCTTGTAGTCCCAGCTACTCGGGAGGCTGAGGCAGGAGAATGGCGTGAACCCGGGAGGCGGAGCTTGCAGTGAGCTGACATGGCGCCACTGCACTCTGGCCTGGGCAACAGAGCGATACTCCGTCTCAAAAAAAAAAAAAGAAAAAAGTAAATTTAGATTATGGCTATTTTAAAAAATTATCTTGTATTTTCACAACTAAAATGGATTACGTATTTTAAAAGTGAATGAAATAAAGTCCACTAACCCTGCTATTACCTGTGTTTAAGTCATGGTACTCTGGGAACTTTAGAATGCTTACCTATCAGGAATTTTGGAGATTATAGGAAGCTCAGAGATAATTTAGTTACATTCCAGTAATGTAGTCACCTTATCTCCCCCAATCTCAAACTGAGGCAGAGCCAGATCTAAATTTGTCTGTTTGTTTCTTTTTCACTAAATTTGCATCCATTGCTCCTTCTACTCTACTTTGCCTCAAAGGGCAGAGTTAAGAGACTGTGGAATATAGACAATACACCCATAGTTAAAAAAAATTGAAAAAGGAGTAAAAAACAGCAAAAAATATACAACAAATTATACAATTTGATATAAGCACAAGAGTAAAGGCTTCCAAAAGTGAACTAATTTGGTTAGTTTACTGGTGGCAATTATCTGTTATCTTTGATTAAAAAAAACCCTTTTATAACTTTTGGGTTATAAAAGTAATGCTCAGAGCATCACTAGTACACGTGTAAAGGACATTAAAAATGCATAAACATGGAGTTACTGAAGAAAAAAATGGTCATTTGCAGTTTCCAAGCAGGGGTATAAAATAAGAGTCAATTTTCTCTGTTATTGTAACTTTATTAGAGCCATCTCTGTTCACCTGCTACTATTCTAGTTCAAAGACAGTTTCTTGAGCAAGCATGTCATGTGCCACAAAGTAACATTTTGGTCAATGATGGACCACATATACTATAGTGGTCTCATAAGATTATAAAGAAGCTGAAAAATTCCTACTGCCTAGTGACATGACAGAAATCAAATTTCTTATGTGATCATGGTGATGCTGGTGTAAACAAATTTACCGTACTGCCAGTCATATAAAAGTATAGTACATACAATTATGTATAGTGATTAATACATGATAATGATAATAAACGACTATGTTACAGGTTTTGTGTATTTACTATACTTTGTTTTTCTTTTTTTCTAATATACTACACTTTTAATTGTTATCTTAGAGTGTACTCCTACTTATTTATTTTTTAGAGGCAGAGTCTCACTCTGTTGTCCAGGCTGGAGTGCAGTGGTGTGAACAAGACTTATTGCAGCCTTGACCTCCTGGGCTCAAATGATCTTTCCTCAGCCTCCCAAGTAGCTGAGACTACAGGTGTGCACCACCAGGCCAGGTTAATTTTTAAAATTTTGTTTGAGACAGGGTCTTACTAAGTTGCCCAGGCTGGTATTGAACTCCTGGGTTCGAGTGATCTTCCTGCCTCAGTCTCCAAAGTGCTGAGATTACAGTCATAAGCCACAGCACCAGCCCCTTCTACTTATAAAACAAAACAAAACAAAACAAAAACTAGTTAACTGTAAAACAGCCTCAAGCAGGGCCTTTCGCAGGTATCCAGAAGGAGGCATTGTTGCCCTAGGAGATGACATCTCCATGCACATTACTGCCTCTGAGGACCTTCCAGTGGGACAAGGTGTGGAGGTCGAAGACAGTGATGTGGATGATCTCAACACTGTGTAGGCCTAGCCTAATGTATGTGTTTGTGTCTTAGTTAAGAAAAAAGTTTAAAAAATTAAAAAAATTTAAATAGAAAAAAGCTTAAAAGGTTCATGATGTAAAAAGGTTACAATAAGCTAAGGTTAATTTAGTATTAAGAAAAGTTTTTAAGATAAATTTAACGTAGCCAAAGCGTACAGTGTTTATAGCCTATAGTAGTGTAGTCATAATCCAGGCCTTCACATTTACTCACCCAGAGTAACTCCTAGTCCTGCAAACTCCATTCATGGTAAGTGCCCTATATGAGTGTACCGTTATTTTATACTTTATACTGTATTTTTACAGTACTTTTTCTATATTTAGATATGCAAATACCATGTGCTACAACTGCCCACAGTATTCAATACAGTAACATGCCATACACGTTTGTAGCCTAGGAGCAACAGGCTATATTATATAGCCTAGATGTGTAGTAGGCTAGACCATCTAAGTTTGCGTAAGTATACCGTGTAACGTTTGCACGATCATGAAATCGCCTAACGATGCATTTGTCAGAAAGTATCCCCATCTTTACACACGGCACATGATTGTACTATTAGTCTAAAGTGTCATTTAAAAAATCACCAATCTAATTTAAAAAGACATGCAATAACAAATGTTGGTGAAGATGTGGAGATCTGCAGTCTTATACGCTGCTGCTAGTAATATAAAATGGTACAGCTGTGTTGGAAATCATTTTGGCAGTTCATCAAAAAGTTAAACATTCCAGCCTGGGCAACATCATGGGACCCTGTCTCTAAAAAAAATAAAATAATTAGCTGGGAATGATGGCACACACTTGTAGTCCCAGCTACTTGGTAGGCTGAGGTGGGAGGACCACTTGAGCCTGGGAGGTTGAGGCTGCAGAGAGCCATGATTGTACCACTGTACTCCCTTGGTGACAGAGTAAGACCCTGTCCTAAAAAAAAAAAAAAAAAAAAAAAAGAAAGAAAGAAAGAAAAAGTTGGCTGGCTCAGTGGCTCATGCCTGCAATCCCAGCACTTTGGGAGGTCAAGACAGGAGGATCACCTGAGTCCAGAAGTTTGAGACTAGCTTGGAAAATGTAGAGAGACGCTGTCTCTACAAAAAAAATTAAATTAGCTATGTGTGGTGGCACTTGCCTGTAGTCCTAGTTACGAGGGAGGATAACTTGAGTTCAGAAAGTCGAGGCCACGGTGAGCCATGATTGCGTCACTGCACTCCAGCCTGACTGACAGAGCAAGACTCTCTCTCTCACCCACACACACACACACACACAAACAATAGTTACCATATGATGAAGCAATTCCACTAATAGGCATATACAAAAGAGAACTAAAAACATAAATCCAGGGCCGGGCACGATGGCTCACACCTGTAATCCCAGCACTTTGGGAGGCCGAGGCAGGCGGATCACAAGGTCAAGAGATCGAGACCATCCTGGCCAACATGGTGAAACCCCGTCTCTACTAAAAAAACAAAAATTAGCTGGGCGTGGTGGAGCGCGCCTGTAGTCCCAGCTGCTCAGGAGGCTGAGGCAGAAGAATCACTTGAACCTGGAAGGCGGAGGTTGCAGTGAGCTGAGAAGACACCACTGCACTCCAGCCTGGCGACAGAGCAAGACTCCGTCTCACCAAAAAACAAAACAAAACAAAACATATATATATATATCCACAGAAAAACTCATATATGAATGTTCACAGAAACATTTTAATAGTCAAAAAGTGGAAACAACCCAAATATTCATCAACTGATGAAAGGATAAACAAAAGGTGGTCTATATCTATACAAAAGAGTATTATTTGGCAATAAAAAGGAATGAAGTACTAACACATACCGCAACATGGATGAACCTTAAAAATATTATGCTAAGCAGAAGCTGATAATAAAAAATCCATATATTATATGTTTCATTTATACAAAATGTCCAGAATATACAAATCTATAGATACAGAAAGTGGATGAGTGGCTGCCAAAGGCTGGGGAAGGGTGGAATGGGAAGTAACTGCTGCTAATGGGTATAAAGTTTCTTTTTGAGGTGAAGAAAACGTTCCAATTGACAGTGGTGATAGCTGCACAACTTTGTGAATACACTGAAAAGCACTGAATTGTACACTTCAAAAGAGTGAACTTCATAGTAAGCAAATGATACTTCATTAAGCTATTATTAAAGCAATCATTTTTAAAATTTATTCATCTTTTTTGGAGGGTAAACTGGGGCAAATTAACATTTCTTTCTCAAAAATGCAGGTAAATAGGTATACTGGCTGTTTCTGACTCTCATCTGATTTGCTAATTCCATCCAAAGAACAGTCACCTATAAAAACTGTTACTGATGACAAAGGCTGAAAGATTAAAATGAATAAAAGACAGGCCCAGCCTTGTAGGAGCTAATGTTGCCATTTTTTGGTTTCTGAATACGCCAAGTATAAGCTGACATTTATGAAGAGCTTTATAAAAGACACCCGTAAATATTAATACCTAGAAGAACTAAGGACTCATGAAGACAAACAAAAGCAATTTAAACTTAAATAGTCAAAATTAGTCTAGTTGTTTGGTAGTCTTAAAAGACTTACTGGACTCATATAAATGCCTTGATGTACATCTCCAAATTGGCCTTCTCCAATACATCGTCCAAGTTCTATTCTTTCTCTTTGAATCTCATAATCCCTGGCTGTAAAACATAATTCACACATCAATACTTAAGTAAAATATTCCAAATGTAGAAATAACACTTGACGTATTTCTTGATCATCCATAAGTAAAATTTCATCTGTGGCACATCAATCTATGAAAATGCTTTAAACACAGTGGAATTCTCTTAAACAATATTTTAACAGGAATTCATGTAATTAGTTATGGTATTAGAAGAACTACTGAAACAATGAGTTCTACTAAAGGTAGATATTTTTCATGTTGTTCCTAGGAGTTTTTAAATTTCCGATTTATTTTATATCTATTTGATAGTTTTCTAAATAATTGCCCCAACTATTAAATTATATGCTTAACTATTAAGAACTATTAGTTTAGGTATTAATATATGAAGGCTATAAAAGCACAGTTATTAAAGCAATTATTTTACAAATAACTACAGTTTGTAAATATGGAAGCAACATAAAATTATGTCATAAGTAAACTTTATGTTTTGAAAGTTTAAGAGTTTTCCACTTTATGATAATCCTATCTCTACATTACTCATGGAGCTAAAAGAGTTTAAAGAGGTAGTTTCTTAAAACTAATTTCAAAGTTAGATGACTCAGAATCAAGGTTGGATGTATCAACATTATAAATCATAAATATACTTTTGAGACCATGTGCCTCAAATTAATATACTGTTATTGTAATATACAAAATCGATTATTCAGTAGGTTTTTGAGGCACATGGAAAGAAAATGCCCATTAAGAATGTAATAGATTCAATTATAACCCATTTACTACTTGGTATTTTGATTTATTTCAGGTAAGAAACTCATCTCCATAGGTTATTGCATATATATTCCAGTAGTGTAATCACCAATGAAATACACCAAGAGCCAAATATTTTTACATGTTCTCCCTGGTTTATCAAATTATAAACAACACAGAACATTCAACCCAAAATTTAGACAGTTATTTTCCTCTTTAAAATCACTTTAGCTAGTAGTTCCATTGATTTAACAGTATAAGTAAACCAATGACAAATAGTTTAAAAATAAGTTAACCAAAAACTGAAACATCCCATATCACTCCACAGGTTGCAATTGCAAGCAAATGCAGTTAATTTAAAGGAATCCTGTTACCTTCATCTATTCCATAGCTTTCTGTATTGCAATTAAGAGAGAAAAAAATTGAAGACCTTGCTTAGAAATAACTAACAGCAATTAGGTTAACAACACAAACTTGAAGAGAATATTTCAACAATACTTAATTTTTAAAATATTTTAAGCACAAATATGAATTTTAAAGAACTAAATACAAGTAAAAACTAAATATCTTCAAGTTAACTCAATGTTAGTTAAACAATGCTTTTAAGTTCCTATCTCATCAAGTTCCTGTAACTTATTTTTGTCAGGTATGGATGAAAGCCATGTTGGACATTTACTGCTCAACTATAAATAATAAATATACAAATAAAAACTGGATTATCTGCAGGAATGTACAAGTGTCTATATGGCTAATTAAAAAAGTAAACAAGTGTTTTGGTGTTTTTTTTTTCTTTTTTTGTTTTTCTGAGACAGGGTCTCACTCTGTTGCCCAGGCCAAAGTGCAGTTGTGCAATCAGGGCTCACTGCAGCCTCGACCTCACAGGCTCAAACAATCCTCACACCTCAGCCTCCTGAGTAGCTGAAACAACAGGTGCATGCTACCACGCCTGCCTAATTTATTTTGTTTTTGGTAGAGACAGGATCTTGTTATGTCACCTAGGTTGGTAACGTACTCTTAGACTCAAACAATTCTCCTGCCTCTGTCTCCCAAAGTGCTGAGATTACAGATGTGCGCCACCATGCCAAAAAGTTAAACCTAAGTTTAAACATTTTTCCAAACTGATACTGGCAATCAAAATGTACACACAAGTTTCAGCTCTGGCCTCTTTCGAGTAACTCTCTAGTCAAGAAGCTCCTGAAAGGGGACATGGGCCCACAGGGCACAATGCACACTTGAAAGGCAACACTGGGTTGTTTCTCTTCATTCCGGTAATGCTTCCTCAATGTATACAGAAAATCCAAACAAGAATATTTACAAGAATATTTATACTATAGAATAAGGCACCTATAACATTTATTTTACAAATATATATAGCTCTACTGAAATCAGGACATTCAGATTTTGAGTTAATTTCTAAGACTTCTGAAGACTCTTTAAAAGGCAGGTTTAATTTTTTTTTTTATACTCAAGTCAGTACTGTCTGGAACATTAAAAAAATAAGAAAATGAAATTAAGAAATAAATTTCTTTTTGCAAATGAAATTTCAAGAGTTTATCTAATTCAAGATCTGGAGACTATACACTCCAACATGAGACCTGGGGCTTCAAGATTTTCCTTAATCAACAAGCTGCACATCACAGAGAGAAGCAGAATCTTGACATTTCCAGGCTGTATGAAGGTCCTTTAAGAGTTCTGTTTCTCTCCCCACACCTCCCATCCCTGAGGTGTACAAACTGACGATGGTTATGAGCTATTTGTATTGGTTAGTCAATGGCAACAAAGAATAAACAATTTAAAGGGGGAAAATGCAAATTTTTGAATATATGTGTGTGAAAGTATGGGTATACGTGTGTGTATGTATGTGTATTATACATATATGGATATATATATTGTGTGTGTATATACACACACATTCACATATATACTTAACCAATAATACTAATTTTCTACAGACAGAAAATACCCTAATCAATAAAGGTTCTATTATGATAGAGTCAGAAAACAAGATTACAAAAATCCTGTAACTAAAAATTATTACAGATATTTGAGTTTTAGGCTTCTGACCTTAGAGTGGGCATATGTAAGTAATATAGAATGGTAAAGGTTGAAAAGAATATTTCTGTTCAGCATCCAAGGAAGTATTAAAAATGGCTCTAAAAAGACAGTAAGTATCAATAACTTTTAAATGCAAGGAGGCATCTGTCAAGTCTGAGCAAGAACAAAATCAGAAGTTTACTTACTTGAGGGCATGGTGTAAGTATCTTCTTCATCTATAATCTCAGCATAATCATCTGTTTCTGCAGGAAAAGAAACAGATATGTTGAAAGAGGTTAAACATCTGACCTCCTGGTATTTCATATAATTAAAGTAGGCAAAGCGATCTGCTTAAATCCTCTACTACGCTGAAATATTCTTAAAACACTATTACTCAAATTTTGCTCACACATGAGTCATTTATGGAAATAAAAGTGACATCATTGTCCAATACGTTATAATACACAGACTTGTTTATCGGAGAGCAAACAGGGCTAACACAGAAAGCCCTTGTAAAAAACAGAACGACATGAAACAACTATGTATATGCTTCAAATTAACCAATCTACCAACCGCAAAGCTCTTCCTCAACTACACCAAATACATGTTTAAAACTACAGTTGTCTACTGGGCTTTCTCCAAATAAGACTGGTATCTATAAAACACGGTATCTGATTTTATTAACAATTAGACTTGACAGCATAATCTGAACGGAACCTTTAGAAAATAAATGGTACCTAATTTTTGAGATTAACTGTGCTAATTCATTCCATTTGCTCAGGGTTGAGAAATGCAACAGGAATTTGTTTCCTAACTTTTAAACTCAGATATTTTAGGCATTAATGTCAAAAGGGCAGATCTACAAAGAAAAAAAGGAGAATAAGCAGCATATTACAATGAGGTTTTTTGAGATCACGTCAAGAAGTTCCAATGTATCTACCTACTCTTTTTGGGTAATACACCAACTTAAAAGTCCACCACTATATTAATGGGAAATTTAAAAATACCCATCTGAAGAAAACAGTCACTCATGTGGTAACACCTATACTGAAAAAATCACTTCAGCCTTGTCTTTTTTCTCTTTCTAGAAAAACGAAAATCTTCAGCTGCTCCATGTATAAGGATTTTAACTGCTGGGCCATTCTTGTGAGTCAGTAAAGCAGGGACAGGACTTTGTGATGCATCATTTCCAAGGAGCTCTATTTTGATACTTTGACCTAGCATCCTTGTTTAACACCAATGAAACGAAAAGCTACAAGTTCTTTCTTCTGTGACGCCTTATTACTGCATTCAGATATTAAAGGTACAGAATTCAAAGCAAATAGAGAATATATATGGTTTACAGTCACTGGGATATCAATCATTCCACATCTATGGTAATGACTGAGATCAAATCTACAAGTGGAAGAATTCACTTCTTATTATGTAATCATCATTAAAAGTGATTACAGTAAAAAAAAAAGTTGGGGAAGCAGATTATAACACCAATAAATCAATTCTCTTTAAGACAGTTATTATCTGTAAACTATTCCTAAGTCCTATATGACAGGCAGATAATCTATATTATTCTTATACGTTTATAAGAATACTTAAAAGATTAAAAAAGTTTTAATAGACTCCAAATCATACATTCTTTTATTTCTGTATTCTCCCTCTTAATCTGTTTTCAGCAAATACTAAGAACAGTAAATTGGCATCTGTAGGCCTATAGCTCTGCTTCTGTGTAAGATGGCTTATCAAAACACCCTGTGAAAGAAAATTTGGGGACGGAAGGAAGCTGCTAACACACTTGCAACAAAAAAGACTAAGCAGGGGAGGAATCTACTCTAACAGCTAAGGCAACAGAAGCCACACAAATGGCCATTTGCAATCATTTCTCTTTTGATTCCATAGTTTAACACGCTCAACTTTGTGATACTCTCCTCAGAAAATGAATGCAACTAAAGCTGTCTTTCCACACAACAGCCCTAGCACCCTCACTGCTTCCTTTCATATAAAGCACGTGCCTTTAGGAGTAAAGCACATGAATTGGCCCTGCTGCAGCAGGATTTTGGGAGAGCCACTCAAACTCTGCACCTCTGCTTCCCTTCCCCAGCTGCCCTGTTATCCAAACTGCTGAAAAGTCTCTACAACCCTGCACGTAGCTCATGGTGTTACGAAGCAGATGTTTTGCACTTGTCACCACAGCTTCATATGGCTGCAAAGTTCATTAAAAGCCTGTTCAGAAGCCCAAGTCTATCAGGTGACAGGTGTCTACTGCCTTAATGAAGAAGGGCATAAAGCTGCTGCTAACACCAGTGGCAGTGACCTCCAACTGAGGGCTTTACCATGCACCAAAGCTTATGCTGGCCTAGAGCCAATTCTGGTTTTAGCCACCTATTCAGAGACCTCTCCTCAGACTAATTTGCCCCCATCCCACTGTTCTTAATCATGTTCCCTGACTCATTTTCCTCATTACCTATAACAACCTGATATAATTTTGTTTCCTGTGAACTGTATGCCCACCTCTCTAGAATGGAACAGCCACCAGAGTGGAACCTTCACGTATCTTGCTCAACACTGTGTCCTCAGCAGCTAAAACAGTGTCTAGCACAGAGAAGGTCCCTCAAGAAACACATGCTAAACCAAAAGAATGAATGCACTGCAACAATCAGTAAAGGAACGCTATACCCCTAAGAAACTGAGGCAAAGGATTTAATCTGTGTGAGGCAGCACAGAAGTGAATGGTAGAGCTGCAATACACGTGACAAAATACACAAGCCCATTTGGGGAAAACTGCTTGAGCTTTGGAAAGTCACTTCACCTGGCAATGCTTCAGCTGTGCCCTCGTGGGTAAAATAACATCATCTGCCTTGTAGCACTGTTATGAGGATTACAGGAGACATGACAGAAAGTTGAGATGTGCCCTACACATAACAGATCATCAAGCAACAGTAACTCCTCTGATTGTTTTGCTTCTTCTGAGGGCTCTCTGAAAGGGACCTGGCAGTTGAGGATTTAGGATTCCTGTGTGCTGATACTCTCAGCCAATCTTTTTGGTTTGACAGCAGTCCTTCAAGGACTGTCTCATTTTATAAAATCCTCAGTAGAGATACCAACCTCTAAAATAATTGTGAAGGAGTAAAATAAATAGGCTAATATATATCAGGCTAGCACACATTGTGGAAAATATCATGTTGCATACATTTCAATTAATTCATACAATCACAAGAGAAAACCTGTAAATTTCTTTCTTTTTTTTTTTTAGCTGGATGAATTGTACATAAAATCTCTGGGGATGTATCAAAGCTGTCTAGGAATTACTTATATTTGGGTTGCAGGTGTGTGTACTATGATGCAATGTGAATAGAGAATTCATGGAGTAAAATCAACAATGTTGCAGGTAAATGATCTGCAAAAGTTTATAACCCTCTATATATGAGTTTCATATGTATGGTAATATCTGGTGTATATTTCTAAGAATTCCTTTTTTTTTGAAGACAGGTTCTTGCTCTGTCGCCTAGGGTGGAGTACAGTGGTGCAATCTTGACTCACTGCAGCCTTCACCTCCTGGGCTCAAGTGATCCTCCCAACTCAGCCTCCCAAATAGCTGGAACTACAGGCACGCGCCGCCATGCCTGCTAATTTCTTGTACCTTTTGTAGAGATGAGGTTTTGCCATGTTGCCCACGCTGGTCTCAAACTCCTGGACTCAAGTGTAATCCCAGAATGCTGAGAATACAGGCAGGAGCCACTGCACCCAGCCTTCCCAAGAATTCTTGACATTGATTTGGCTGTATTTTGCTTTTCTTTCCTGGTTTTTAGGATTGTTAAGATAGTATTACACTGATATGATAGGTATTTTTACATATTCAAGGGCCCTAAAAATTGGAGTACAGTCTGAAACTTCCTGGGCCCTCCACATGTTAGTGTAACATAGTTTAAGGAAAACAGAAAAATTACCCCCCAAGGGTTAATTCAAAAGATAAGGAAAATACAAAGAAAAAAGGAAACAAGTTCAAAGGCCTGGGCACAAATGAAGCTAGGTCTGCATTCTATATTTAATAATGACATTGACTACTAATCATATTATTGGGAGCTTACCATATACTAGATGCTGTTGTAAATAATTACATATATTGTCATTTAATCCTCAGCAAAATTATTTGAAGTTGTACTATGATCACCATCCCTATTTCACAGGCAAGAAACGGTAGCATACAAAAACAGGTGGGCCATATTTGGTCCATGGGCCTTACTGACCAAGACCAAGTGACTACCCTTAAGGCTCAGCTTATTCACCTGTAAAATGGGTTAAGTACACTTGCCCTGGCTAATTCATAGTATTGAGAAATTCATAGGTGGGAAAATACATACAAGTGTTTGCAGACATTTATCTAAATTTTGATGCTTACAGAGTAATCCTCACAACAACCACTTGAGACCTTTCCCAGATGAAGACCCAAGAGATGAAGCAATTTGCTTGTAATCCCTCAGCTAGTCAGCTGCTGACTGGATGGGGCAGTGGAAAAAGGGCAAGGCTGGAGCCTAAGACCTGACCACTTGCCTCTAGCAGCCTTAGAGTCTCTCTTAATCCTCTGATTATCACTTTCCTCACCTGCAAAACAGTGAGGACAATACCCAGTGATATTCTGAATGACTGCTGTGAGAATTAGGAATCAAGTCAGTAAAGTGTCACATGCAGAAAGCTCTAGATGAATTGCAGCTGCTAATTGATTATTATCACAGAATTAATCTAAAAATGAAGCTCAAATCTCTGACCTCAAATCCTGTGAAAAACACGCACTTTTAAGACCTTTTACTGAAACTGCTTAGCTCGTTATACTCGTTATCAATATCTCTATCCTATTACAAAAATGAACATAGGTGAAATCTTCAGTAAAAGCATTCTTTCATTTAATCAGGAGGAAAAAAATACAATTCCTTCTTAATTTTAGTTTATAAAATCTTACTCCTTTAGTATAAAGGAGGATAAAGTTTCATGCAAGCAGTATATGAAGTAGATGGGAAATGTAAGACATAGAATGTGATTTAAAATTTTTAAATTTCTACCTTAAGTGCTATCAACTATTTGAAAAACCAATTATCATTATTGCTGATATTTCCCTAATTCCGTTAGTTTCTGTGAGTCTTTAAAATCATTTTTCATTCTTTCCTTTCTACTATCTCATTCCCAAACTAAGAATTATCACACAGATACCACACTTGGGAAACAGAGTGTATGGACCGCTACCATTTACAGCTTTCAAGTGTTACTAATTTTGCTTTTGACATTTTTTAAGAACTCTCAAAGTTTTAATAATGAAATCTAGGAAATTTACTAGGAATACATACAACTCAAACTTACCACTAAAATGTGATTAAGAAATTGATAGTTATCCTTTCCATGCCAAAGCCCTAAGCAATTTTTAAAATATTTTGCATACCATTTTGTACTTGGTTCTGTTGGATCAAAAGCACATTTTGCCTTTCATTAAATACTAAACTATATTTATTTTCATAAATAATTATCTCATAGCAGTAACACAAATGTGAAAATAAATATTACCGTCCCCACTAATTTCATCTGCAGATCCGGGTGGCATGCAAAGAAAGGGAAGTAGGGAACAGAGGGAGGGAGACATAGGAAGGAGAAGAGGGAAGAGAGGGGAAAACACTATTAAAATGACAAGTAAACCAAAGTGTAAGAAAAATAAAAAACAATTACCCCCCAGGGTTTAATTCAAAAGATAAAGAAAGACTGTAGTGGTAGTATGTTTACTTGAATTTGAGGGCATAATGCTAAGTTTAAAGCTGTCAATGTATTACATGAAGTTACACAGCTAAAGTATTACAGAGTGTAAACTGGATTCTGCCACACTAAGCAAAGTTAATTTGACTGCCTCTTACAATTAAATTTTAAAAATGGTTTCTACCTTCCTCAAAGGGAACTTGTGTCCCCTCAGATAAAAATGCAAACAAACTAGTCATTAATCTGTATGTTTAGTTACAAGAAGAGAATAAGCCCTCAGCAAGCCCATTCCAATAAGCCAGTGGGATTTAAATATTATAAGGTAGACATAGGCCAGGCCCACTACTATAAACTGTGGGGAGTGCAGTACTTGAAGCTCTGCTGACAACGAAGGTTCCCATTTAAGTTTGCACAGAATAAATTTTGTTTTGAATAGTCTGGAGAAATTACTGTTTCAATTATTATAAATAATCTTTGCTTTCCTAGAAAATGCTCCAAATGGCATAGCTGCCTCTACTATGCAGCAGCCCTAAATATCTGTCCCCAAAGCATGAAAAGCAGACAACTAGGGAGTCACTTTGGCCATTCTCCTTCATTCAGTTGCATGCTATATTAGGAAATCCATGATGCAAAAAGTGTGATCCTGCTGACCTCTGTGGGAAAACACTCAAACAACACAAATGAAACTGAGAAGCGACTTCTTGCCCTGTCATGCATTTAAAAACCAGCAAACAGGCAAACAAAAAATCTTGTATTCAAGAGAGTAACCCAAAAACAGTGACATAAAACCTTGCCCCCACCCCAATCCCCTTATTGCTTCTGAACAATGAACAGCACATACACTAATATTCAATAAAGCTATGATCTGTTCAGGATAATCTATAAGCATCAGGTTAGAGTTAGTTTCTCTGGAGTGCTCTGGTTAATAGGAGAGCCTGTGCAAATATGAGTGCAGTACCCGTAGAAGGAGGATCATGGGAACAGAAGACCAAAGGGAGAAAGCGCCTAGCTTTCTTAACTTTATGTTGGCAGTGACTGACTCCTTTATAAAGAGGCAAGAGGGGAAAGAGAAAAATAGAAACAAATTATTTCAATACAAAAGACAACTTTTGTTACATTTAAAGGCTTATCTATAAAAACAGATACAAAATTGCAATGCTTTTATTTTGACTATTGGCATGCCTTATTTCTTACTATGATTGACTTGAGTTTTAAAAAACATACTAATATTTTTAAATTTAATTTCCTGTAGATTAGCACTTGATACAGAAACAAGACGTAAGAATCTCCCAGCTCTGTAGAGCCAGCCAGTTGAATATTCAGATATTTTTCCAAATGACAACAGTCACAGGAAAAAACAAAGACCAATAAATAATTCAAGACTCTTGTGAACATTTAACATTCAACCATAGCAGAAAAATAGCAGATCTTCATTTGTGAAAGAGTTTTACGAACAACTTTCCCCAAATCATTAGCAAAGACACACTCACAGCTCTTGAGTTATATACTTTACATAAATTACCTTAACATAAAAACTGGCGATGAGGATCTTTGAAAACACAGGTTGCAAAACCTCTACTAGCATTACGGATTCATTTGCTCACTCATTCATGTACTCAAAGCTCATTTTAGAGTCAAAAAGCTGGATCGATAAAACACATCTCAGCTCTCCAGAAGCATATAGCAAAATGAGAAAATAAGCAGCAACTGCAGTATGGTAATGGCAATAGTGGACAAGTGTGAAAGTGAAGTCAAAGCCAGGGATGCAGGGATGTAGCCCTTTAAGATGCAGCAGTCATTAACAAATGACAGACACAGGTAACATCAACATTTAACTGCATACTCACGGGGTATCATAAAGAAAGATCAGAAGTATGGACCCAAGAACAAGGGTCAGGACTGTTTGCCCATCAAGATGGTAACAATCTTATTGACATTGTCAATATATTAGCAACAGAAATGAGAACAGAAATGTACACTTCAGTAATATTTTTCAAACGGTATGCTTTGATCCTATTAACATTTTTTTTTTTTTTTTTTGAGACAAAGTCTCGCTCTTCTCCCCCAAGCTGGAGTGCAATGGCACGATCTTGGCTCACTGCAACCTCTGCCTCCGGGTTCAAGCGATTCTCCTGCTTCAGCCTCCCGCGTAGCTGGGATTACAGGCGCCTGCTACCAAGCCCAGCTAATTTTTGTATTTTTTTTTTTTTTAGTAGAGTCAGGGTTTCACCATGTTGGCTAGGTTGGTCTCAAATTCCTGACCTCAGGTGATCTGCGCACACTGGCCTCCCAAAGTGTTGTGATTACAGGCATAAGCCACCGCGCCCGGCCGATCCCAGTAACATTTACTGACAATTTCATCTTATTGCTTGACTTAAAAGCTACCTTTACACACACTAAATTTCTGGACTTTGTATATGATGGCCCTAGAGGAAAGCATAAACTGGTCTCTCAGTTAAGAAGATGGGCCTGCCAGCCTGTGTAACATAGCAAGACCCTGTCTCTACAAAAAAATTCAAAAATTAGCCAGGTGTGGAGTCACGTACCCGTGGGCCCAGCTATTGAGGAGGCTGAGTTGGGAGGACTGCTGGAGCCAGGAGGTAGAGCCTGGACCACAGAAGCAGAGCCTCTGAACTCCAGCCTGGCGACAGAGGGAGACCCTGTCTCGCCAAGATGGGCCTGACAACTGGATGCACTGTGTGATGCAGGATGAATTCTGGACTGGAGGCTGGGGAAGGGAAAGATCAGGAAGCAACAGCGATACGGAACATTACTGGTATGAAATAATTTAGACTGCGGATAAGAGCATTTCTTCAGTATTAAATTTCCTGATTTTGATAATTATACTCTGATCACATAAGATGATATCTTTGGTCTTAAACACACACTGAAATGTTTATAAGCAGCACCATGTCTGTAACTTGTTTTCACATGGTTCAAGGAAAAAACTAACAACAACAACAACAACAAAAAACCCATAGAGTGATAAAGCAAGTGAGCCAAAATATAAATATAGTGAAATGGAGGAAAGAACATATGAGACATCACGTTACTATTCTTACAACTATTCTCCAAGCGTAAAGTTACAGAAAAATAAAAGATATATGGAACACTAGCTCTGGGGCCAGACAGTTTGGATTCAAATACTGGCTCAATTATTCATTCTGACCTTGGATACACTGCTCAACTTCTGTTGCTTAGTTTTCTTATTGTAAAATGGGGTTATAACAGAAGCTACCTCCATTAAGGAGGTTGGGAAAGGATTCCATGGGATTCTCTGGGCACCCAGAACAGAGTGACCACTCCACAAGTGCTAGCTCTTCTTACTTTTCTACTGTTCATTTCTAAACTGGACTGAATATTCTTTATACTAACTTAAAAAGTGAATTTTTTAAAAAAGTACAACTCTTTTTGAGTAATACCAAGAATATTATCACACATCATAAAAACAAAAACAAAAAGGATTAGGACTTTTATTGTATTCAAGATAATCATTTTAATTATTGAACACCTGCCATAAACTAGGCATACCATGTAGGTGCTGGAGTTAGAACAGTGAACAAAATAGAAACCCAAACTTTCAAATTATTGAGCTTACGTTCTAGTAAGGGAGAAGGAAGATAAAATAAGTAAATTTTATGGCATGTCAACATGTAAGTGCTAGGGAAAAACCAGCAGAAGGAATATTTTCAAGTGGGGCTACCATTTTAAATATGGTGATTATGGAGGGAGTCATCTGCAAAGACTTCCAGGAGGAGAGGGAAAGGGCCATGCACACATCAGGGGAGGCCAGGCAGCACACACACAGGCCTTGGCTCTGCAGAGGTCAGTGTGAACACGTGCTGAGGAGCAGCAGGGAGGTCAGGTGAGGTGGATGAAGAGTTGGGAGTGGGAAGGGGGAGGTGGCACTGAGATGCACTCAGTGAGGTCCCAGAGTGTCTAAGACCTCTTAGCTCCTGGTAAGGGCACTGGCTTTTATTCTAAATGATGTCAAGAGTCATTCAGAATATTGTTTCCTTTTAAAGGAAAAGAGAGAGTTCCTACATTGTTTCACAAATTCTAGGAATGTGAAGATAATGGGTAAGGCCACTAGTCAAGAAAAAAATGCCTTTCAACAATTGCTCCGGGCCCGGGTGCAGGATAGGGGTGAGGAGGGCATGACTGAAGCCCCATACTCCTGCCTCTCTGGGACTGATAAATTTTGCAGACCTCACATACCTCAGGCTGCTCTGAGCAGCTTTTCCTTTCTCACCAGTCCAACTTTCTATGTGATTACGCTGGTTCAGATTTACCTCAGTCTCAACTAGCTTACTGCAATCCTACCTATTCCCTTTTAGAAGGCTCCCAGGAAGCCTTTGAAAAATGACAGACGATGTCACTCTTCTCATTCTCTGCTCTCTTTTGTACTGAGTTACTTGTTCTCTTTGGCTTTTGCGGTACAGGGATTACTCCATACTGTGAGGGAGAACTTGAACTTTGTATGTGTGGCAATGTGTGATCAATTGGCAAGTCACCAGCAAAAGCTGCAGTTTTGGAGTGGCTGACAGTGGTCACAGTGAATGGTTATAACTGCAGAGGGCTACTTACTTCTCTACACATTTAGATAAGAAAAGCAGTTTGAACACTTGGAGGCTAAGGAAACACTCACCACCAACGGGTAAGACTCCTATGGAAGATGGCAGAATGGGCTGATTGGTGTTGGGTCACCCATCAGCATCACAGGAGTGTCTCTCCAGCATGGAACACTGTGGAACATTGTGTAGCGTGGTCCTATTATCAGAGGCATCCGACCCAGAACAACTCCATCTTGAATAGGGGCTCGGTAAAATAAGACTGAGACCTACTGGGCTGCGTTCCCAAGAGGTCAGGAATTCTAAGTCACAGGATGAGACAGGAGGTTGATAGAAGATACAAGTCATAATAAAGACCTTGCTGATAAAACAGCTTGTGGTAAAGATGCTGGCCAAAACCCACCAAAACCAAGATGGTGACAAAAGTGACCTCCAGTCATCTTCACTGCTTACTATATGCTAATTATAATGCATTAGCATGCTAAAAGACACTCCCACCAATGCCAGGACAGTTTACAAATGCCATGGCAAGGTCAGGAAGTTACTCTGTATGGTCTAAAAAGGGGAGGAACCCTCAGTTCTGGGAATTGCCCACCTCTTTCCCAGAAAACTCACTAATAATCCACCCCTTGTTTAGAATATAATCAAGAAATAACTGTAAGTATCCTTAGTCCAGCAGCCCACACTGCTGCTCTGCCTATGGAGTAGCCATTCTTTTATTCCTTTGCTTTCATTTTACCCTATGGATTTGCCTCAACTTCTTTCTTCAGCCAGATCCAAGAACCCTCTCTTGGGGTCTGGATCAGAACTCCTTTCAGGTAACACCATGGTATTTCCCTCTTTCGGGGGAACCAGGATTCAATGTAAAAGTGGGAACCAGGCATGGTGGCTCATGCCTGTAATCCCAGCACTAGGGGAGGCAGAGGTGGGCAGATCACCTGAGCTCTGGAGTTGGGAGACCAGCCTGGGAAACATGGCAAAATACTCTCTTTACAAAAATACAAAAGCTAGTCAGGCGTGGTGGTGTGTGCTTGTAGTCATAGCTACTTGGGAGGGTGAGGTGTGAGAACTGTTTGAGCCCGGGAGATGGAGGTTGCAGTGAGCCAAGATCACGCCACTGCACTCCAGTCTGGACAACGGAGTGAGACCCTGCCTTAAAAAAAAACAAAAACAAAAAGTGGGGTCCTTGATTTTTTTTAAGACGGGGTTTTGCTATGTTGCCCATGCTGGTCTCTAACTCCTGGGCTCAAGAAATCTGCCTGCCTCGGCCTCCCTGAAGTGCTGGGACTATAGGTGTGAGCCACCATACCAGGCCCTTGATTTTTATGCTGGGCCTTCCAGCTATGCCTGCTTTTCAAATATTTAAATACTAGGCCCTGAAAACTGCAAATGCTTTATTTGCCCAGTTCATTAAAGGGCTCCAACTTGAAGTCAGTAATCTAATTAAAAAACAAGCTAAGTTGAAAAGGACACCTATCAAAATAAATCAGTCTCCAAAATACAACTTTCTGACATTTAGCTGCTTATTTTGAAATCCTCTGTCAGAGAAATTTACACCTATAAAGGAAATTACCATTTTTAAGGGTATCTTCGCCCCTGCACCTAAACCACTAAAATATTATCTTCACATTCCTGGAATCTGTGATATAAAGAACAATGGACAATCAATAGTTTATTATTATTATTATTCTCATTGAGAGAGTCTTGCTGTGTCCATCCAGGCTGGAGTGCAGTGGCGTGATCTTGCTTACTATAACCTCCGGCTCCCAGGTTCAAGTGATTCTCGTGCCTAAGCCTCCCCAGTGGCTGGGATTACAGGCATCCGCCACCACACCTGGTTAATTTTTATATTTTTAATAGAGACAGGTTTCACCATGTTGGCCAGGCTGGTCTGGAATTTCTGACCTCAGGTGATCCGCCCGCCTCGGCCTCTCAAAGAGCTGGCATTAAAGGTGTGAGCCACCATACCTGGCCAATAGTTACATTATTTTAATGCCAATTTTTGGTAAACAATTTAAGAACTGTCTGTTCTTTTTTCCTTTACAAATCCACTTGTAATTGCTGCTAATCAGAGTACCTATATAGGACAACTTCAATCTATGACTTGGTCTTCTAAATATATTCCCAGTGTAAACCCTAAAGGAAAAAACTTAGGCAAAATTAATATAAGTACAGAGTTTATTTGCAGGAGCAATTTGGATTTGTTAATAGATTGGATATGGGAGAAGAAAACAAAGAATAGCATCAAAAATAACCCCAAGGATAATCTGACCAGCCAGAAGGAAAGTAGTGCCATTTAGTGAGTGGAGAAGGGGAGAGAAGCAGGCTTGGCGTGAATATCAGTTCCTTTTGAGTATATTAAGTCTGAAATGCTTATGAGACATCAGATTCCACATGGCGAGAACATAGTGGCCACGGGTCTGGAGTTCAAGAAAGAAGTCTGAAAAACTAAGATAACAATCTGAGAGTCAGCAGCATAATTAAGTCATGAAACACAATGAGATCCCCAAGGGTGTGACTGTGGCTGACACAAAGTGTCAGAAGAACTGAGTCCTGGGATCCTCAGGCGCGAAGTGCTGAATAATGAGTGAAGTAGGAAGAATATGGTATTCTGGAAGCAAAAGCAGGGCAATTTCAATAAGGAGCAACACTGAATCGCAATAACTCACATAAAGAGTTCTTCTATCATAAGCGGACCAGTGATGTCAGAAGGGGGCTACTAAGGCGGGGAAACCACAGTGGGTGATGTGCTAATGAAACCAGAGCTAACCTGATTAAGCCTGCCAAACTTAACCTGCCTTGTTTGCTGTATTAGGCCATTATTGTATTGCTATCAAGAAATACCGGAGACTGGGTAATTTATAAAGAAAAGACGTTTTAATTGGTTCACAGTTCTGCCAGCTTCATGGAAAGCATGGTGCTGACATCTTTTTGGCTTCTGGGGAGGCCTCAGGAAGCTTACAATCATGGCAGAAGGTGAAGAGGGAGCAGGCACATCACACAGCAAAAGCAAGAGCAAGGGGTGGGGTGGGGAAAAGCCACATACTTCAAAGGACCAGGTTCTAATGTGAACTAAGAGCCAGAGCTCACTCATCACCAAAGGAACGGCCCACGCCATTCATAAGGGATCTGCCTCATGATTCAAGCACCATCCACCAGGCCCCACCTCCAAAACTGGGGATTACATTTCAACATGAGATTTGGGCAGGGACAAATATCCAAATGATATCAGTTGCTTTTAGTCGCTTAGATCTAAAAACTCCCACTAGCAAGTCAAATAGCCAGACAATCCATAACTAAACTCCCATTAGCTTCCTGTAGGTCACTGCAGTAATGGGTGCTTTAAGTTGTTTTTCAGGAAGTAGGGGGCAGCTCTTGTCCCGCTCAAGCAGCTTGAGGCCACCAATCCTTCAAATGGGCTTATGCCAATGCAGGAGAGATGACCATATGACATCAGAGAGCTGAAAACTCTTCCCTCAGATCAGGGTAATGCTACCATTTTCTGAACACGCGTTCTATGAAGAGTCAGGAAGCCTGACTATGTGTGGGCAGATCACTTATTAACTCACTTTTCCTTATACCCAATCACTTTTTCCCATGCCTTCAACTGCCCTGCTCCTCTATCCCATAAATATCCCTAAAACTTCATCTTTGGAGAGGCATATTTGACATTTGTTCTCTCATCTCCTCACACGGCAGCCTTGGGAATGAGATCTTTCCCCTTTGGCAAAACCTGTTGCCACAATGATTGGCTTGCTGCACGTTGGGAAAAAAAACTAACAGTAGTAGAGCAGGGAAAATTCCTGACCAGGTAACAAGTGATAGAGGGTAGACTGGTAACAAATTAGACTTAATTGGGCTGGGCCTGGTGGCTCATGCCTGTAATCCCAGCACTTTGGGAGGCTGAGGCACATGGACCACTTGAGGCCAGGAGTTTGAGACCAGCTAACATGGAGAAATACTGTCTCTATCGAAAATACAAAAATTAGCCAGGCATCTGTAGTTCCAGCTACTCAGGAGGCTAAGGCACAAGAACTGCTTGAACCCGGGAAGCGGAGATTGCAGTAAGCCGAGATCGCACCACTGCACTCCAGCCTGGGTGACAGAGAGGGGCTCTGTCTCAAAAAAAGTAGTAGATCTAACTGGGTGAGGACAAGTCATCTATTGTGAGATCAAGGCAGGCAGCACTTATGGCTGGCAAATGCTGGAGGTTTAAGGAAAGGTTCAAAGTGGCTGTGAGATGGAATTGAAAGCAAGACCAAAGCAATGTGGTTGTGCTATTCGCTTTACGGTTCAGTTGTGCTACAGCAGACATGGGACAGAACGAGCTGGCTTTAACTTGGCCAAGTGAGTTAAAACCAAACAAACGAGTAGGGCAGAGATGATGGGGATGTAGGCCAGGGAAGGATACAATTATTGATCAGGGGTTTTAGGCTTGTTAAGAAACCAGAGAAGACAAAAAAATGTGATGTAGACAGCAGAATGGGGATGGGATCAAGGACAAGCTAGAAAAATTGGAGGTGGCAGTCAGAGAGGGTTTTCTTAAAATTGAAATTATAGGAGAGTTATAGTTGTAGATAAAGTGTAGGTCTCACAGGAAAGAGAAATAGCAGACAGCACCACTGGAAGAATGGAGAGAAGAGGTGCTGGGGCTGGGCACAGTGGGTCACACCTGTAATCCCAGCACTTTGGGAGGCCAAGGAGGGCAGATCACTTGAGGTCAGGAGTTTGAGACCAGCCTGGTCAACATGGTGAAACCCCGTCGCTACTAAAAATAAAAAAAATTAGCTGAGTGTGGTGGCGCACACCTGTAATCCCAGCTACTCGGGAGGCTGAGGCAGGAGAATAGCTTGAAACTGGGAGGCAGAGGTTGCAGTGAGCCGAAATCCCACCACTGCACTCCAGCCTGGGCGATGGAAAAAAAAAAAAAAGAAAAAAAAAAAAAGAAGACATGCTGGAGGAATTGCCTACCATGAATATTGAAATCCTCCCAAACTACGATGGGGGATGCTGGAGCACTGACAGTGAACTGGGTGCTCAGAACTTTGAGGAACATAGGACAGCCTTGTTCTGATATGTGAGATTCAAAGCTCATGTTTTTGAGGGAGAGTAGTCTGGAAGGGGCAATGAGAATCAGGGCACCCTTACCTCATCTCCAGTCCTAGTGCTACCATGGTTCTCAGACACCATCAGTAGGGTTACAGAGGCACCAAGGGGTATCAGTGCCCTCCAGAGTTTTAGTTAGAGGAAGGTGACAAAGAGGAATATATAGAGAAGTCCCAGAAGACAGAGGTGTAGTGTTTTAGAAGTTGGGGGAAACTGAGCAATAAAGACAAAACAGAGGGTATGCAGAGGGTATGCCAGCAACAAGGGAGTCTGGGGCTTCTGGAGGAACAGGTATGAATAGGGATAAAGAGCATAATGAGATTAGTCCAACTGGATCAGCATTTTCCTTTTTATTTCTAGTTACATAAGTAAGGCGATATTTTCCTTTGACCATACCTCTCAATTCTATTCTTCTCCTTGGGCATGAGGGTGTGGTGCTGACAAAGCTGAACACTACCGAACTCTGTGTTCCAGCAAACAGGTTTCCCAGTAATCATCCAACCTGGGGTGGTCATGGGGGAACCTCCTATTCCAACAATGTGAAAAACACACAAATTCATACTGATATTTTAAAAAGAAAATCTCAAAGAATGACATCTGACTAGCAAGGTATAATTTACTATTTTAAAAACTGGTAAATAAAGGAAAAGAAAAAGGCAGTTCCTGTCTTCCCAGGAGAAGCCTGCTCCCGAGGGTAATGAAGCAGCTGGTGAGGGAACGCTGTCTCTAGAAGCATTCCAGCTAAACAAAGGGAGAAGAAATGACAGGATTCACAGGGTGCCATTTTGTGGCCTCTGATGAAATCTAAGCATTAATGTCAACAGCTGCTAAAACTATTAGGTGAAATGCTCATGGGAACGTTCTCATGTATGGATCAGAGAGTGATGGGACCTAAACCCATTGATTAGTCTTAACATCACAAAGAACAACCAGATGTACATCACCTAAGAAGTATTCTTGTTGTGGGGAGGGGGGGAATCAAGCCCAAACTGGATCAAACTTCTTTAGGTTCTAACAAGCAGCTGATGGGAAATAAACGGGCCAGAAAAGAATAGGTTAAACAAGACAGCATCACAGAGATGTAATCAGCCTAATCCAGAATATGAGAATAGGACAAGGGACACAATTTCTTCAACAGAGTAATTGCAACTAGTAACAATCAACCAACAAGGTCTAGCTGACACATACAGGAGATACTCAAGCAAATTCACAAAGTACTTCTTGTCTGATTCTTGTTTAGACGAAACCACATATGAAAATGGGACAATCAGGGATATTTGAACACTGACTGGATAGCTGATAATGTTTTGTAAAAAAAGTCTCATCTTTTAGGAATAGTTACAGGTGAAATATGCCTTCGATTTGCTTTAGAATAACCAATAGGGATTATGTGTGTATGTAAGTGGACAGAGGCAGAGGTGAAATAAAATTGGCCAGAAGTTTTTAGTTGCTGAATCTGGGTGATGATGATACGAAAAATCATGATACAATTCTATTCTCTCTTTTCTGTATATGCTTGAAATTTTCCATAAAAAGTTTTAAAAACTCAAAATTCAAAAGCATAGTAGGTACTTAATATTTATTCATTTCCATGGTCTCCTCTTTGTAAAGGCATCAAAAATATTTTGTCTTGACTCATGCAGTTTGATTTTAATCCACAATTATTGTATAGCTATAAGCTACAAACGGGGTGGGGGAAGACTTGAGGTCAAACTCTAGAATTTATATTTTAAACTTTCAAGCATTCCCTTTAAAATTATTTTCTGCAAAGAAAAAAATAACTGGGCCTTTTGATGTTAGCAATATTTATTTTATATTTGGTAAGATGATGATACTTGGGCTTTTTGTGTTTTAATAATATATTTTTTTAAAAAGATTGAGAAGTTTATTAATTATTGTTAATAAGTTTCGCCAGAGGATCAAGATGGTTCATAAGCCAAGTATACCCAATACTGCCAACTGTGAAGCATTTATTTTATAAAGACAAAAATACATTTTTGTTTCTAATACTCTCATATAGTCTTTTCCCCTTTATAGCGTGGGGGCTGCTTGGGAGAAGATGGGAATACTCTCTTCTGGAAACAAAATTTATAAGACTGAGCTGGATTTCTGTGGGCTGGGAAGAGTTTATAAAAACAAAAATCCACTTTAAATTTTTGTTGTACTCATTATTGCTCAGCTTTTCATTTGGCCTTTTTAAAAATTTGAAAGTGCCTCAGGCTACCCCTTGCCAGGGAGGTCTGTGAGTTTCTGTCTGCACTGTCTGCACTGCCTGCAGCTGAGACGAGTTCAGCTCAAGGGTGAAGGAGTGGTTCCGGGTCCTTTTTCAGGATACTTCTTTACAACATACGATGCTGATATTTCAAAACCTATATGACCTCCAAGTATTCTTTTCAACTGCTTTAGAACCCAGAGAAGAAACGGTATGACTACGAAGAACACCCCGATCTCAACAGTGGCAAAGGGAGTTCGAATGATGTAATGGTGGGAGAGGGAGGGCTATCGGAAAGAAGGCAGCACAGCTGGGCTATTTTGATTGTTCACTTCCTTATTCATGCACAACACGATCAGCCAGTCTATCCATATGAAGTCAGTGACAACTGTACGCTTCTCAGTGGTTTGGAGTCTCTCCTAATACCAGACTGACTACCAGAATAATTTCCAGTGAGCCAGGTACTAGGAACAGATCAATAACATTCAATACCTACTACTTTGTGCACATAAAAATTATTAGTAGCATTAATTTGATTAAATTATGTCACAAAGCATATAATTTACAAAAATGAATTTATCTTTTAAAATTTGGTTGTTTTTTTTTTTGGGGGGGGGGACAGGGTCCTCTCTTTGTCACCCAGAATGGAGTACAGTGGGGTGATCTCAGCTCACTGCAACCTCCAAATCCCAGGGTCAAGAGATCCTCCTACCTCAGCCTTCTGAGTAGCTGGGACTATGGGCACACGCCTCCACGCCTGGCTACAGTTTTTGTAGAGACAGGGTTTCACCATGTTGCCCAGGCTGGTCTCAAACTCTTGGGCTCAAGTAATCTGCCTGCCTTGGCCTTCCAAAGTGCTAGGACTACAGGCGTGAGGCACTGTGCCTGGCCTAAATTTAGTTTTACTTTTTAATTTTTTCAGTGTCCCGTAGATTTGGTAGGGAAAAAAATGAACTACTTATATAATAGGTGACAATGCTCTCAAATTAGGGCAAGGTTTTTTTTTTTCTTTTCTTTCCCCTTTTAATTCCTAAAAGCTAGCATTTAAATCAAGCTTTCAGCAACAGATAGAGACTACCTTGGAAACCCACAGCATTATCAAAATTGAAACTAGAGTGTAAAACTAGACAGAAGAACCTTTTTCAAACTTGAATACAGGGCACACTTCTGAGAGTTGGAACTGAGTCAGCACTATCCTATTCCTAATAAATGAGGGGAAAAAACCTTAATGGAATCACACGCAAACTCTTTCAAAGTATTATTTCCTTCCACACATTTATATTATCAAGCTTTAGAAATGAGTCAACATAGGCTAGGTGCAGTGGCTCACACCTGTAATCCCAGCACTTTCGGAGGCAGAGGCAGGCAGGTCGCTTGAGCCCAGGAGTTTGAGACCAGCCTGGGCAACATAGGGAGACCCCGTCTCTACAAAAAAAATACAAAAATTTGCTGGGCATGGTGGCGCACACCTGTAGTCCCAGCTACTTGGGAAGCTAAGGCAGGAGGATCACTTGAGCCCAGGAGGTTGAGCTGCAGTGAGCTGAGATCAAGCCACTGCAATCCAGCCTGGGTGACAGAGGGAGACCATGTCTCCAGAAAAAAGAAAGAAATGAGTCAATATGGTCTAATGTAAAGAGAACAAACCTTCTAGTCCAAGATCAAGATTTCCATCAGGCTATTACTTACTAGCTATGTGAACTTGGCCAAACCACTTCAGCTCCGAGTGTCTTTATTTCTTTATGTGTAAAGTGAAAATATTACGAAGACTCTCATGAGGTTTAAACAAAATGATGCCTGTGGATGGGCCAGGCATGATCTCTAAGACACATGCATATGTAAATAACTACCTGTATTTATAAGTGGCATAGTCATGAATAGGTAACAAATCTAGTGTATCAGAGACCACACAGAAAGAGATAAAATGCAGTAATTATTATAGACTATACCACCTTATATTTTATAGAACTTTACAGTTTACAAACCACCTTTGCATATACAAGTGAGCTGTTTTAGAATTTGTAATGAAGCAGCTTAATACAAAATACAAATAACATTTATTTCATTAAATGTTTTAATAGTTCAGAATAATTTCCAGTCACTAACCTGAAAAACCTAAAAGTAATCTTGAATAAAGGAAATTATGTTGCATGATAAACAACTGAACCAAAATAATGTTAGAAAATTAAAAATTTATTTAAATTGCAACAAATACTGAAAAAGTATCACAAAGGGCCAGGCGTGGTGGCTCACGACTAATTTTAATTCCAGCACTTTGGAAGGCCGAGGTGGGTGGATCACCTGAGGTCAAGACTTCGAGATCAGCCTGGCCAACGTTGTGAAACCCCATCTCTACTAAAAATACAAAAACTAGCTAGGCGTGGTGGTGCACAACTGTAGTCCCACCTACTCGGGAGGCAGAGGCAGAGGCAGGAGGCTTGAACCTGGGAGGCGGAGGTTGCAGTGAGCCAAGATCACACCACTGCATTCCAGCCTGGGTGACAAAGTGGGGGGAAAAAAACTATCACAAAGTAGTATAATTGCCCTTTAGCATGAAGGGCTTAGAGACAATCAAACCAAGCATTTGAAAAAGATCACTGCATTGGTGTACATGACAGAGATACAAATGAGAAAACTTGTATTATCTCTAGTGCCACATGTGTAGTCCAAACATGTAACAAGAGCCATGTGCATAATGCAATGGTATTACTATCATGTGTTATCTTGTACTTCTGGTCATAATTAAGGTTTTACTGCTTGATCAAGGGCTTCGTTATTTTAGAAAAGAAAAAGAAAAAAAAACCCAAACACAATAATCCACCAAACAAAACCCCCAAGTTTATACCTTCAAAATATTTAAAATACAGCTTTACTCATTGATTTGGAAATACCTGATTTCTAGGGTAATTTTAACCCACACAACCATTGGTTAAGCACTCCCTCCCCACAGAGGCCACACCTCCTCTTTCAGCATACTTACAGGTCCCTTATGATAGACTGCAGCACCTGACTTTCAGATATGTTCCAAGTTGTACCCGAGCTCCACAACAAGCACAAGTTTCCTTATAACTTAATAATTAGGCTTAAAAAAAAGACTTCTACAGGTTCTCAGAACAATACAGGCAGGGACACATGTTGTTCTGTTAGATATTTTTATAAATCTCTGTTAATCTTACACTTATTTTTGTAGAGAAATACTGTGTGAATTTCAAAGATACACTGTTCATATATTCAACATCAACTGTCACTGCAATCTTACTGAAGGTGATCCAATAACTACCTTTATTTTGCAACAAAATATGAAAAAGTACCTGGTATCTTCTCTCCGGAATGTAAGGATATTGCTTTATTTGCCAACAAGAGAGACCCACAAAGAGCGACAAACTGTCCTAAAGTTATCTAGATCCTCGCTTTTTCTGTTGGTTATCCTCTCTACCCCTGCCCAACATCTCCTAGGAAGGAATCTAGAACCATTTATAATGATTCCTAGGAAAAAATCAAGAACAATTTACAGTGACAAGCTTACAGGTAATCCCTTGAGAGCCCCAGTGACACTGGTCGGTCCAAATATTCCTGCCTTTCTGCTGTCGGTTCCCGCTACCCAGAATGCATTCCTCTAAGACCCAGCACACCTCCATACCTTACTCAGGAATTCATGGATTTATTTAAAAACAATTACAAAACTTATATCCCAGACAATAAAGAGATAAACAGAACATGTCTTTACATGCAATGGGTTCATGGTTTTGTGGACAAGATGGTTTCTAAAACACAATGACATTTATTTTAGGACTATGCATAAGAGAGAAATGTACAGTGCACTATAGAGCTCTGAGGAGGAAGAGTCCAGATCTTCTTAAAGTACTCAGGAAAGCTTTCTATGAGGTACTGACATATGAACCCAGACTTGGGTCAGGTAAGAACTCTTTGGTTGTGAAGAAAAATGGGAGAGCCAGACAAATCCCATGAAGACTCTCCATCTTCATTGACACTTGGGAGTGTAACAGTTCATCAGTACAGGGGAGCAAACTCTCTCAAATTGCTCATGACAGGCAATAGAGCCTAGAGGGTAATAATGACCTGAGTTCCGATCCTAGTGCCATCATTTTCAAGCTGTGTGACACTGAATAAGTTTGTTTACCTTTCTGAATTTAATTCTTCATATCTGTGAAATGGAGAGATAATAAATACCTTGCAAGGCCACTGTGGGATTAAATAATATTTAACAATTATGAAGGGCTTTACAATCCCACACGAGTTAATACATGTGCAGGTTTACTGTCATACAGAAACACAATTTTAAATAACTTTCCTGTTGCTCTCAATTCATCTGCTTTATTTTAATTCACTATCTATGGTTTGACTCTTTCACCAAGAATGTAAACTCTATAAAGGGAGGGACGTGGCTTTGTTTTCTAGCAGACTCCAGTATCTAGAATAGTGCTCAGCACGCTGCAGGCACTCAAGAACTATCTGTTGGCCGGATTAATGTAAAACAGAAATGTAAAACTGAGGTCTCTTCAATCCCGCAGGGCTTGTTAGGGGTTAAATGAAGTATCGTATGACAGAAAAACAAGTAATTGCAGCTGGCATACAGTTGACTGCAGCCTCACCCCACTATCCTAGACACTGAACACGCTTACTGTGGAGAAGCACATGCAGAATTTCACAAGGATCCAGGAGCAGTAGGGCCTCTACCTTGGTGTGTCAGCACTACATCCCACATAGTACGGTGTTTCCAGGTTGGCAGGTAAGAAATAACCCTGGGATTTAGTAAGATTACCGTTTTTCTAGGTATCGGCTTAACAAAGATGTCCCTAGAAATGTGAATTACCAGCTCTGGGGCTAAGTGCAATGTACTGGTTCCTGGCCAGCTAGGCTTATCAGTTTTTAGGTTTTATGGTTTTGTGGAAGATAGAAACATATCACACCATTGAATGTCAGGATGACAGAAGGAAAAAAGGATGGGAGGAAGAAGGGAGGGAGGGCCGGCAGGCAAGAAAAGAAAAGAAATATACCACACTTGTTTCTCTGGTTCCACCTAAGTAAGCAAGCAGTAGGGGAATGACTAAGGACAAACAGGACTCCGAACAATTAATGCCATGTCATTAAATATCCACTGGACACCACTTATTCTTTGCTTGGATTTGTAAATCACCTAAGTGATAGTCATATATTGAAGTATCACTAACTCTGAAAGTGAAACTATTTTTATATGTAATGATGAAAAGAGCAAGTCTGGATGGAACAGCTCAAGCAGAACAACAGAGATAAGGAGGATGGGAGAGCCACAGCCACCAACTTTTTTTTGGCTAAAAAACAATGTAGATGAGGAGGTGAGGGAAGACTGGAGAAGTGGGTGGTGGGCAGATAATGAAAGGTCTTGGAGGGCTAAGCTGAGGAGCCCAAACTTCATCTGATGGATACTAAATGATTACTAAAAGTTTCTGACCAGAGAACTGCCTATTTAAATCAACATGGTAGCAATCTAAGAGCATGGAGAAGGTACTGAAGTATGAACTCCTAGTTACGGAATACCTAGGAAGAAAAAATGAAAGCACGATCACAAGTAATTCAGGGGGGTGTTAAAGCCAGACATTAGAGTTTGAATAATGACTCCAGATTTTAGCAGCTATGTAACCTTGGACAAATTATTTAGCCTCTCTGGAACATAGTCTCCTCAGCTTTACAACAAGAAAACTATCTTATAGGCCCTTTGTTGTAAGGACTAAATGAGATGATACATGTACAAGAACATAGAACTTAAACCTGAGCCTGGAACACAGTACTCATAAAATGCCAGCTAACTTTATTCCTCTTAATGGGGTTCTGAAATAAGAAGAAAACACTGAGATCATAAAGTGGGGGTTGGCTGGAAGAAGTAAAATCCAAGTTTGGTGATGACCAGCTGCTAAAAGACACATCTGAGGTTTAAACCTTGAATGGAGAGTATTGATTAAAAGAGATTAGTAAAACAGGAGGAACAAGATTTGAAGGCACTGCTGGGGCCTATTTTATTACATTTCATTACTTTGTTACCCAAAGACAGATGCCAGGAATAGTCCTTATTAACATAATGGGACATTTCCCTTCTCTCTTGATCAAGCCTGGGGAGACTGTGGAGACAGTGTGTGGCAAGCACCAAAAGGGCAGTCCCCGGGGCTCATCCCAAAAGCTGCTTTACAGTTTGGCAAGAAGACGGACCAAAGGGCCTGCGAGTTATTCAAAGCCCTGCTCAAATCTCACCTACTCTACAGAACATCCTGCAGAACATCCTTTGATGCCCAGCAGTTGCTCCCTCCTCCAGACTCCTGTGACTGTAGCATGTGTGGTGGTCTTTCTCTCTCCAACTAGATTACAAACTCCGTGAGGGCCTGGCAAGTTTGCCAATTCTCTGTACCCACTACAGACTGAACAAATGCAAATGCTGAGTGCTGTTTACTGCCCCAGTGTCACTACTGGAAACTAGGGCTACTCCAAGAAGTCACGATTAAGCTTATAAGGATGATTAACTGTTTACCTGAGAACATGCTGGCAACCCCGAAGCTTCCATAAGACCAGCTCTAGCATTCCAACCTTCTCTCTACTTAGTTAGGAAGTGAGCAATGATTTCTCAAGCAGTAGTACTTTGACAGTATAACACATCATTCACCTTTATTGAGTATCTCTGCCAAGTGTACAAATACAAGCAAAAATACTTCTTGAGTAAGGGCTTATGGGACATTTGTGCACCATTAAAAAAACAAACAAACAAGGAAGCCAGGCCCAGTGGCTCACGCCTATAATTCCTGGCACTTTGGGAGGCCGAGGCAGGCGGATCATCTGAGGTCAGGAGTTTGAGACCAGCCTGGCCAATATGGCAAAACCCTGTCTCTATTAAAAATACAAAAGTGAGCAGGGTGTGGTGGTAGGCACCTGTAATCCCAGCTACTCGGGAGGCTGAGGCAGGGGAACTCCTTGAACCTGGGAAGCAGAGGTTGCAGTGAGCTGAGATCGCGCCACTGCACTCCAGCCTGGGCGACAGAGTGAGACTCTGTCTCAAAAAAAACTGATTCAAAATAAACAGGAATTGGGTCTTTTCTAAGTGAGATGCTAAAGTTAAAAGGAAACTATTATTTCAGAAATGTAACATATATGTATGCACATATATAAGAACAAATTACATATGTGTGTATATGGTTACGTATGTATATATGTGCATATACAGATGGTATATGTATTTTAAGATATCAAATGGGCCCACAGAAGATGCTTTCTCATCCTCCCCCTTTCCTTTATTTCCCACATTTTTAAATGGGAAAAAAGGCATATCTATTTTGAAACATACCAAGGAAAGTACAACACACTTAATTGCACCAGCAAATAGTTAAGACAATGCTCATGCCAGAATCTTAACTATATTTTTTAAAAAGCAATACTCAAACACCATATTGTGAAAGACAAAAATTGTTTTAAAATGTCTCACATTTCCTGAACTTCTTAAAATAAATATGCAAAGTATATTCTACTGAATTGCAAGATAAATTATAATGGCAACTTCATTCTGGATAAGATTAACATGATATTAAAACCCAAAAATAATTTGGAATTCTATACAACTTGCTGAGTGATCTGGTATTTTATCTATGTCCCATCTTAAAAAAAAAAAAAAAAAACTATGAGCCATACTTAAAACTATTTAATGATGGTAAAATTATGCAAATTTGGATAGCCAGAATGCTTATTTTCATAAGCTATTCTAGAACGAAGCAATTATACTAAAAATAGACATCTATGATCGTCTTACCCCATGAGAGTGCTTTTCGAGGTCTGCTACCTAGAGCCCCTTACCTGACACAGAGACGGCGTGTGTCCGCATGCCTTGCTTTTCGCTGTTGGCCAACCTGTGACAGACAAGAGCAAAGCTGTAAGCCCTGCAATTTCCCCAGGACCCCGCAACTCGGCCTCATCAAGTGGGGAACTGCCTTGGATGAGGAAGACAAAATTTTAGATACGTGATTTCTTTAAAAATTGGATTCTACTATTAAAATAGCCAGGCTGCTTTAATGCTTTAAAGATCACAAATTAAAATACACAACTGAAGGAATGTTGAACTGTTCTGAGAAAGATACTCTTGACAATAATTTAAAACAATGCAATACAATTTAATCTGGTATGAATGGGTTAAATAAAAATATAAAAATATAAATTTAAATGCTACACACTAAAGGATTGCCCCTAAAGTTATGAGAAAAAAAACATACACCTGGAAGTGGATTTTGCTCTCTAAAACATAATATGAAATACTACAGTATGACTGGTCTTTCTCAAATTTATGGCACATAAAAAATTATCAAGCAATACATTAATATGTACTATTACCTACATACTTAAAAAAGTAATCTCAATGTATCTTGCTACTTGCTTCATGACATGGTTTAACACTAGTTTTACATATTTACCCACAAAAAATAAAATTTTGGCCAAAAGTCTTGGTGCCGTTTAAAAAATTGGTAAAAAACTTTTGGAAAGCACAAAACACAGGGAAAAAAGGAGCCACACAGTCTTTAGATGTCAAAGTTACCTGATCTTTTTATAAGAGAAAACCTTTTCCAGATGAAATATTGACATTTAAAACAGTATAGGTTGAATATCTCTTATCCACAATGCTTGGAACAAGAGTGTTTCCAATGTCAGATTTTTTGGATTTTGGAATGTCTGCATATACAAAATGAGGAATCTAGGGGATAGGACCCAAGTCTAAACGTGAAATCTGTTTATGTTTCATATACACCTTATACATGTAACCCAAAAGTAATTTCATACAATATTTTAAATAACTTTGTTCATGAAACAAATATTTGACTGCAACCTGTTACACATGAGGTCACATGAGGTCAGGTGTGGAAGTTTCCACTTGCTGCAACATGTTGGTCCTCAAAAAGTTTCCAATTTTGGAGCATTTTGAACTTTGAAGTTCCAGATTAGAAATGCTCAACTTGTACATCGTTTCGAAGCACTACAACTATTTAATGTGAAACTGTATAATCTCTATAATAATCACAGCAAACAGCCATAGACTTGTGTTCCTTTTACAGAATTCTCCAAATATTTGAAATTTTATATCTTTAGTATAAAAATTTAATCAAAGTTGTTTTCTAACAACTCATTACTTTCTCTTCCATTGCGCTACATGATTTATCACAACTTATCTTTGAACTATATTTATTGGGCAGTCAGAGGACACACATTTTAAATCAATAAATTACATCATTTCCTTCCCTGTTGTGCTGCCAAAACACTGGGGTTTTCCCTTGTCTGCGCCACAATTATGTATGCTGTTGCTAAGCAACTTTCTCACGATAGCTTGGATTTCAGCTCTTATCTGATCAACAGCAATAATGGTGTCCTGCTGCTATAAGGTTTGTGGAAATTCCACTCTTGTAAAGTTTGCTTCATTTATTTAGTTTCCTTTATCTGTTAACACTTGCAATGTACTACCTTCCTCACTCACTTTCATACCTATGTTCATGATTCCTCTATGTGTGTGTGTGTCTGTGTTTTAAGAAATGGGGTGGAGTCTCACGAAGTCACCCAGACTCGAGTGTGGTTGCTATTCACAGGCATGATCATAGTACACCACAGCCTCAAACCCCCGGGCTTCAGTGATCCTCCTGCCTCAGCCTCAGAACCACAGGAACATGCCACATTGCCCAGCTTTGATTTTAATCCAAAATTATCCCTTAACTTCCCACAACTAAAGGTACTCTAAATAAACATCAGTTCCTGCCCTGATATGACCCCAAATGAACCTCTATCAGACACTGCTGATGCTGTAGAGTGCACTGTCCAAAGCTAGAGGTGCACTAGCCACATGCAGACCTTGCCTGTGTGAGGCCCACAGTACTGCATATGACCCTGGCTGTCAGCAACTTGCCAGGTTGGCTGGGGAGGGTAGACAAGTTAAAAGCCCATGTTTAGGACTCTGGTAATTAATAACTAGAAACTATTACAGGAAAACATGATGGGGATGCTCTCCTGGCTTGGGGGTGGGTCAATGAGGTTTCTACAGGAAGTGATGTAGAATGCGACCTAGAAGATGAGTTAGGCTTAGCAACGAAAAGGGGGTTGGAAGAAGAGTGGATCATGCAAAGACAGAATATTGGCAAAGGCCTTCAGGCAAAAGACAGGATGTTTGCTCCTGGAATTGAAAAAAAGGTAAATGTACTTGAAGAATAGTATGAGGAGTGACAAAAACCAAGGTTAGAGAAGTGAGCAGGAAACAATCACACGGGCTCCTGCAAGCTAGGTTAAGAATATTGCAAAGTATCCTAAGAGCAAGAGTAGGTCATGTAAGATATTTAATTAGGAAAGCTTCCTCAAGCTGTAGCACAGAGCACGGACAGGCTAAGGAGCAAAACTGGACAGAGACTGATTTAGTAGAAGTACACAGAAAAGAGTTAATGTAGCAGGCCTGTGACTGACCTTACATGATTGTCCCTTGCCTGCTATCTGGGAACTTGGATTTTCGCAGAGTTGCCACCATCCCCTGACAGGTATGGTACACTATGCCTAAAATGTTTGTACAAAAAATGTGGTTTATGCTGAACTCTTGCTTTCCTTCTGGGAGTCTGGTATTTGGATGCATGCCAGGCACAGAGTGCATGTAAAAAGAACCCTCAATAAAAACCCTAGGCACCAAGTCTCTAATGAGCTTTCTCAGTAGGCAACATTTCACACAGGTCGTCACAATCCATTGCTGGGGAATTCAGAGTGTCCTGTGGCCTCCATTGGGAAGGGACCCTTGGAAGCTTGCATCTGGTTTTCCCTGGACTTCACCCCATGCACCTTCATCCTTTGCTGATTCTGCTTTGTATCCATTTGCTGTAATACATCATAGCTGAGTCCTGTGACTCCTAGATCTTGGGGAACCCCAACACAGAAGTGTACTTGGGTAGCCCAGATAGCTAAACACGGGGGAGACACAGTGGGAAGGCAGTGAAGCAGATGGATCCATTTAGAACATGGAACTGGAGGAAATAGTAAGGGACTGGCTATGGAGAAGAAGGAGAGGGACAGAACAAAGCCCAGGCCTCACCCTCTCTATTCCAGTGGCCTCTTAGGCTCACTGTTCTTCTTCAGTGTCTTGGAAAGTGTAAATATCTCTGAAAGCACTTACCACACAGCTATAACTGTGTGTTTACCTATGTATCTGATTGTTTAGATTTTAACATTCATATCTTAGTCCCCAGTTCCTAGCAAATTGGCTGAGAATATAAAATTATATAAGTTCTTTTGGTATTACTATTCGATTCTTTTAGTTTTGTAGATCAACATGCCCACTATAAAATTAGGAAATAAACAAGAAAATTAACATAAATTATTTCTCTTTAATTTTCATACTTGTAAAATAGCCAGAATGCCACATATTTTCAGGTTCTTGTAAAGATTAGCAATAACATATGAAGCAAATGTTTAACAACAGGCTCTCAACATTATGATTATTCTTTAGCTCCCCCATAGAACTTAAAGGAAAAATTAAAACCTTTTGATTAAGCCTAAATACTTAATAAAATTTAAAACTGACTTGATTTCTTTCTAGAATTGTTTCCTAGTTCCTTGATCATGTATATTGAATTTAATTTTTTTAGGAAAATGAATAATAAAGCATAGAAATTTCCTTAAACTTTCCAACAAAACAAAATAACAGTACAAAAAAAGCAGTACTTACTTTGGTATTGATGGCAAAGCCCGTTCACCTTCTGCGGGGAAAAAGAAAAGAGATGCATAAGGCTCTTTTCACTCCTTTTGAAAAGATGGTGCCTAGAATCAGGGAGGAAGGATGAGGCCTATACTGGTATTCCAGCAATGACCCTTTAAAGAAAGTTGCTACACTGTCTACCTTAGGTTCTCATGGTTTTATTTTCAATATTTATAACAAACATAAACTGAGTATTAGATACAATTGTTTAAAGGGTACTGCCTAATCATAATAAAGAACTAAGATGCTAAGTTGGTGAAAGACTTCGTTTGCAGGAGACTAAAAGATGAAGGGTTTCTTATGATTAGTCAACACTCCTTGTCAAAGGACCAGGCATTCTGCACTTTGATAAAACTACTCACTAGTAACAACAGAAAAACCTGTGCAGGAAGCACAGAGAAACAGAAGGAAAACAATTCTACAGGTGTGCATGGCTGCCAACGGAATGAATGTATGAGAGAAGGCAAGTCCTGGAGCTGTCATCTAAAGGAGCCGTGCACACAGCTGGCTGGAAGGTGAGCCAGGCAGCTATCTACCACAGTTCAGGGTGAGCTCCCTTTTTGCTGAGCAGGACACAGTGACTGGCTCATGCCGGCCTGACCACAGTGAAGCTGAGGACTTCGTTCAATGGTGAGGGAAACGCTTTCTTTCCCTCAGCCTTCATTTCGCAAACCAGGAAACATGGAGCCCTCCCTGGTTTAACCTCTTTAATCTGAATTAATGTAACAGCCCCCTAATTGGTCCTGTCTTCTAATCCATCTGAGCTAAATTATTTCAGAATAATCTTCCCAAATTACCAATTCATCAATCAAGCAAGTTATTATGCTTAACATTTTAGTGTCTCTCAAAAACTTTCAGGATGAGATTTAAACACCCCAGCTTAATTTACAAAGCACTGCTTCACTTCTCTCAGCACACAAACACTGCTCTGGCTGTCATCTTTGTATCGTGTCTGTGGGGTGGTATGGGAGGCTGAGGAGGCACCCATCTACCACTCACCACTCTGGTGCCCTTCTAGGCAGCTCCTTGGTAACACCACTCGTGTAGTCACACTTGCTGTCCACGGTTCCTCTCCTTACTTTTGCCCTTGAATTCATTCTAATCAGTTCCCCCCCACCCCCATACACGGAAAATACTTTTTGAACATCTCCAATGACATCTGCCTTGCTAAGCCCAATTGTTCATTTACAGTTAGCACTTAACACAGCTAATCACTCTGTCCTTCTGAGAGCTTCCCACCCTGGGCCTCCCGAACCTTGTACTATATTCTCTTGGTTTTCTTCTGCCCTCTCATGGCACCTCTTCGTCTTCTTTATTGGTTCTTCCTTATCTCCCTGGCCTGATGAAGATTAGAGAACCCAGTGCTCACACCTGTATCTCTTAACCTCACTTCCTTGGTAACCTCATACAGTTTCAAAGCGTCAAATACCACCCACACTTTGCAGCTCCAAATGCATACCTCTAGCTTGGACCTCTCCCCTGACCTGAACTTGTCTACATGACACCTCCCTCTGGATGTCTGAAGGTTGCTGGGACTTGCTGATATTCAAAACTGAGTCCTGGTGGGTGCACCTGCATACTTCCCATTGTTCAGGTGGAACCAGCAGTCATCACAGGGCCTTGCTGCTCCCCAATCCATACCCAGTGCAGCAAATGCAAGGCTTTACTGTCCAACTCTATCCAAAGTCCTCTTACTTGTCACTGTCATTCCAGAACCCCTGACCCAAACATCACTTGCCTACATCATGGTAATAGCCTCCTGATTGGTCCCTCTACTTTATCTGTACCCAGGCCAACCTACCATGGTCTATTCTCAGCACAGCAGCCAGAGTACTTATTCTAGAACATAAACCAGATCACATTACTCCTCTCTTCACACCCTCCAATGGCTTCCCAAATCACTTGAGTACAAGCCAAAGCCCTTACAATGCCTTTACATCCTGACCAGCCACTGGCCCTGGGATCACCCCCTTAGGCATTCTAGTGACCTGGGTCTCTGCTGTTCCAGGCATGCTTCCTAGCACTCCCCAGCCTTCAATAGGGAATAGCCAGATATCCTTGTAGGTTCTGTTTTCCACCCCTTCAGGTGCGACTCTCTCAGTGGGACCTTCCCTGACAACCTTACTTAAAATTGTATCCCTTACTTTCTTCCCTGTCTTATTTTTCTCGATACAGCTCAACATCATTTGATATATTATATGCTACAGTATTTATTTTCTCTATTAATTTACTCTGTTTATCGCACGTATGTCCTCACCTACATGAAATTTCCATGCATGCACAACCCTGTCTGTTTTGTTTGCTGCTACATCCTCTATCCTAGAACTGTGCCTGGAAAATGGAAGGAGCTCAACAACTACATGTTGAAAGCATGCAGTGTTTGGTCTGGCCAATCTGCCTTTTCAGTATTACTCGTCACTATTCCCTGATTCTATACTACTGCACATTGTATTCCCCTGAACATACCACACATGCCTTGAAATGTGCTCTTCCTTCATTCAGGTAGAAACATTCCTCAATATTTCAAAGCTCAATTCAAGTTCTATTTCCGGCAGAGAGCCCTTCCTGGAATACCTCAGTTTGCATTGAGCGGCATCCTCTATGTTTCTGCTGCATCCACAGAGCATTTGCCACATATACTTCTCTACAGACTATTTAACCTGCCTAAGGTTACGGTAAGACTTAAGCTGCCCAAAGGCATCCCTAATATCTAGCAGAGTATCTGGCACTCGGGAGACTGTCCGACCACTGTTTGGTAAAGAAAGAAATAAATCAACCTAGGACCCCGTGTTACTCTTTCTGAAAAACTGTTTAATTCTTCTGATTTGCAGAGATAGTTGTGAGGCTTAACACTGCATATATACAACTCACTGCACATCATAGGAATTCAAGCCAAACTGCAAGCCATCACTTGTTGACATTTTGAACATCTATTTCAAGCAAAATAACCAAGTCACACCAGGAAGACCAAATTTAGAGTAACTGAAAAGTCCTGATAGTTACGTTTATTATCCCATGAACATGACCACCTCCCACCACCAGCACCACCACCTTACTCACACCCAAATTGTTAATAATATAGCCTTTCAAATGACACATTAGTGTGATTTCTGTTTGTATTCTGTTGAAATTTCTATTTCCTGAAAGAAAAAGGAATCCATTATTATATTTTTGCCTAACAGGAGACTTTCTAAGTAGCTGGGCATGGGTAGAAAGGCAGCTGTAAAGAAGGAGATAAACAACAGAAGGATTCTGAGAGAATATTTTTATAAACAGAGTAATGGAATACAGAAAAATGGCAACAGACACCATCAGTAGAAGCAGCATTTAAGAAAACCCTAAGGACTCACTACCTAAAATGTCTAATTCTGGGAGTTAATGTTTTTGTTCAAATGTACTTCCATTCTTCTTAGAAGTGTTCATTAACTGAAATTGGTGACTTAACTTACCAGACTTTTTAATGCTTATAAATACACAAGTTTGGAGATACACACACACACACACATTTACATGTAGGTTTTTAATACATTAATAGAGCTATTTTTTTAAACAGCTGCATAGTATTACATCATGTATGCATACTCCCTCATTTATTAATTTTTGCTCATTTTTTGCTATTATAAACACTGCAATAGTGAATATCCTCCTCAGGTCAGTGGTTTGTATGACTGATTTCCAGGAGGCAGACAAATGGGCAGAGTACTCCTAAACTGTCTTCTGAAAATGTACCAATTTACAATGACACAATCATGAGTCATTCTGGCATTCTCCAGAAGTCTTGCCAGTGGTGGTTATCAGGTTTCTTTAATCAATGTAATAAACATAAAATGAAATATATCACTGTATCCATATATTCACTGGACATTTGTGTGTACATTCCTCTTTTTTATACTAGGTTGTCTTTTACTGAATGAGCTGGAAGAACACTTGAAAAATGAGAAATTTTAATTATTTATTATATGTGTCATAATATTTTCCCCTGTCATCATAGCTTTAAAAATGTTACCTTGTACTAAACGAAACGTTTTAATTATGTAATTGTGTCGCTTCAGCAGCACATAAGTGTTTTAATTATGTAATTAAATGTAACAGTTCTATTTTTATGTCTTCTGGAATTTATGCCATGCTTAGAAGCATTCACTCCCTCCCTTGAAATGCACAGTATTCACCATCATTCTATACACAGAAAACCTACTTACAATTATGTAATTACAACTCTATATTACACTATACACTTTCCTCTGAAAAAATGTTACTACAGAATTTTACTAACACTGCAAAATTGATTGTATACTTTCTTTCAGGTAAGGTGTAGGTTAGATAATGCCCTACAGAAAGGGCCAAGGTTATGCAGACTGTGGTGGAATGCAGTCCAGGACAATTTGGCTTGTGGCTCTTACTATGTTCTCCCCAGGAAAATCACCTTTTATTTTTATTTTTTAAAATTAATTTATTTTTTTTAGATACAGTCTTGCTATGTGGCCCAGGATGGTCTCAGATTCCTGGCCTCAGGGATTCTCCTGTGTAGCTGGAATTACAGACATGAGCCACTATGACAAGGTAACATCCCTTTTAAAAGCACTTTATAAATCCAAAGTAACTATGGTAGATCAAAGAACTAACAAAATGCATCTGGGCACACCCAATTCACATGTAGAATGTACTGATCACTTATTACTGTCATGCTATGTTATGCATATACATGTATACATGTATAAGTAGTTTATGATCTAGAGAAGACAGATGGGCATATATAATTATTATTTAAAGCATGTTTCCAGGAAAACGGTACATTAGAGTTGCAGAAACATGTTTAACATTTGAACTCTTAAAAAATCTCAATTAAAAAATGTACATGTGCTGTGTTCACATGTATTTTTGACTATAATCCACTAAAGATGTTTGACTTTAATATTATTTTAACTAGGCAATGTATCTTCACCTTAGGGATCTATGATGAAATAGTTATATAATACATAAACATGCTATGATTGAGAATAAGAAAATTACCAAGTTTAATAATTCATTTTATAAAGACAATATAAAATTGGAAACAACCAATGCCCTATCTAGCTTTTCATGACAAGCATTTTCATTAATGCTCTTTTCATATGAACAAAGAGCTTAAAAAGCATCGCATTTCATGTTTGATATCCAAATGTTTCTCCCTAGAGAGCAAAAAACGCTAGCTAATAGTGAAATCAACACAGGAAGATGTTTACGTTTTAAACATGGAAGGCTCATTTAATGCCTGACATCCGAATGTTATTTTTAAATGTGTATGTCAAGGACCTTTTGGTAAACTGAAGATAAAAGATGAAAAATTATTCACTAAAAAGGAAATGGGCAATCTATTACATTTAACATTTTTCCTAAATTACTATCTTTATGTAAAGAAATTATCTGAAAACATTTAAATAATATTTGTAAGGCATATACTCCTGTTTAAAGTATAAAGTGCGACACTGGAAGAAGAAAACGTCAAAAATAAAAATAAAAAATAAAGCACAAAGTGAAAAATCAAGACCTATAGCTGCAAAGGCTTTAACTGAGAGTAACTGTAGAGATTTCTGAAAGCAACTTCATTACTCTATTTTATACAAAGAAAACTTAGGAAAAATATATGAATAGGCTTATTGGTGTGATCACCGTGGGAAAACACTTTTCCTTTAGAAAAGCCATGTCCTGGAATCACACAGATTTATGTTTACTTAGCGAAGGCTCATGGCTTCAGCTGCTGTTTTCAGGGCACAGCACCATCAGTTACCTCTTTTGAGATACATAAATAAAGGGTCCAATGACTCCTCTCTATAAAACACACAACACTCACATGTACCTCCCATGCAAACACCATGCCTTCCTCAAACTGCTTTGTAAACAGAGCACTTCCCTGCTGGGCAAGGCTGGATCCTCTGCGTTTCTATCTGCTTCACTTGACCTTTGGCCTTTTCTCTATCCTCATCGCTGTTTAATACAATTCTGCTGACTTGAATGCACTCCACACAGCACTTCAGGACTTTTTTTCCTCTATAATCATCCTAGTCACTGAGGTGAGTGCTAGAAGGGGTATTGGCAAAACCCACATTCAGAGTCCCCACTTCCACAGCGTGAGCTGCTTTACAGTTACTCCTTGGGAGGTGTCTAACAACCCTACAAAATAGGTATCATTCTTTTACAGATGAGGTATCTCAAAGTCTAGGCTGATACAGTGTCAAGATCAGACTCAACTAGTAGCAACAACAGGAACAACAATACAACTAAAATCTAGGAGCATCAAGTGTGCCAGGCATAGTTCCAAGCCTATAAATAAGTCCTTTATCCTCCTAATACCATAGAAGACAGTTACTGTTCTTCGTGTTTGACCAGATGACAGAACTGAGGCTCAGAAAAGTAATTTATAGATGGTGTCACAGAGGACTCATGATTTGAACTTAAGTCCCATAATTCCCAAACTCAGTCTTTCCCTGCTTCACACTATGTATGCTATTATCCTGCTGGGAATATTTTCATTTGATTCTTTCAGAAATCCAAATCCTCAAAAGCATTCCTCATTATATGCTTGCAAAAACTCCACACCGCTTTTATAGTGACGTTTCTAGGATATTTATTCATTCTAATCTTTGATTTTTTAACATCATGACTTAGACTGTACTTTCTTCTTTGAATGCTCTAAGCTTTTGAGATATATAAGAAAAAGTAGAAAGGACACTTTATTTATAGTGAGTTATAACGGATTCCTTTTTTTAAACCCAGAATTTTATTTAAACCCAAAATTTTAAAAATACTAATGTATTTAAAAATAGTAATGGCAATTTAGAAAATCCTCTAAGTAGGTAGCTCAAAACACAGACAATGTTTTTTTTAGGCTCTATTCAAACCCAGCTCTTGGCTTGTGGAAGGTGTGAAACGGATCACCATCCCTAGAAAAATAAGTCCTCAGATTATACTGAGCTGAATTATTCATTTGGTCTTCATTTTTACAGTTACCTAAAAGAGGATAACAGGCTGTTAGGGGCAAGCACAGCTAAATATTTGGTAGAAGCGCAATTGGGAATGCTCAGAAACAGCACCTCACCTTTCTGAGGTCTGATGATAAATGACTGCGAGGTTCCATTCACCAGCCGGCAGTACCCATCTATTAGGTCAGCCATATTCTCCGCAATGGTTAGGGATGGTGCCGTCACTGTCAGAGGCTAACGGAGAAAAGATCAAGAAAACAGACTTCATTGTTCTTCCCAGTAAGCAAAGGACAGCTGTGCTATGACATCAGACATCTCTATACACTTGAAAACAGAGAAGAGTGGGAATGAAACAAGATTTGTCATGAGATTTGAGAAAGGAAATCTGATATTTAAGGACATTATTCCTAGAATATGTGACAAATGCAAACCCAGATGAAAACAGAAAAATCACTTAAACTGGGGCTCACTTTCTAGAATCAAAAGAGATGAAAAAAGTATTTTCCTTCAGAGTGTCTGGCCCCTCTGGCATACTCCAGTTAAGGGAAGAATTTAGACAATCAGTAAGTTAAAGTATGACTTCTATCAGAAACTAATGTGGAGTAAATTTTTTATCAACCATCCATCATAATTTCTAATGTAAAAGAAAATTAATAAAATTTCATTATTTTTAGCACATATAGCATGTTCGCCCAAGGGCTTAGAAATCATTCTCTTTCCAATATAAAATTTGATATTGTTTGGTAATATTTGCTTAATCTCCAGAATCAACAAGAGTTCCTAGAGCCCTCAGATGTCACCAAACTCACAGAATCACAGGGCAGAAGAGTGACGAGGCATCAGCCTAAGTGAGGAGTGCTGCAAATAAAGCTACCCAGAGAACTGGCCGTTAACAGACCAAAGAATCCTGGTGTGCTGATGGAAACAGATGAGCTTCAAAAAACATGCTTTACACACCAGCACAACCGTGTGTGCCACCAGACTGTCCAGATCCTTTCATACACGAGTGTATTTTGTCCATCTTGCAGAAAGGACCACATTAGGTAGTATTTGCCAAATGGCTCTTTCTCATGCCACTTGTTTTAAATCACTGTTGCCTGTTGATTAAGAACACAGGCTTTGGATCCAGACTGTTTGGGTATGAACCCCATCTCTTGTCAATTACTTGATGTGGCCAACCTCTCATGCCTCAGTTTCCTCAGCTACAGAATGGGGTTAACCAAAGTATATCAAAGTATCTACTTCCTTGGTTGTGACAATGACACAGCTTCTCTTGGCTTCTGCGTAAAGAACCACAGGTAGCATGTGCCCAGTATCAGGTACTGCTGCTGTTATAATTATTATAATCATATAATAATAACTATTATAATCACATAATAATTTCTACCCAGAGAATATCATGGACAACACAGTGTGGAAATTAACTCAGTTTACAGTATATATAGTCAATGCACCACATAACAACATTTTGGTCAATGATGGTCCGCATATACAATGGTGGTTCCATAAGATTTATATAATAGAGCTAAGAATTCCTATTGCTAGGTATGCCGTAGCCATCCTGAAGTTGTAATGCTCATGTTTATGGTGAAGCTGGTGTAAAAAAAATCTACTGTGCTGCCAGTCTTATAAAAGTATAGCACATACGATTATGTACAGCACATAATACTGGATAATGACTATGTTACTGGTTTATGTATTTACTATTTTTTTTTTAATTAGAATGTACTTCTACTTATTTAAAAAAAAAAAGTTAAATGTAAAACAGCCTCAGGCAGGGCTTCTAGAAAGTATTCCAGAAAGTGGCACTGTTCTCATAGGAGATGACAGTTTCATGTGTGTTACGGCCCCTGAAGACCTCCCAGTGGGACAAGATGTGGAGGTAGAAGATGGTGATATGGATACTCTTGACCCTGTGTAGGCCTAGGCTAGCGTGTATGTTTGTGTCTTACTTTTTAACAAAAAAGCTGAAAAAGTAAAAAACACAGAAAATCATTTTAAAACTAGAAAAAAGCTTACAGAATAAGTATGTAAAAAAAGAAAATTTTTTGTACAGCTGTACAATATATTTAAAATTAATTGTTATTACAAGAGTCAAAAAAGCCGAAAAAAATCAGTTTATAAAATATAAAAGTTACTGTAAGCTAATGTTTACTACTGAAAAAGGTTTTAAAAATAAATTTAAGTATATGGTGTGTACAGTGTTTATAGTCTACAGCAGTGCACAGTAATGTCGTAGATCTTCACATTCATCCTTCACTCACTGACTCACCCACAGCAGCTTCCAATCCTGCAAGCTCCACTCATGGTAAGGGCTCTATGCAGGTGTAACATTTTTTATCTTCTATACTGTATTTTTACTGTGCCTTTTCTATGTTTACATATATTTAGAGATACAAATACCATTGTGTTACAATTGCCTAAAGTATTCAGTATAGTAGCATGCTACACAGGTTTGTAGCTTAGGGCAACAGGCTATATTGTATAGCCTAGGTGTACAGTAGGCTACAACCATCTTAGGTTTGTGTAAGAACAGTCTGTGATGTTTGCACAACAAAGAAATCAGGGAATTAGGCATTTCTCTGAACGTACCTGTTGTTAAGCAAAACATGACTGTACATATAATTCCAAGAAGTTAATTTCCTTGGTACTTGATGACAATCTTTTTTTTTTTTTTTTTTTTTTTTTTTGAGACACGGTCTTGCTCTGTCACCCAGGCTGGAGTGCAGTTGTGTCATCTCAGCTCACTGCAACCTCTGCCTCCTGGGTTCAAGAGATTCTTGTGCCTCAGCCTCGCAAGTAGCTGGGATTACAGGTGTGCACCACCATGCCTGGCTTATCTTTGTATTTTTAATAGAGACAGGGTTTCACCATGTGAACCCTGGCCTCAAGTGATCCGCCTGCCTTGGCCTCCCAAAGTGCTGGGATTACAGGTGTGGGCCACCGCGCCTGGCCTGATGATAATCTTTAATCATCATTATCTTTACAATAACGTTCTTGGATGATTTTTAAATCTGTCTCCTGTCCTATTCTTGGGGACATTTAATCATTATTGTTTCTAATGTAACCCTTTCTATATATAAGAAAGTTGTGATTCTGATGATCCATAAAAACTTCATCCTTTTCATAAAAAAGTCAACAATTCTAAAACATCCCTATTTAACCATTTTCCCTTAATGATGAACGTAACAGTTCCTTACCTCGGGTGCACCTGCTATTTTTAGTTGTAGCATTCCTTTTCTGTCCTTGTCTTCACTGTTTGAATACTGAATGGTTTGCACTTGAGTGAAGTCAGCAAGATGTGTGGGCTATAAAAAGGAAAGGTAAAATCTTTAGACTACGGATAAAAAACTCATTTCACAGAGTCTGTAAATGTTCTGTGAAATCCTCGTTGTCCTGAAGACATCCTCCCTAAGACTGGAGGTCTGGGGAAAAAAACAGATTCTCCATGCTGCCCCAGGGGAGCAGCCATGAGACTGTCTCCTGCACTTCAAGGTCAGGTACAGGTCTGCTCTCTGTGATGTGCTGAGGAGACCCATACATGAGTTGGATGAGTGAGAGTACAGTTACCACTGAGAGAGAACAGAAGATAAAGGAGGGAGGGAAGTTGAAGCAACCTTTGGCCTGACTCGTTTGCCAGCCTGGGAGGAATCTTATGGAATTCTTAGTCAAAGAGAACATTCTACTCCCATTCCCAAAGAAAGAGGGGATCTGGGATTAATCCCCATGCACCCTGGGCTAGAGTAAGTTCTGAAACTAACTGGAGATCTGTAGCTAGGGAGACAGTAGGTACCCAAAGGGCCCTTCCCAATACAGAATAACCTCTTAAGCCATGCCAGGAGAGTCTATGGTCATTTTCCTAAGTAGCATAAACTTTGGCTTCTTCTTTTTTTTTTTCTTTTTCTTCTATTACTGCTGCACAAATTAATAAACACTCTCCTTCTTAAAAAGAAAAAAAGATAGAGTTGGGAGCAATGGTTCACATCCATAATCCCAGCACTTTGAGGGGCTGAGGTGGGATGATCCCTTGAGGCCAGGAGTTCAAGCAGCCTGGGCAACATAGTGAGACCCTTTCTCTACCAAAAGAAAAAAAAAAATAACCAGGCATGGTGGTCTGTGCCTGTAGACCCAGCTACTCAGGAGGCTGAGTCTGCGCCACTGCACTCTAGCTTGGGCAACTCAGTGAGACCCTTCTTCAAAAAAATACATATAAAAGATACATGAATCTTCCATCCTTCTAGCATCTCATGAGGATGATCATTTTGCATGTGAAGATTCCTATACATTTCTTCAAAACAATTTGCTTGGTTAAGGCCACTCTGTCAGCTAATGCCCCTTCCCATTGCATGGCGAACAGATGATGCCACTAGAACGGAGTTGGAATTGTTCAGAAAGAGGTTCACACTGGGCTGCCCTTCCCAGCAAAGCATCTTCCTGCGCCGTTTGTAGAGACATGTGTTTTGCAGGGCTCCTGCCTTTCCCCGGGAGGCCACAGGCAGCCCTCCATTCTCTGGTCCCAGGCTTCTCATAGCATGTCCCACAGCCCCTCTGCATATTCTTCCCACTTATCCTCTGGGACATCCTGCCCTTTTGGGGTTTCTTCCACCTCACTGGTCTCTCTTTCCCAGTTCTTTTTACTGGCTTCTCCCCTACTCAATCTACAAATGTGAAAGGGCTGCAGGGCTCTGTGCTGGGTGGGCCCTGTTATTCCCCCTAGTTCTGCCATGGCAAAACAAATACCATACAGTCCTGGGGCGTTAAGTACCATCTCCAGCCCTGTCATCTCCCTGGAACTCAGACTCATGCATCCAGCTCCCTATATCATACTACCACATGGATGTCTGCAAGAGATTACTAACAACATAGTTAAAAGGGTACTCCCTCAAAACATGTTCTTCCTCCAGGCTTCTTGACTTCAATAAAAAGCATCATATTTGGCCGGGTGTGGTGGCTCATGCCTGTAATCCCTGCACTTTGGTAGGATGAGGCGGGTGGATCACGAGGTCAGGAGATTGAGACCACCCTGGCCAACATGGTGAAACCCCGTCACTACTAAAAATACAAAAATTAGCTGGGCATGGTGGCATGTGCCTGTAATTGCAGCTACTCAGGAGGCTGAGGCAGGAGAATCACTTGAACCAGGGAGTCAGAGGTTGCAGTGAGCTGAGATCATGCCATTACACTCTGCACAGAGCAAAACTCTGTCTCAAAAAAAAAAAAAAGAAGAGAAAAAAAAGATCATATTCAACAAGATTCCTGAGCCAAAAAAAAAAGGCATTCTCACTGATTCTTCTCCCTTTCCCCATTATCCAACCTCTCCACAAGTCCTGGCAACTTCAGCTCCAAACATCCAGAATTCATGTGTTTACTTCCCATCTTCACAGTTGTCACTATAGTCCAGGCCACCATATGATATTCTGCTTAGAGTCCTGCCATTTTTCCTAGTTTCCCTTCATCCATGCTACTATATAATGTCCCTACCTGAAAGCCAGATCATATCACTCCTCTGCTTAAAAAGGTACAATACAAAGCATCATAACTTGCATGATTTACATAGCATGATTTCTATGAGCAAACTGTCTACATGATTTGACCCCTGCCTGCCTCTCTGACCTAATTTACTGTCATGATCTTGTCTTGATGATATGTGCTCTAGTTTCGTTGGGGTAGAACCATTTCAGGGGGTGGGTTGTTTTTATAACCAAGGCTGCTAGATGTCACATGAAGCATGGGTAATTCCTGCACAATAAAAAATTGTCCTGCATCCTCGACGGCTTTCAAATGTCCTGGTGTGTATTTATGTCACTGAAAAATCTGACTCTAGAAACAAAGTCTGTTTAAAACCACAAAGTATGCTCTGCATTGAACTTTCCAGGAATGCAACTTACGCGTAATGCAAGGGAATCCTATACTATGCTGTTTTTGAAGTTTTATTAAGAGTTCCTCACCATTTTGGAGAATGACACCACCAAGGGCAAGACTTGCTATAGTTATTTTGGTCAGTGACAAAATGCACCTGTATCAGTTTGCATCTGTAGCTACTGCATGCACGTACGTAACAGAGGATGTCGGAGGCGCCTTCCAACAGACCGAGAGCTGAACATCATTATGTTGGTGGTGACACATGAAATGAGGAATACTATCTCAATTAGTCCTTGTTATTGCTATCTCATAATTAAAAAAAAAATTCGAAGGCACAGTAAGACATCTAGGTTATGGAAATTATATTTTTTAAAATTGTTTTTCTGCCTCACTCTGGCATTATTCCCCAAGGTCAGTCACATAACTTTTCCCTATCACTTTCCTACACCACTTGTATGGAGTGGCTTCTGATTGTTCTCCCTCCAATTAAAAGTCCTTACTAAGTAGGTGCGTCTGACTAGAGTGCCTTCCAATGTATTGTGCTAAACTTTAAGATATTGATAGAGATTTTAAAAAATTATTTGAGTAGGGGAATAACATGCTCTGTAATTTTAATTTCAGGATAGCAAAAGATAATTTAAAACATCTGTTATAAAGAGAACAGGGTTAAGAGGGGCTGGCACTGCCCACCTACTCTAAATCAAACACTCAGATACTCTCTCACGCCACCCTACTATAGCCCTTTAGCACAATCCCATTATTTATATTGCTTATTTTCTTCTTTATATTCTATTTTATAACTAGAAGGAAAGCCCCATGAGGATGGGAGTATCATGTCCACCTTGTCCACCACCAGATTACAAGGAAGCAGGGCCATGCCTGGCATGTAAGTGAATGAAGTATGAGAAGTTATTAGGTGCTAGACTGTGTTCCAAGTATCAGATATACAGCAGCAAACAAGGATAACATGAATCCAGACATTAAACAAACATTACACAAGTAAACCATTACAACTGTGATAAGGACTATAACAAAGCAATACACGGTGCTGTATAAAAATATCTAATTTATTGGAAAGGAGAGGAGGGAGGAAATAAAGCCTCAGAAAAAGTTTCACTGCGAAAAAGAGAACAAGACTTGAGCAACACGAGCTTAAGACTAGGTATATTACATTCAGATACAGTACTGCACCAGCAGAATCTAGCCTACCACCTAGCACAAGGCAGCTGCACACAATATATAAGCAAACTGACTAAGGTAACACTCAAGATAGGCATGTAAGTGGTCATTACAAGGGCAAAAAGAGAGGGAAAGAGCACTTGAGAAGGAGAATCTGAGATGTGCTGTTCAACTGGTGGCAGGAAGCCACACACAGCTATGGAGCACCCAGTGGTATGTGGCTCCTCCAGGCTGAGATATGCTGGTAGGGTACAATGCATGCCAGATTTCAAAAACTTGGAATGATAAAAATAAGATAAAGTCTCAAGAATTCTTACACTGACTATATCTTGAAATGATGATACATTGGATATACTGGATCAAATAAAATATATTAAAATTAATTGCACCTATCTTTTTATCTTTTTAAATGTGGTTACTATAAAATTTTAAATCACCTATGAGGCTTACATCGTATTGCTGTTGGACAGCACTGGAGAAGTCAAGTAAAGTAGATGAGGACTCAGAATTACCCAGTGGGCTTATCTACAGGAGGATCACTGTCATCATTGGCAAGGCATTGAGGGGTGGACGGTGGTAGTGTAATGGTAGTAGGCAGGAAAGGCCTGGTTGAAGCAGGTTGAAGAGGGAGTGGGAAGAATTAAAGACAATGCAGTTAGATAATCTGTCAAGAAGTTTTGCAATAAATGACACGAAAACATGAGGTACCAGGGAGAGAGAGGGACACAGGGCTAAAAGAGGGGATTTTAGGATGGGAGAAACTATACATTTTTCTATGCTGACAGGAACAATCCAGTATGTTAGAAATGTCTGCTGCTACAGGAAAGAGTGGGCAGAACTGAAGAATTACCATGAACAGGTAAGATGGGATAGAAGCCATTACATAGCAGAGGGTTGGTCTCATTCAGGAACATGAAGTTCACCCATGGGAGGCAGAACAAATGAGGAGGAGGAGTGTGGCAGGCAGAAATGTGAGAAGTGCAGTGCAAGGAATCTTCTGGGGGCTCTATCCTGATTGCTCCAATCTTGCTTTCTTCTACTTTATATAACTAATACCTCTTATTTCATAGGCACAGAGGTCCTTATAAACTCAAAAGGAAAACATATATTTTCAAGGAACATTTATAAAAATCATACGCTTGGCCATAAAGAAGATCTTAACAACTGTGAAACAGTTAACATTTAAAAATCATATTACCTGCTCATAAGCCAATATGAAATTTTTGGCTCATAATATGCTCATAGAAATAAAAATGAGATAAAACCCCAGGGCTACTTGAAACTTAAGTAATATTCTTCTAAATAATGCTATAATGAAAAAGAGAAATAAAAATAAAATTTTTGTTCTTGTTTTTTTTTTTTTTTTTTTTGAGATGGAGTCTCACTCTGTCGTCCAGCATGGAGTGCAGTGGTGTGATCTCAGCTCACTGCAATCTCCACCTCCCGGGTTCAAGCGATTCTCCTGCCTCGGTGTCCTGAAGTAGCTGGGACTATAGGCGCCACCACGCCTGGCTAATTTTTGTATTTTTAGTAGAGACGGGGTTTTGCCATGTTGGCCAGGCTGGTCTCAAACTTCTGACCTCAGGTGATCCACCTGCCTCAGCCTTCCAAAGTGCTGGGATTACAGGCATGAGCCACGGTGCCTGGCCAAAGATAAAACTTCAAATGAGTATACAGAAATACAATGGAAAGAAGAATACCACATACCTAGAAAGGTAAGACATATTAAAAGTTGTGCAAGAAGAAAATGGCCTCCAAAGTAAACAAGAATACATTTTAAAGATGCACTTAAAAGGGAAGAGCACAATAAAAAAGACAAAAATAATGAAGATACTACAAAAACAGAATGAAGAAAAATACTGAAATCAATGAAAATGAATAGTACTGCTGCAATACATCACTAAACTTGTCCTTCAAAAAACAATTAGAATAGACAGACCTTTACAAGTCTGAAAAAGAGCCAAATCAAAAGAGCTTAGGCATGAAACAGGAATATAGAGACAAAGTTACTGGAAAGATTTTAACAGATCTATGAGAGGCAACTCTATGGCAGCAAGATGAAAATGTAGAGAAATGGATAATATGCTAAATTACCAAAGCCGACACAAGTGGAAAATGTGGATAGATCGATTACTATTAGGCCAGGCACAGTGGTTCACGCCTGTAATCTCAGCACTTTGGGAGGCTGGGGTGGGCAGATTACTTGAACCCAGGAGTTTGAGACCAGCTTGGGCAACATGGCAAAACCCCCTCTCTACAAAAAAATACAAAAATTAGCCGAGTGTAATGGTGTGTACCTGTAGTCCCAGCTACTTGGGAGACTGAGGCAGGAGAACTGCTTGAGCCCAGATGGCAGAGGTTGCAGTAAGCCTTGATCGTGCCACTGAATTCCAGCCTGGGTGACAGGGTGAGACCGTGTCTCAAAAAAGATCTATTACTTTTGAAGTGATTAAAAAGATAAACACCTGCCGTTTAAAAAGGCATCATGTTGTTACGTAGATCAGTTCTACCTAGTCTTTAAACAACATGCAATTCCAATTTGAATTAAAATATTTCAGGCCATTAAAAATCACCAGAGAGAGGGAAGGCACTGAGAATGGATGAAGGAAAGACACAGAAGCTGGGCTGAAGGGGGAGGAAGCTGGGAACCCTGCAAGAGGCTACCACACACCAAGACTCATTCCTGGCCCACAATTACCCTGGGGGAATGGGTGAGTGGAACTGGCAAGGAGCAACCTGCTCTCACTACAGGCCTCTTAAATCCGAGCAGGGGGCCCCTCAACTACTACGGACACTTGAGGTGGCAGGGAGAGCTGCTTAGAGAAGTGCTAGGGATTGCAGCCAGCTGAGGTGGAGCCCAGAGGGTTTGGTGCAGGAGCGTCTGTAGTGGAACATGGCCAGGGAAGCCCTGACTTGCTCCCATAAGAGACTTTAGCCCTAGGGGAACTGTTGGACCTGAACTCTGCAGGGTGGGCTTACCTATCAGAAGGGGGTTAGTCTGACCTGAGCACCCCTTGGGCTTCTGGCTTCTCCTGGGGTCCCAGCCTGAACGAGCCTGCTTGCAGGGTAGCCTTGGGTGCCCTGGGGCCCACATCATAGCCCCTGCAGTGGCTGACCGCTTCTGACCAGCAGAGAGCTCCCACGGGGCAGCCTCCATTGCCACACACCAGCCCACCCGCTCCTTCCTCACACTGCAGGTTCCTCTAGCCCACAGCAATTCCCAACAGAGTTTTGCTGGCACCTGTGTACGCAGGCAGGTATTGCCTTCCGTGCCTCACCAGTGCACATGTGCACGCAACCCCAAAACTCACCCATGCCTGACAGCCACCTCAGTCGGAGCCTTGGCAGGCACAGAGCCAACCAGCCCTGTCCCCACTGCCAGCACCCCATGCTTATGTCAACATTATCCCAAGAGTGAAAGCAGGCACAGAGAATAGCAGATTCTCCCCTACCCACAGCAAACACCTATGCTTACAGTGCACAGGGTGCACACACAGACCTGGGCCTGCCAGCAACCCAACCCTGTGCTACCACCACCACCAGCACCAATGCTGCACAGTTGCCAACAGGCAACCCCCCACCCAAACCGTGCTGCTACTGCCACTGTAGTGAATGCTCAAATGGAGACAGGCACCCCAGTACCCACTAGCAACCTGCCGGGCTGATGAGCGTGCATCCCAGTGTGCTGCCACTGCTGCTGGCACATGGAAACAAGGGCGGATCCTATGCCACCACACTGTGAAATGCTTTGGCTGACACCACCCATTGGAGTGTAGTGACCAGTGGTCTGGGAGCACCCCTACCCCCAACACTCCACAAGTGCAGTGGATTCCTAACCTCCAGGAGCCAGAGAACAAAGTTGCAGCCCAATACCAGTCTCCCAGAATTAGAGCACACAGTCCAGGAGTTGGGGGCTGGGCACTGGTCCCCTAAAATATTCCAGAAATGCAGCCAGTCAGTTGAGTCCACCTTACCACAATCAAACCCTCAAGGTCATCAAATAGGATAAACAAACAAACAAGCAAAAATACAAAGGTCAGCAACTTCAAAGGTTGAAGAAACGTTGGCCCAAAAGATGGAAAGAACCACTGCAAGAAATCTAACAACTCAAAAAGCCAGAGTGCCTTCTTTCCTCTAAATGACCGCACCACCTCTCCAGCAAGGGTTCTGAACTGGGTTGAGATGGCTGAAATGACAGAAATAGAATTCAGAACATGGATAGGAATGAAGATCATTGAGATGTAGGAGTACACTGAAACCCAATCCAAGGAAGCTAAGAATCACAATAAAACAATACAGGAGCTGAGAGAAAAAATAGCCAGAATAGAAAAGAACATAATCAACCTGATGGCGCTGAAAAGCACACTACAAAGATTTCATAATGCAACCGTAAGTATTAATAGCCTAACAGACCAAGTTGAGGAAAGAATTTCAGAGCTTGAAAGCTGTCTTTCTGAAATAGGAGTCAGAAAAGAATAGAGAAAAAAGAATGAAAAGGAATGAAGAAAGCCTCTGTGAAATACGGGATTATGTAAAGAGACCAAATCTATGTCTCACTGGTGTCCCTGAAAGAGCTGGGGAGAGTGTAAGCAACTTGGAAAACATGTATCAGGATATGATCTATGAAAAGTTCCCCAACCTAGCTAGAGAAGTCAACATTCAAATTTAGGAAAGGCAGAGTAAGATACTACACGAGAAGATCATTCCCAAGACACATCATCATGAAATTCTTCAAGGTGGAAATGAAAGAAAAAATGTTAAAGGAAACTAGAAGGGCCAGGTCACCTGCAAAGGAAGGCCCATCAGATAAACAGCAGACCTCTCAGTAGAAACTCTACAAGCCAAAAGAGATTGGGGGCCAACATTCAACATTCTGGAAGAAATTCCAACCTGAAATTTTATAATTCCAGCCAAACTAAGCTTCATAAATAAAGGAGATATAGGATCCTTTTCAGACAAGCAAATGCTGAAGAAATTTGTTACCATGAGACCTGCCTTACAAGAGCTCCTGAAAGGAGCACTAAATATGGAAAGGAAAGACCGTTACCAACCATCACAAAAACACAGACCAGTGACACTATAAAGCAAACACACAAACAAGTTTGCCTAATAACAAGCTAACACCATGATGGCAGGATCAAATCCACACATATCAATACTAACCTTGAATGTTAATGGGCTAAATGCCCCCATTAAAAGACACAGAGCTGGATAAAGAACCAAGATTCATTGGTATGCTGTCTTCAAAATACCTATCTCACATGCAATGACACACATAGGCTCAAAATAAAGGAATGGAGAAAAATCCATCATTCAAATGGAAAACAGAAAAAAACAGGGGTTACAATCTTAATTTCAGACAAAACAGACTTTAAACCAACTCAGTTAAAAAAGACAAAGAAGGGCATTACATAATGGTAAAGGGTTCAATCCAACGAGAAGGCCTAACTATCCTAAATATATAAAAAAACCAAACAGCAGCACTCATTATTAATAAGCCAGATTCTTAGAGACCTTCAAAGAGACTTAGACTCCTACACAATAATAGTGGGAGACTTTAACACCCCACTGACAATATTACGTAGATCACTGAGATGGAAATTAACAAACATATTCATGATTTGAATTCAACATTGGATCAAATGGACCTGACAGACATCTATAGAACTCTCCACCCCAAAGCAACAAAATACACATTCATCTCATCACCATACGGCACATACTCTAAAATCAATTATATAATTGAACACAAAACACCGTTTAGCAAATGCAAAAGAACTGAAATCATAATAACCATTCCCTCAGAGCACAGCATGGCCAAATTAGAAATCATGACTAAGAAATTTGCCCAAAACCACACAATTATATGGAAATTGAATAAACTGCTCCCGAATGACTTTTGGGTAAATAATGAAATTAAGGCAGAAATCAAGAAGTGCTTTGAAATGAATGAGAACCAAGACACAATGTACCAGAATCTCTGGGACACAGGTAAGGCAGTGTAAAGAGGTAAATTTGTAGTACTCAGCAAATGCAAAAGAACTGAAATCATAATAAACATTCTCTCGGAGCACAGCACGGCCAAGTTAAAAATCATGACTGAGAAATTTGCTCAAAACCACACAATTACATGGAAATCGAATAAACTGCTCCCAAATGACTTTTGTGTAAATAATGAAATTAAGGCAGAAATCAAGAAGTGCTTTGAAATGAATGAGAACCAAGACACAATGTACCAGAATCTCTGGGACACAGGTAAGGCAGTGTTAACAGGTAAATTTGTAGCACTAAATGCCCACATCGAAAAGTTAGATCTCAGTTTAACAACTTAAGATCACAAAAAAGAACTAGAGAACCAACCCCAAACTAGAAGAAGAGCAAACCAACCCCAAAACTAGAAGAAGAAAAGAACTAACCAAAACCAGGATGAATTGAAGGAGAGTGAGATGGAAAAACCATTCCTGCCTGTTGCTAAACCAAAACCAAGAGTTGTTTTTTTAAAAAAAAATTAATAAAATAGACCACTACCCAGATTAATAAAGAAGAGAGAAGACCTAAGTAAACACAACTAGAAATGAAAAGGGGGATGTTACCACCAACCCCACAGAAATACAAATAACTATCAGAGAATCTTAGGAACACCTCTATGCACATAAACCAGAAAATCTAGAAGTTATGGATAAATTCCTGGGCATATAAACCCTCCCAAGACTGAGCCAGGAAGAAACTGAAGCCCTGAAGTGACCAATAATGAGCTCTGAAATTGAATCCGTAATAAATAGCCTACCAACCCAATAAAGCCCAGCACCACATGGATTCACAGCCAAATTCTACCAGACGTATACAGATGAGCTGGTACCATTCTTACTAAAACTATTCCAATAAACTGAAAAGGAGGGACTCCTCTCTAACTCATTCTATGAAGCCAGAATTATTCTGATACCAAAACCTGGCAGAGACACAACAAAAATAGAAAATGTCAGGCCAATATTATTGATGAACATAGATGCAAAAATCCTCAACAAAATATTAGCAAACCAAACCCAGCAGTGGCACATCAAAAAGCTAATCCACCATGATCAAGTAGGCTTTATTCCTGGGATGCAAGGCTGGGTCAACATATGCAAATCAATAAATGTGATTCATCACATAAACAGAACTAAAAACAAAAACCACAGGATCATCTTGACAGATGCAGAAAAGGCTTTCAATAAAATTCAACATCTCTTCATGTTAAAACACCTCAATGAACTAGGCATTGAAGGAATGTACCTCACAATAATACATAAAATAATAAGACAGTGTAGCAATTCCTCAACACCTACAAACAGAAGTACCATACAACCCAGCAATCCCATTACTGGCTATATACCCAAAGGAATATAAATTGTTCTTTTTTTTTTTTTTTTGAGACGGAGTCTCGCTCTGTTGCCCAGGCTGGAGTGCAATGACGAAATCTCGGCTCACTGCAAGCTCCGCCTCCCGGGTTGATGCCATTCTCCTGCCTCAGCCTCCTGAGTAGCTGGGACTACAGGCGCATGCCACCACGCCCAGCTGATTTTTTGTATTTTTAGTAGGGACAGGGTTTCACCGTGTTAGCCAGGATGGTCTCCATCTCCTGACCTCGTGATCCGCCCACCTTGGCCTCCCAAAGTGCTGGGATTACAGGTGTGAGCCACCGCGCCCGGCCAAATTGTTCTTTTATAAAGACACATATACATGTACGTCTAATGCAGCACTATTCACAATAGCCAAGACATGGAATCAACCTAAATGCCCATCGATGGTAGACTGGATAAAGAAAATGTGGTACATGCACACCATGGAATATTATGCAGCCAAAAAAAAAAAAGAATGAGATCATGTTCTTTGCAGGAACATGGATGGAGCTGGAGGCCATTATCTTTAGCAAAATAACACAGGAATAGAAAACTAAATACTGCATCTTTTAGCTCCCACTTATAAGGGAAGCTAAAAGATGAGAACACAAGGACACACAGAGGGCAACAACAGACACTGGGGCCTACCAGAGGGTGGAGGGTAAAAGTGGGGAGGGGATTGGGAAAAATAACTAATCAGTACTAGGATTAATACCTGGGTGACAAAGTAATCTGTATGATAAACTGTGTGACACGAGGTTACCTAGATAACAAATCTGCCCATGTACCCCTGAGCTTAAAAAGTTTTTTTAAAAAAAAATCACTGAAAGATTCCAATTCACCTAATGAAATTAATATAACTTTAACACCATGTCTAATAAAGTTAACATAAAAAAGTCTAGATTAATCTCACAAATAGTTGCAAAAATTCTACAAATATAACTCAATATTTTAAAAGAATATTGTATATTATTAATTGGCTCAATATTATCATAACTATTAATATAATCTACTATAATGATAAAGGAGAAAAAGGATCATATCAATAGATGCTAAAAGGGTCTTTGATTAAATTTAGGAGCTACTCATAAAACTCTAAGCAAAAGATAAAAATATTAAAGACATGTTATTAAAACTCAACAATAAAAACAATCCCAAATAATGACACACTTTTAATTGATAAATTAAAATCTAAAACAAAATAGGAATATTGTCTACTGCCCTGTTATTAAACATGATCTTTGAGCTTCTTGTGACTGAAGGAAAAAATTGTATGTGGGGAAAGGTAAAATTATTCTTTTGCTGATTACATTATTATACACTTATAAAATCCAAAATTCTAATAAAAAACCTGTTCAATCAATAATAAGGTTGCAGACTGTATGTTAAACAATAATCAAGAATATCTTCTATGCTCACAATATAAATTTTAAATTGTAAGTGGCAAGAAAAACCCCAAAAAGTCATTCAACATAAGGCCCAAAACTATAAAATACTTATGAATTGGTTTAATATGGAAGACCTATCTGAAAAAGATTGAGATCTTATTGAAGGGTATAAAAGAAGTCCTGAAACACAATATCAAAAAAAAAGCACTTTCACAAAATTTCACAAAAATTTATTCTGTTTTCCTCTGTGAATATCCAGCTGACACAGCAGCATTTAATGAGATTTAATCAGTGATGGCAGAAGTCAGGACAGTGGTCATCCTTAGGATGTGGGACAAGGGAGGCCGGTCTGTTTAAAGTCAACAGCCAACAAGAGATTTGGGGAAAAAAATCATAAAAAAGGTAACAGGAAAACACACTGATTTCCTTGATGTGTAAAGGGACTTATTAATTTAAAAGGACAATTGTGTTGGTAAAATAGGCAAAGTACATGATATGAGCAGTTAATTCACAGAGGTGAGAAGAAAAACAGTCAAGACATGAAAATATGTTTAAAGTTACTAGGTCCTTGCTTTACATCTAAGTGAGCAAAAAAGTTACAAGAATAACTTTGTATCTATTAAAATGGAAAAATTAAAAGAGCTATTAAAACTGCCATCCAATGAGTGCGAAAATAGTACTCTCACACACTGCCAGTGACAATATGAAGTTTCCTAGCTTTTCTGAAAAGCAATCCAACAGCTTCTTTTAAAATTACAACTATTTGAAACGAACCCTGCAGTTCCATCCTTGGAAATCTCTTCCACAAGGAGAAAAAGCAGTAGTACATAGATTATATATAAAGGAGTATTTATTATGTCATTGTCTTGGGGCAGAAATCTAAAAGCAAAGTAATTGCCCTTCACAGAATCCCATCTGGCCCCCAGGGAGGAAGGGGCAAAGAAAGGCGGGGCTTGAAAAAATTTCTACCAGGTTCACAGAGTGAAATAACCAAGTAGGACAGTGTGCCTGATGATGACCCCTTTTCTGAATAACAAAACAGGAATATGAGGAAAAACACAGAAGATTACTAAATCACTTACATGTTAAGTATGGGCAGGGGGTGGGGGGTTACAGAGAAGGCTGAAGAGAAAAGAATGGTAGAGGCAGGAGCTGAGCAGAGTGGGAATGGAAACCAGAGTACACTTGGAAAAAAGCAGGTCAGACACGGTTTGGCACATTTATATATGTATAGGAAATTATATGTACAGGTCAAGGTATGAATAAATTAAGTAAAAAGTTCAAATCACTACACTATGTTAAGTGGAAAAGAAATGTTACTAGTGCAAGGCCTGAGAAGAAGCCCCTAGAATCATGTTCCCTGAACACTCATCTAAATGGGAGCATGCCCTTCTCAGTACACCCACCCTCACACTGTTCTACTTTTCATCTCGGTACTTATTGTTGTATGACACAGATGTATTCCATATTTATTTTGTGCACTCAACTATAAGCTACATAAAGACAAAGGACTTCTGTTTTGTTCCTTATTGTATCTCAAACCTCTAGACTGCCTGGCACCAAGCAGGTTCTCAATAATACTTGTTGGAAGAATGAGGATCACACAGGAAATGGTCAGCACTTCTGCTAGGAAGATAACAAAAGAAGTGAGGTGTGGGGTAGAAGTGTGAGTTTCCATCTGATGGACATTTTTTCTTCGAGGTAAATAAGGTTAATAAGGCTTTCAAGAGAATTGTGAATGTATAATTTTTTTTTTTCCTGGAAATAACCTGAAGAGGCTGTTTCAAAGGGTAAGATGCCAGTACAAATATACCCAAATCATTCAGAACTTAATTTTAAAAATTAGTATTTAAAACTTCTCCAGATAAACAGTAACAACCCCATTCAGGTCTCACTAACACATGTTAGGTTTGTATGATTCCTTTCCTTCCAAAACTAAGTAATTCCGAGGTATTTCAACAGCACCTAGACTTTCTCTTACTTGTCCCCCACTCCACTGAACAATAAATGCAGTGCAATAGGAAAATTTAATTGTAAAATGATCTTTTCCAAAAGAATGCCCCATTTCCTTAATTTGATTCTTCTTTGTGTAACGCCAAGTTCCCGAAAGGTCAGAGCAGACTTACATTGCAGCCCTTGTCCGTTAGGTAACTGATTCCTTCTTCTGGGCCGATTGCCAGTTCCACTGAAATAATCCAGCTTGACTTTTGAAGGTGAAACAAGTGAGAACAGAGGTGGCAGAAGGAAAAAAGAAATACTTTAGATAAAGAGCCGTGGATATGTTAAAGGACCAAAGCAGGGGCTGGTTTGGTTTGCTATTAATCTATCTAACCAAATAAGATAAAATATTTATAACTTCATTGACCCAGGATGTGTTAAGCCTGCACAAAGTGCACTGTGCTTATTCCAGCATGCCTGATGCCAAGGGTTTCTCTGGGATGATTATCTAAATAGGTAAACTAGCCCTTAGAGAACAATTAACAAATCACAGGGATAAAATTTTAAAAACCTAATTATGAAGCTAGGCATGCTGTTTTTAAAAAGGTGATTTTATTCTCACATTAATTATTTTCTTTTTCTATTTTTCACATGGTAAAATGAAAAAATATCATTTTATTGAAAAAAATGGGACAAGTTAGCATTTTTTCATCAGAAATTTAGATATACAGCAAGAGACAAGAAAAAGTAAAATCAAACTAGCCCACTATTTCCCATATTCCCATACTTACACCAAGAGCACACTTGAAGCATTCCTTATCAAATCTGTAGACTGGAGACAGGATCTCAAAGAATTTCAGAATACTTTCTTCTCTATTAAGGTTGGCAAATTGTCTAAATGTTTGTTGGATCAGTTTTCTTAGTGTTTTGGCCTGCATGACAAAATTACCAAAACATCTTGTAAAAATCAGCAATGAGTAAAGACCACAACAATAATGGTAAGATTTCTTTCCTACCAACTACTTACTAACACCTACATTCAAATTACTGCCAAAAAGTATACTTGTCAAATAACTATAAATGTATTTATCAAAGCTTTATTCTTTTAATTGTGGCAAAATGCATATAACACAAAATTCACCATCTTAACCATTTTTAACTGTAAAGTTCATATATAGAGTTTTATTTCTTAAACAGAAGTTTGTACTATATGTGCACATGACTCAGAAAACACCAGGCCAAAGGTATAAAGGTACTTGCACATTCCACTGTTAGGAGGGAAAAAAACAGTATATCTTTCTGAAGGAAAGCACAAATCAAAAACTTTAAAAAAACCACAATGCTTATCCATAAAATAAAATTCCAGGACATTATTCTTTAGAAATGATTAGAGATACATGCAAAGATTCAGGAACAAAAAGATTCACTGCAGAACTGTTTACAGTAATAGAGAGCCTGGTTACGTAAACTATGGTGTATCTATCTTCTCAACCAACATTCTATGCAGCCTCAAGAACTGTTTTGGAGAACTAATCTACTGGCATTAAAACCCATATTACATTGTTACATGAAAAAAGATGACAAAACAGTCAGCATGGAGTACAGATGCCTTTAAAAGGCAAGAGCACACGTGTGGGTCCTGGTGAGCACACAGCAATGTACCCATGAAGGAGATAAAGCAACGATGCTTTTGCTTTTTTCATGAAGTAAGATGATAGGTGGTCTTCCAGTCCTTTTTCGCTTATTTGAGTTTTCTACTTAAACACATGGAAATCTGCATAGCAGAGGTAAATGCTTTCCAAGCAGCAAACCCCCAGTCCTTGGTGTGTGAAGCAGTCTGAGAAGGCCATGGATAAAGGGAATGTGATGAGGTCTAATGAAGAGGGGCAAGAGAATGTAGGCCATAGTTAACAAGTTGGCTTTGACTCTGATGAGATGCCAAGCCCTCAGGAGACTTTGAGAAGAGGAGTGACTTTATCTGACTTTGGTTTTTTTTTTTTTTTTTTTTTTTTTTTTTTTTTTTTTTTTTTAAATAGGGTCTCACTCTGTCGCCCAGACTGGAGTGCGGTGGCGCAACCTCGGCTCACTGCAACCTCTGCCTCCCAGGCTCAAGCGATTCTCCTGCCCCAGCCTCCCTGAGTAGCTGGGATTACAGGTGTGCACCACCACACCTGGCTAATTTTTGTATATTTAGTAGAGACAGGGTTTCATCATGTTGGCCAGGCTGGTCTTGAACTCCTGACCTCAAGAGATCCACCCGCCTCAGCCTCCGAAAGTGCTGGGATTATAGGCATGAGCCACCGCACCCGGCCTGAATTATGTTTTAACAGGGATACTCTGGCCACTGTGTTGTGAACAGTATGAAAGGAGCAGGAGAGACCAAGTCAGGGCAACCCAAATAATCCAGGCAGGAGGAGACAGATGGCACAAGTACAGAACCAGAAAGAGGGTGAGAAGTAGTCAAGTAGTCAGACCCTACCTTTCTTTCTTCTTCTTTTTTTTTTTTTTTTCCAGAGTAACTGGACTCCAATGGATTTACTTTAAACATAGAACCAACAGGATATGCTAATAATTAAGAGTTGCCATTAAACTGAAATGGCAGAAATTGTGAGAGGAGCAGTTTGGTGGGTAAAGGTCAGAAAGAATGCCAGAAGAATACCAGAAATCCAAGTGGAGCTGTCAAGCAGGCCAGTAAGGGCCCAGTGGAGTTCAAGGGGAGGTCCTGGCTGGCCCAGCAGACAGGGAAGATGGATTAGGTGACCTGCTAATCTCAGTGGGTCAGGGACATGGGGAGCAGCCAGGGGCCCAGGTTGAGGTGTGGCTGCTAAGTCAGGTACACCGTAAACTAGGAGGGCATGGCATACTTTGGTGGGGTCATGGAGGTAATAGCCTGTCTGTAGTGGCTTGAAGGTCCTAGTAGGATCCAAGGATTACTGGATCTGGGATACTACAGAAAGTGAGCTGGAAAGACAGGAGCTATGGTCAGAGAGAAGGATACACACAATTAGGGAGGGGGTTCGATTACTGGAAATGAATAAGACCAGAGTGAGAGGTTGAGGTAAGGCAGAGGACAAGATTCCTGAAGACAGGAATTCAATGAGCCAAGATAGTGGAACATGGGAGGATTACCTAAGGCATGTGACTTTTATTTTAAAAAGCTCGCTCTGCTCTTGCACACAGAGGGTTGGGGGAGTGTGTAGGAGTGAAAGCAGAAAGACCAGTCAGGTCACTGTAACAGATCAAGCAAGAAAACACTAGTGGCATGGACCCCAAGGTAGTGGTGAAGAAGAGAAATGGGCACTTTTGGGACATTTGGATGATCATATGCAAGACAACTGGAAAGTAAAGAATCCAGGAAAAGTAGAGTTTTAGATGGAACAAACAGGCAAACATAAGAGGCAGGCTTGGTGAAAAAAATAAAGTCATGTTAACCCTGTACATGTGTTTGACCTTGAAGTCTTCCAACATGAACCATCAAGGAGACATTTGGATCTAAGTCTGGAGCTCAGGAGAGGGCAGCACTGTTGCTAGAAATTTCAGAGCCACCAGCTGAAGTATTTAAATACATGGGACTAGATGGCACCTGCAAATAAAATGAAGACAAAAGAGAAGGCCAAAGCTAAGTAAGCTGACCAATAGTTGGTTTTAACCAGGGCTGAGGTTTTGACAGGTGAGTATGACAGAGTGGAATAAGAGAATTATAGCTGTTTTGAAAAGGATTAATTACAGCTTCACAGAACTTAAACTGAAGAGCAATAAAATGGGTTCAAGGTTAGCAAGGCTTGACTATAAAATGTATCACATGGAAAGTGAGGTGGTCAGCCTCAGATGCTCTATAAACAAAAGTCCGAAAAGCATATTCTTGGTTTGACTCCAGGCTTTCTAAACATTCTCTGCTTATGATCACCTATGTAGGACAGACTCTACAACAGAGCATGCAGATTGGACATGGAGATTTGAGTACTGCTTGTAGCCACCTACATGATGTTTTTCTCCTTATAAATTAACAATATAGTACCTTGGGACTTTGCTGAATATAAAGCAGTCTCTAAGAAGCAGGCCCGCTACACTCTGGACCTAGAACAAATCCACTAAGGAAATTCTACTCTGTGCTTGGCACTTGGCATACACTGCATAATCAGAACAGGTATCTATTCTCAATAAATTCAGAGTACAGCTGGAAAAAGAGCATTCTGATCTTCATTCATGGCTACAGGAGGAACAGTATAATTCTGTGCATATAGTGCTATTAGGCGCTGATTCACACACACACACACACACACAAACACACACACACTACCAAAAAATGATACCAGAAAAGACATCTGTAGGCCCTTCCGTGGAAATAAACAAAGTCTTCACAATGACCCTTGCAAGGGAGATACTATTTTTCATATATTACTGAGCAAACAGAGACTGAAACATTAGGTAACAACGAGGGGGTACAAGAATTGTGATTCTAATCCAGAACTACTTGATTTCTTTTTACTTGCTATGAGACCAATTCAAACACCTCCTTTTCTAAGATGCTCTGCTTGATAGAAGAAACCAGGAAGAAACAACCACCACATCCCTATGGGTCTCATACTGCTTTGAATGTATTTTTAGACATGGCACTTATATAAGATCCACGTTGGTGATAAGGGAGCATGCACTGCCTTGTTACCCCAAAGAAAAGAGTATAGCCCGCAGCTGAAACTCAATGATGTGCTTTTACAATGAATAATTACATGTCTCTGCCATAACAACTTGGATTCTGGCAAACTCTCAAACAGATAATATGGATGAATAAAATCTAGTTCTATCCTGTGATAAATTAGGTTTCACTTTCTAGTAAGTAAGTGGGAAGACAGTTCAGATTTCTTTAGTTTCAAACTTCTATCATAGAACATGCTGCCTCAATGTACAAATGCTCTGAGTGTAAGAAATGTCTCCCATCTACAAGTATTAATAGAAAATAAGTCCAGCAAAAGCCCTGGAATATAAAAAAATCTCTTTAAGTGTATGATACAATAAATTGGAATATGGTAGCAGTTGCAAGGAACAGTTGTCAACTGAACACAGGGACCAGAACACAATGACAAAACATTTCTATTAACATTAACCAAATGTTGGTATATTCATTCATGACTCTAAGAGGAATATTTCAACTCAGGTAAATACTGACATGCAGTGATCAAAAATTATGTAAAATAGGTACAGAAAAAAAGTCAATTCTCTACTTTGTACCTAATTCCCAACCAGCTGCTGGTTTATATATAAATTATTGGCAATATTATAATATACTGACACCTGCTCATTTGTTCAATGCTTTTTAAAATTAACCTAAAACATTCTATGAAGTAACGGAGATAGAAGTCGAGGAAACAGAATCTGCTCTTGAGGTTAAAATGCATATATATATATACACACCTGCCTACCTGACAGTTCCACTGCAGTTTCTCACAGACATCTAAAACCTGCCACTAAGAGCACTGAGATTTCAGCCGTGGTGGCTTATTGGCCCTACCCGACTGGACCCTAACATATACATCTAACTTGGTTGCAACTCTATCACTCTGAACTTACTCTTTCCTATACCCCTTCCCTTTGACCCCCATAGTCTCCAGGCACTTCTAGTTCACTACTTACACAGCTGAATGCATCACGGGCAGTCCCACCCAGTTCAGATTCTGCTTCAATATTGTCTCTTGACTAGTAGCACTAGACAGCACTTAAGTGTATGGGACAGAAATCTGAGGCCAGGCCCTGTATTTTCTTCTTCCTCCTCCCACATTAGACCAGTAGCTAAGTCCTGTTAGACTTTACGCCCGTAACATTCTTCAAATGTAACCCAACAACTCTCTACCCTCTGCCTCCTTTAAATTCAAGCCCTCCTTGTTTCTCTTGGCCTCTTATTTCTCAGCATCTGATGACTAAGAATCTTAAAAAGAAGTTGTGTGCTGTTCTTCTACAACAGGGATTGAAGCCATCAACCCTTTGCTAAATAAAGTGAGTCAATTTGGTTTGATCCTCATTTTCTCATCCCAAACTCTTAGACATGGAATGTGTGTGGTGGTAAAGAACTCAACTGCTCTCCCCGATAATTTAATCTGCTGGAAAATTTCCAAGTAACTGGGGCAAATGTGTTTGAAAGTAATAACTATGCAATGTTAAGAGACAATCTGGACTCCAATTTTACTGTATTTGTCTCATTCAGCTGAATGTGGGAAAACATGCTGCTTTTTCTGTAGGCGGTGTTACCTTGCTCATCCTACACATTAACAAGCTGAGACCCAAGAAGTGAGAGCAACAAACAACACAACAAACCAGTAAGCTCAAGCAGCTGGAGTAAAGGAAAACGATATCATTCAGAGTTAGTTTCCTATGGACACAGAAACAACTCTCTCATTCTCCACCAACTAAAACTGTTGGCGCCTTTGGCAGGAATATACCCAAGTTCTTATGGTCTGTACTTAAATGCGACTGCCAATGAGGACTGTGAGTTCCAAACCTATGGTGTTCAGTGCTGGACAGAAACTAGAAAATCTCTGCTGTCTGAAACTCCAAAATCAGTTTTTACGAAAAGGATATCTTAGAAAGCATTAGTTCTTTCCTAATTACTCAGTGGGGAACAAAATTCCACAAAATCTGTGTAGAATCTCTGGATATTAATCAATACACTTGCAGAACTTGTTTAAGTAAACAAGACTGTTCTCATTGCATTTCAAGTTTGAACACCTGCTTGTGTTAACCTGGATTTTGGAAACAAGGCATCTACGCACACTATTTTATTTTAAACCAATTTACATATAGTGATAAATTTACTAAGAATGTGATACTTCTTCAAAATGAAGTGGTATTGCTAGGATGAACCATAAGAAACTGCTGCTATTCATCCATGTTGAGCTACAAAAATAACTTCCTATTAGTCAACCTAATGATTATCAGATGCTGCTAGCAACAATAGATTCCTAGGACTTCCCAGATGCAAAGGTTGTAAGGCAATGCCAAGGAAAATCTGCAATAAGAGAGTTTTTAAGGAATAACTTCTCAACCCAAACACCAAATGCTTTAAATGCAGATACATTAACAGCGCGTGAAGAGAGCCTCTTCTTACTCCTATCTACAGGACCCACATCAGATGATAAGCTCTGTAAGCAGAGGCCAGGTTTCACTCCCCACCCAGCATCCCCAACTCAGGTCCTGGCATACAGCAGATAACAGGAATTCACTGCTGAACATCGTACCAAGATATGCATTTCTGTGCTTGGTGAAAATATTAAGCTTAAAATAGTCATCTGCTCATCCTAGAAATGAAAATAATGACTATTTTCTCCAAGAATAAAATCATGTGTTCCTGGTAGTATTCTAGGAAACCACATTATTACTTGAGAATCAGATACTAAAAAAACTGATAACTATTGATCTCTTAACATTTCTAGTTCTGAAATTAGGTTTCTACTGTGCATTATATTGCAATAAATTAAAATTTGCCTATTTTGACTTGCTGCCTAATTTAAGCTCAGAGTAGAGTTGTAATGCCAGTATGGGGAGCACCCTTGGTACCCACTGGTAGGACAACATTCACTGAACTACAGAAGTGACTCCAGTTTCACTAGTTGTCCACTAATGTCCTTTCACTGCTCCGGATTCCACACTGCATTTACACATCTTGTCTCCTCAGCCTCCTCCAGCTGTTAAACAGCTTCTGGGTCTTATCTTTCATGACCTTGATATTTTTCAAGAGTAATCATCAGAATTCTGTAGAATGTCCCTCAATTTGGGTTTGACAGTTTTACTGGTACAGTGAATTTTTAAATGTGTCTTTAAAACTACTAACATCAACGAGACGGAAATTAAAATACTTGCAAATTATTCTTAGTAATTGAGGCACATATATCCCAGATTCCATTTTTGGCATAAAACATAGCTAATCCAAGTTTCACTAAAGATAATAAAACAATCTTTCAACAATTCAATGTGAATGTTAATTATAAATAATCTTCTACGAATATAAATAGAAAGGGAAAAAAAATCAGGTAAAACAAAATGATTTTTGGAGAAACAAATGTAGCCTGTTTATGGAAAAGCCAATGTTAACTGACTTAGCCATTCTATAGAGCTATTTCAGAAGAAACAAGAAACTGGTGTGAATTTCTAGCTAGCTGAAGTTTCACTGGCAATAGCTTTGAAGAAGGGACTGTCTAGACACCACCTAATTTGTATTATAGTTGTTACCCCCATGAGCATATGTTGGTACCATATTCCATAGAAGTTTCATGGCAATCAGTGCAATGTCCAAAGAATTTATGTCAAATGTGAAAAAACCTTGGGCTAAGGTTATGAATTCCTAAGCCAAATACACACTATTGGGTACACAAAATTACAGTGATTCCCTTATTAAAAAGGGCATGTGAGAAACCAGTTCTAAGAACCGTATTTATGAGCCACTCCATAAATCTGATGAATCCATAGCTAACAGTAGCTAAAAATTAATTCTATTTACATCAAAATCAGCAGCAATTGAATTGCTCAAAAAGCACATCTGTTATTTGGTTTTCTGGACTGGGTGTGATGGTTCACATCCGTAATCCCAGCACTTTGGGAGGCGGAGGCGGGTGGATGGCTTAAGTCAGGAGTTTGAGACCAGCCAGGGCAACATGGTAAAACCGTGTCTCTACAGAAAAAAATACAAAAATTAGCTGGGCATGGTGGTCCATGCCTGTAATCCCAGCTACTCAGGTGGCTAAGGCAGGAGAATTGCTTGAACCTGAGTGGCCGAGGCTGCAGTGAGCCAAGATCGCGCCAATGCACTCCAGCCTGGGCGACGGAGTGAGACCCTGTCTCTAAAAAAAAGGAAAAGAAGTTTTCTCAAGTCCCTCTAGTCATCCTTCCCTCCCATTCTTACAGAAGCCATTCCATCCAGGCCTTGATCATTGCACATCTCATCTTCCTTAATCACCTCCCAAGTCTTCTTGGTTCTTTTTGCTTTCAATCTGTGCTCCATGTTGCTGTCAAATTTATATTCTAGAATCCAAAAAGAGATCATACTGCACACTCTGCACTCTCTGCATACTCTACACACTCTGCAATGAGTCCCCAATCCCCCTCAACTCCTACCTCAGCATTTAAGCCCACACCAAGTGACTGCCCACAATGATCCCATATTGACTCTACTCAACCAAAACCCCCTTTCCTGTCTGACCTCTGTTTCCTAGACAGCCTAGAAACAGAGAGGGCTCGCTGTTTCTAGGGTGTGAGCCCTCTCTGGCTATCAGGGCTCGCTGTTTCTAGGGTGTGAGCCCTCTCTGGCCACCAGGAGTTATCTGATACCCAGGTACAGCTCAAGATGGCAGGAAAAAAAGCACATGGGCATCAGCAGCAAAGGCCAGGGCAATGGAAGCCTAAACGATAGCCTGGAAACATATCTTAAGATACCTGCACAAATTTCCTGCAGAGGAGGGTTTTTTTTAGGGGGGTGGGGATGGAGAGCAGTAGGGAAGGCATAACCAAGGAAAGAAACTTTCTAGCTTTTCAATTCTACTATCTTCTAAAGTCTTATCCTGTCTTCACACCTTTTGTTCACATTGTACTCAGTGTTCAGAAAGTGTCTCCCCTTATTTTACTCATCATATTGCTGTTATTCATTAAGTAGGATTTACCAAATGTTACTACGTGCCAGGTACAATGTCAAACAAAGGGTGTAGAGTGGAGACAGCAACAGATATTGTCTTTGCCCTCAACAATCTTAAAATATAGCGGAGGAAGGCAGATAAAATACAAACAAGTAACAAACTACATAATTAAAAATTGAGGCCAGGCACAGTGGCTCACGCCTGTAATCCCAGCACTTTGGGAGGCCAAGGTGGGTGGATCACTTGAGCTCAGGCGTTCGAGACCAGCCCAACCAACACAGTGAAACCCCATCTCTACTAAAAATAAAAAAATTAGCCAGGTGTGGTGGCAGGCACCTGTAGTCCCAGCTATTTGGGAGACTGAGGCAGAAGAATTGCTTGAACCGGGAGGAGGAGGTTGCAGCGAGTCGAGATCACGCCACTGCACTCCAGCATGGGCGATGGAGCAAGACTCTGTCTCAACAAAAAAAAAAAAAAAGAGAAAGTAGAATTAAAAATTAAGATACTAAACAGGGTCCCAAGATTGAAGGGAGTATTTTGCCATTTCCACTTTGCGTGGTGAGAAAAGAGTAGGAGAGGGAACATTGAAGCAGAGGTTCAGAAGGACCAGTCATGGAGGAGACAGGGCCAGTCCTCTACCGAACCTCTTTGGGCACCTGTCTCACTCTGGCTACACTCACACCATGGCACCTGTGACCTGTACCTGTGGTTCCGTTTTGAATATGGGGATCCTTTAAAAATCTAGAATGTATTGGACTCCTAAATGACAACAGTCACTCTTTTCCTAATTGTTTATACACATACAGATTTAAGGAGACTTTGCAATAATTCTGAGGCTTCATAAACCAGTGCTTCACAACTGAAAACCCCTGACCAATACTACTAATGTGACATAACCATCAACAGAACATTGGGTAGAGTACTCTTCTATCCAACAGCAATGTAAATTCACTAAAACTGTAGCTTACACTTGTTTGAATGTCTCCACTATCCTCCTCACTGCAGCACCCAGCAGGTTTACACACAGCAGCATCCCTTCCACTTAAGGGTCTTCCCATGCCTTCTCGGCTCCCACACCAAAAACATTCCAGGTCAAACTGAATCTCCCATTCTCCCAACTGCAAGAGTATGGGCCACCCACACCTAATAACTCTCTCGAAGGACACAATTGTGTCATTCTCTCTCATTCCCCTTCCACTGTGCCAAACTTCATTTAAAACTCTTTGTTCTCTTTCAAATCTGACTCAACCCACTCATGCCAATGGTCTGTGGGCTACTTGTAGACTGGGACAGTGTCTCGATCTGTAGTCCTGGCCTCAACCACACTAAATGGAGTATGCTCTGTTCCCTAATAATTCACTGTAGTATTTCACTAATAGATCAGGAAACTTGAATGAACACTGAAAAAGTCGAGCAGCATCACTAGAAAGAGAGCCTGAAATAAAGAGTATATTTTTCCTGTACTATTCTTAAATGCACGTCTTATTGCATTTCTAGAATGCATTGTGTTTTAAAGCCAACACCTTTATATCTATTTTTCCCATTAGATTATCAAGAAGCTATGTGAGAGAGGAAGGGATACTGTTACTTTCTGGACTCAGGGAAACAGTGACTAATCCTTACAGTCCTATTCTGGATGGGTTTGACAGAGAGCAGGACCCAGATATCTGAATACAGAGCTTTTGTCACAGATTGCATCTGATAAATTATACCAACACTCCGGCCCAATGATAATCAACATGACGTCGACAGTTCTCTCTCTTTTGGTCTTTCTAAGATTTAATCCTCTTATTAATCTCGTGTTAGAAATGGATTTTATCCCCATTTTACGGATGTGTAAACTGAAATACCAAAAGATGAAATAACTTATCCAAAGTTAGCTACATTTTCTCATAATGAGTATCTTCTCCTGCTTGGGCTTCAGCTGATGGGATGTAGAATAAGATCTTTGAAAAATAAAAAGTAAGAGCAGTAACATCCACTGTTGCTATGTGACAGGTACTGTGGTAAGTAATATATTTACTAATCTGTTAAATATTCACATCAACCCTACAAAATACTATTTTCTTCATTGTAGAAATAAGAAACCAGGCCCAAGACCCTGAGGCTAGAAAATGGCAGAGCTCATCTGAGCCAGACTCTGCCTTAACCCTAAAGTTTGTATCCCCTGCTGCGCTTGAAAATCTTGATGTGTGCTCTGGATTAGCTGGGGGAATCACACATTCAGAGTCCTCCCACCTCACTCCAAGGTGCTCTCCACGCTGGATATGGGAAGGATAAGAACTGAGGCTCTGCCAAAGCTACTAATGCGGGGAAGCATCCAAAGGGTTGAAACAAAAGACAGACCTTCAAAATGCACTAACATGCACGCACACACATACACACACACACACACACACACACACAATATTAATGATTCCACCACCACGATTATTTTACATATTGCTCCTTTTCTTCTGCATGTCAAAATATTTTAGCCTGTGAAGACCTAGATGACAGGAATAACTGTGCACATAACTTTTTTAGTTTTATGCTTAGCAGAGTATCAAACACAATTAAGAAGTAAAACCATGTTTTATGGGAGAAAGCTATACTAAAAACCTATTTGCCATTAATGTGACTAGAATAAATGTCAGCTTTTTAAATTATATATTTTACATGTAAGGAAGGAAACTACATTTTACTTTCCCAAAAGCAATTTACCACTGGGGAAAAGGTCTTGGCATAATTTTGTTATTTTATTATGATAAAGGAGACTCTAATTACCTTGACAGAATCCAGTAAACTCTTAGGAAAAAATCGCTTTAAACCAACATCTTTTCTGAAATATAAAAAGAAGCGTATTAACAAATAACACCACCAAATCAATTAATATGACAAACTTGCAAGAACATAAAAGCACTGTAAATTATTTATCCTTCCATATATTATTTAGGAAGGAAACAAGTATAATAATGCTTTAATTTACCAGTATATTCACAGGAAGGATGGGACAAATCATTTTCTAGATATGTACTGGAAACATGAATACAAGTTGGTTTAAATAGAAATCCTTTTGGTTTTTTCTTTTTTTACCTTTATTGTTGAAAACTCTTCTAAAATATTCCCTCTTTGTAAATTATAGTGTATTAAAAACTGTCCTTTTTCAGATATTTCTTGAAGGTTATAAACATCACTTCCAACTGGGTAATACTGTATTTGTAGAGAAAATAGCTAGCCTGATTAGTAAATGATTCAGGATATACCCGAGAAGTTACAGAAATAAATCCCTTAGGTTTATCCTAAAAGTTGACTATTTTTAAAAATAGACTTTTTTGATTAAGTGACTCATTCACTTGTCTCAGTTTCACATTAGGAAAAAACAAACAGATAAATTTATGCCCTAGGTAAAAAAGGTGAATTTATGGAAATGCTGGAAATCGCAGCAATGTTCTTTAAGTCAGGCAACAAAATTAAATTGATCATTATTATCAAGAACCTCAACGCTCTGGCCAAGAAAATAGGTTGGAAAGAATAGCTGATTCTTTTCCTAGTACTTTGGTTACTAACTTACTCAGATGTTTTGGCCACTAGGTGTCACTCGTGTGCTAGCAATGTGAAATAATGCCTCTGACGACATTAAGGAACGTCAGGAAACACATAAAAGGATCAAGGAGAAAAGGGAAATACAGGTATCTTTTCAGAATCACATACTATATCACATATAATAAACTGAATATAAAGTATCAAGAAACAGGGATGACTTCTTCATCCGTAACTGTTAAGTTAGCTGACGTTATAAACAAAACCAGAGACATCATGTCAGTTTATTTGGTTGATACTATATTCAAACATTTTAAATCCCTTATTCTATAATCTAACTGCTAGTAGTTCCTAAGCCAATGAATTCCTCCTCTGGTAAATTCGAAACTGGTCTCAGTTCTCATTCTTTCTTATTCTGATATTATGTTCATTACATCCTATAATTCTCTCTCAGCTTCTATGATATACTACTTTCTGGTTTTACCCATCAGTTAATTCATTTAACTACTGGTTTTACATTTCTGTCTCTAGCCACTTTTGTTTGTAACTTCCCTTCCTTACCTTTACAAAACCATCATTATCTATTTTGACAGTTGGATATGAAGGGGGGAAAAGAATCCACACAAGTTCCTCCTTTTCATTTTGCCTCCTAAAAACACAGGGTCTTTGCATTTTAAGAATTTTTATGCCAATCACTACGGAAAAGTAGCAAAATTAGTACACAAAAGACACACTCTGGAATCTACAAGGCAGTATTCTTGAGGATTTCTGCCTCTATCTACATTTTCAAGCCACTATTCCTTAACAGCAAGCATTTATTTTCATATCAGAGTGTTTGTTTTTTTGAGACTGAGTCTCGCTTTGTCACCCAGGCCAGAGTGCAGTAGCCAATCTCAGCTCACTGCACCCTCTGCCTCCCAGGCTTCGAGCGATTCTCGTGCCTCAGTATCCCAAGTAGCTGGGTTTACAGGCCTGCACTACCACGCCCAGCTATTTTTTGTATTTTTAGTAGAGATGGGGTCTCACCATGTTGGCCAGGCTGGTCTCGAACTCCTGACCTCAAGTGATCTGCCCGCTTCAGCCTCCCAAAGCGCTGGGATTACAGGCATGAGCCACTGCGCCCAGCCTCAGAGAGTTCTTAATTTGAATCTTGGCTCTGCCATAGGACAGACTTGCTGTTAACACCTGCGAACCTCCGGTTACTTGTAAAGTGGGGATGTGAACTCCTACTACCATGCAGTGGTGCTGAGGTTTAAGTAAGACTGTTTATGAAGTTCCTGGAATGTGAAGGGGGCAGTTTCTGTTCTGCCTTAGAAGAAAGCACTGCTGTCTGGACAGCTTCTGGTCCACATGCCCTGTGTCTCACTGTTTACTGCAGAGGGAGGCATGGCCTGACCTGAGGTTTGCTGGTGGACAGGAGAAGCGGTGAGAAGTGGTGAGATTGAGGGGCTACTGTGGACAAAGAGGCAACAGGGATGAGTGACTGGACATGAGGTGTGAGGGAATGCTGAAGCTACGCACCGAGAACAGAAAGGTGGGTGGGCATCAACAGTTCTGTTTTAGACATGTGAGGGCCTAAAACAGACCCATGGGCAAGGTGTACGTGCACGCCCTTCTAGTAGGGATTTCAAGAAGGCAACTGGCCATGTTTCAAGAAGGCAACACACACGTCAGTATTTGGGTGAGGGAAAGACCAGGGCAGGGAATATCCTCTCCGCCACTGTGTGGCTGTCAACTGCTATTAATCAACCCAGCTACACATCTATTTTTCTCAGAGCCAGGCATAACTAAAGAACTTACCATATTCATTGCTGTCACAAATAAGAAAGTTAAAGATAAACCAAAAGTGTTGTATGATTCAAGAAAAATGAAAGGAAGCATATGTTTTTTGAAAATAAAGACGAATACTAGGTATTGCTTTTACTTCAAAGGTGAAGACAACTCCATTAAAAAAAAAAGAAACCTGAAGGCTAATAATTAGCATATATACAGTTTAGGTTTTCTTAAACTTCTTTTGACTAATAATGAATTTGTAACGTTTGTCCATATGTTAGAACTTTTTTGATACCTGGCAGTTGAGAAAATAAAAATGAGGCTCAAGTACACAAGGTCATGGTAAAAATTCTGCAACGCTGCCTTTAACACATTTTAATTTAATCTCGAAATCAAACTACTTCAGGTTTTGTGATAGAGGACTCTGAGCCCACCTAAGGTACTATGTTCAAAGTTTTTAGGGAAAGCCTATTATAGATATCTAAATTTAAAGCCTTAGGAAACCAAACAGGGACTTGTAGGCTGTCCCATTTTTAATATGAGGTCGCCTCTCTCCATGATCTGTGTGTTTGGGACTGGTTTACAATGTGCACTCTAATCAGCAGTAGTTTTGCCTCAAGTGGCGTAAAAACCTTCTTTGAGCCCAAACTCTACACAACTGTCCTGTATGCGAATAAAACAACAAATACAACTTACACATCATCAACAAAATATAATTACTAACCTTTATCATACAATAATTCCTTACTATATTAACTGTCAAAGGATATGTCCTAAATGCATTTAAACTCATGTAATAAAAAACTAACTCACATGAAGCTTTTAGAATATTGCCAAACCCCAATTCCCAAACCCAAGCATCAGTTTATTAGATTCCCACATCAGTTCAGAGAAACCTCTTGAACCCATACACAGATGACAAGACACTAATATTAGGTTAGAACTGTGTTGTCCAATATACAACCGCTAGTGATATGTAGCTATTTATACTTACATTAGTTGAATTAAATTAAAAATTCTGTTCCCAACTGCAATGCTCATCACATTTCAAGTGATGAGCAGTCCCATGTGGCTAGAGGCTACCAAACTAGGTGGGGCAGTCACAGAACAGTTCCATTGTCGCAGAAAGCTGCAATGGGTGGGGCTGGGCCAGAGCAATGAATCTAGGACTTCAGCCACCCTCATTCTCTAGGGCTTGGTGCTGTGGGCCCAAAGGCTCCTCAGTAAGCACAGGGATGGGTGAAATGCATGAGCACTGGGAATAGGTGCAGAGTTACCACAGGGACAACCACTCAAGGTTCTTGCCTTGCTCAGAAAGACTGGGGAAAGAAGGTATAGAGGCATGAGGAGAGAGCTCTACCATGACAATGCAGAAGGCAGCAGATCTCACAGGAGACAGCTGTATGTTAAGAAGCCTTTCGTTGGGACTGCTTGTATATACATAGCAGAGGGCTTCTAAGTATTACCTTTCCTACTTCTCTCTCAGGACTAACAAAAACGGTTTCTATGATCTATTCACTAAGATTCAAATCATTTAGATTTGAAGCTACAAAGAAAAGAGAGGCTGTATTCATTTACTCCCTCACTGAGACCATATGACATACTAGGCACTATAACAGATCATGGGATAGAAAAATCGCTAATATGTTTCCTTTTCTTAAGTGAGATAATTACATAAACAACTAACTACAACACAGTGTGAAAGGTACTATAAGATAAGAGTTTAAAACCAATACACTTAGCCATCGAGATTTAAGGTTTTTCTGGCCAATTTTAAACAGAACTCTCTTAATGTTTAACTGACCTCTATCCTTTAAGTGAAAGATTTAGAACACTGCTGACTGATATGGTCTTCTTTCTCTTTTGCTAAACCTCAGAATCCCATTTAACACTCCACTGATTCCTGTTGCCATTTAGCATTTTTGGAAAATCCTTAGAGAGCTCTGCCCTCCCACATTCCTGCATGATGACTATGCACCTCCTCATATTCCTCCTTTCACACCACAGTGGCCATCCAGAATGCTGCAGGAAAAGAGGCTGTGTAGGAGGGCCTCTCCCCACCTGCACCAGCTGACTGCCATCAGCATTCCCCACTCACTGAGATGAATCCTCTAGGTGCCCATCTAGTCCCAGCCTGTGGCCTTATCCTGCACGTGTATTCATATCCACAAATTCATAACACAGCTGGCTTTTAGAAGCCTCAGATGGGAATCAACTTTCTTTACATATTAAAAAGAAACTAAGCTTATTATAAGCACATTTTTAAGTCAAGGATAAATTTATTTCTCTTCTGGCAATATTTCTGAGAAGATTCTTGTCTGTTGACCCTGTTTAATATTTTGTGAACATAATCCCTCAAATACTTAAAACCCAGGCAAAAATGCAGCCAAAACTAACTTCAAATATAACTTAAATAGGCATTTCCATGTAGTAACTCTTACTCTTTCTCCAAAACTGTCAGAATTGAGTATATTTAATTTAGAAATAGTATGGTGGTACTTTCACCTCTAAATTATACTCAAGCTTCTTAACAGACAAATGTTAAAATTATCTAACTGCAACAGAGATTGCTGTTTCTTAATGACATTCTCCCCTTCATCCTGGGGATGAAGTTGTCTTTTGGCCAGGTAAAGTGCTGCCTTCCCCAGTCTCTTCTGTAGCAGGTATGGCTATGCGACTATGTTTTCTCCTATGTCCCTCTAAGGGAAAGTATTAAACAGCAGGTTCATAAATAATGTCATTATTATGTAATGTTGTTTCATTATAGTGTTGATGAGAAAAAAAATTGATTCCCAGCTGGGCCACTATATGGAGTGTGCATGTTCTCCCTGTGTCTGTGTGGGGTTTCTATGGTTACTCCACTTTCCTCCCACATCCCAAAGATGTGCATGTTAGGGGAACTGGTGTGTCTGAATTGTCCCAGGATGAGTGAGTATGGGGTTGGGGGAGTGAGTACTCCCTGTGACGAGAATGGCATCCTGTCCAAGGCTGGCTCCTGACCTGCATCCTGAGCTGCTGGGATAGGGTCCAGCCACCCACGACCCTGAACTGGAATAACTGGGTAAATAATTATCTGGTTTTTTTTTTAATCAGACTTTTTAAAATGTATGCTTACATTTATTCCAATGTTTAATATTAGAAGTGTTTTGGGTCTCTACTTAGAAGCTGGGGATGTTTTTGTGACGAGAAACATTCCACAAGAACTTAACTCTTGTTTATATCAATTAGCCCACGGTAAAACTGGTTTCACTTTATGTCGTTTCACTTATAGTTTCCAGGAACCTATTGATGTTAAGTGAAGACTTACTGTATACACGTTTGTGTCCTTGAAAAGAAAAAGAGAATGCCCATCTCTTCCTCCTTCCTGGGGACTAGAATACATACGTGGTGATGAGTGATGTTCAGCAGCCTCTTAGGCTATGAGGTGGCTATGGATTACAAAATGGTAAAATTAAAGTAACCTGTAGCCCCAATGACTGAGAAACACTGATTGTCTATCACTTCTTTTATATAAGAGAAATAAACTTCTGTCTCAGTGAGGCAACCATCAATTCCTGCCAAATCTACCAGCACCTCCTTCTTTGATATTTATTATAAGTAGCTAAAGGATGCAATTGACTACTGTTGACAAGAAAAATGAAAACAAGTACAGCGATAACTAAGCTCAGCTAATTTTAAACCACAAATTTATCCATTCTAGAAATACCTATGGAATATCTTACAGATATCAGATACTATATAATGTGTGGGGAATACATTCCCCGCACAACAGAATGCAGCTCACATTCTCCATAGTGAAGAGAAACAACTATACAAACCACTATAGCAAAATATACTAAATGCAAAGATGATTAAAAACAAATTTCTAAAAAAAGGCAAACCACTTAATAAGGAATCAAGCAGAAATGAAAAGTTAGATGGTTCATTTAAAATAATTTCACATTATAGTTCTCTAATTTGGGGAATAATTACTGGAAAATAAGAGTCTTCCTTCTCTAATGCCATATTAGAAATCCTAATTTTAACACTGTATTGGTTTGTCAATATCAGCAATGTACTTTTAAAGGCTAACGAAAAACATTTTTCTTAAAACATTTGACCTCCTTTGGTAGCTGCCTTCTCTCCTCCTCACCTCTTATTTACAAATGATGTAAATAAAAGTCTTGTCTGTTTTGCACTCCAGTTGTTCCCTGTTGTGTGAGCCCACAGGAAGTAACGTACCAGGGACAGGGGTTGGGGGACTTCAGTGTCTTATACTTTTCCTTTGCCTACAAAAAAAGTACCTTGGTTCTTCCTAGATTGGAAAGACATGAAAAGAAAGACTGATGAACTCTCTAGTTGGTTTAAAGAAAAAACCCTTAAGCTTCTAGATGTATTTGTCACACTCTCAGAAACTATGCCTTAGTGGTAGTAGTAGTACTAGTATAACTCAAAATAGTTATTTATGGCTGGGCGTGGTGACTCACACCTGTAATCCCAGCACTTTGGGAGGCCAACGCGGGTGGATCACTTGAGGTCAGGCATTCAAGACCAGCCTGGCCAACATGATGAAACCCCATCGCTACTAAAAATAAAAAAATTAGCTGGGCGTGGTGGTGCACACCTGTAATCCCTGATACTTGGGTGGCTGAGGTAGGAGAATCACTTGCACCTGGGAGGTGGAGGTTACACTGGGCTGAGATCATGCCACTGCACTCTAGCCTGGGCAACAGAGAGAGACTCTGTCTCAAACAAACAAACAAAAACAAAAAAAGTCATTTAGAAATACAGTAAAGCAGCTGGGCACGGTGGCTTACACCTGTAATCCTAGCACTTTAGAAGGCCGATGCGGGCTGATCACTTGAGGTCAGGAGTTCAAAATCAGCCTGGCCAACATGGTAAAACCCCATCTCTACTAAAAATACAAAAAAAATTAGCCGGGCACAGTGGTGGGCACCTGCAATCCCAGCTACTTAGGAGGCTGAGGCAGGAGAATTGCTTGAATCCAGGAGGAGGAGGTTGCTGCAAGCCGAGGTCACGCCACTGCACTCCAGCCTGGGCAACAGAGCAAGACTCCATCTCAAAAAAAAAAGTACAGTAAAGCTGAAAGGGCATTGTGCATTAGGCTGTAAACAACTGAGTTTGACTTTAAAATTCCTGCCGGAATCTAATAAATTATGTGGAACATATCATGAGTTTTCTTATTAGAAAGGAAAAAGAGAACCATGAAATGAACTAATAAGAAACAAGCAGTATTCTGTATTCATGTATAATTCCTTTCTGTACCGAAGAAATATAAATTTCTAAATGGCTCCAAGTTACTAGCCAAAACCAATAGGAAAAAGAAATGCCAACACACTCCTTGAGAGAGCTGCTGGGGTTCCCAGTTGCTCCTGTGGTAGAACAGCCATGGTGTGTGCATGCGAGTCCCTGCACATCCTCTCAGCCAGGCCACTCCTAAAGCACTGGCATCAGCCTTTACAATGGCCAAATGCAATATTGTTAAGTATCTTTATTATATAAAATGTAACCAGGTTAATAGTTACATTTTCTCTGTTAAGCTATTATCGGGCCAGATATGGTGACTCATACCTATAATCTCAGCACATTGGGAGGCCAAAGTGGGAAGATTGCTTGACCAGCATCTGTTAAGCTACCTTTCAAGAACAAGGGTGAAATTTTTTAAAAAGAGACAGATTTAAAAACAGAATTTTATTATCAAAAACTACATATTAAAAACTTCTAGGCCGGGCGCGGTGGCTCACGCTTGTAAGCCCAGCACTTTGGGAGGCCGAGGCGGGCGGATCACAAGGTCAGGAGATCGAGACCATCCTGGCTAACATGGTGAAATCCCGTCTCTACTAAAAATACAAAAAATTAGCTGGGCATGGTGGCGGGCACCTGTAGTCCCAGCTACTAAGGAGGCTGAGGCAGGAGAATGGTGTGAACCCAGGAGGCGGAGCTTGCAGTGAGCCGAGATCGCGCCACTGCACTCCAGCCTGGGCACAGAGTGAGACTCCGTCTCAAAAAAAAAAACAAAAAAAAAACTTATAAGTAAAAGTAAAAGGGAAACTAATGTTGGAAACAGATTGAGCTACAATGAAGAATGTTTAGGCAACAGGGTGATAAACATGCCGGTTTCTAGGACGCCCCCAGCACACACACACTAACACAAAGCACGACAGGCAGAAGGGAAACTGTTTTTGGGTTTCTGGACCGACGGTACCTGCAAGGTGGGGATGATGAACCCGGCGCTTGGGCACTGAGGTTGGACCTGACGAAGGCGGAAGTGGCATCATTTCCTGGCTCTTGCCAGAAGCCGCAGCAGTGTAAACAAAGCCCCCTGGAACTCAGCTTGCCCAGTCTAGGGCCACCAGCCTCTAATCCAAGCCACTTTGGTGGCCTGAGTGAGAGTCAGAGTAACAGCAGATTGAGACACCCCAGTACCTCAAGGTTATTGTCAAATACAGAACAGAAAACAGCTATGCATAAAAACTTGAAGAAATAAACGGCACAAACACCACAGATGGGCATACCAGAGGTTACCAAGCATGAAGAAGATTACATCACATGAAATGGAATGTCTAGAAATGAAAAAATATAAGTGGTAGAATGAAAAAAACAATGAACAACGTATGGCATAAAGATACTACTTAAGAGAATTAAAGAATTATAAGACAAATCCAAAGAAATATCTCCCCCAAAAAAGAGAGAATCCAGAGAGACAGAGAGATAGAAAACACGAAAAATGTAAGAGACAGCAAAGATCAGAAATATATCTGTTGATTATTAAAGAGATAGTGGCATATATTTTCCAGATGAAAAACATGAATCTACAGAATTGAGAAGTATGTCTTATTCCAACTGGATTTATAAAAAGAAATCGAAGCACAAGACATGAATAAAACTAGAAAAGATGAAAAGTAGGAAAAGGACCTTAAAAGAAAGAGCAACCATAAAGAAATGTCAACAGACATTTCTTGTCATAACAGAGTATCTTTACAGTGTTGAGAAAAAAACAATGAGCAGAACAATATATTTGGAATAAAAGGAAAAGCATACCAGAAGGGTGGTCTGAGATACAAAAATGGTTATTTTAAGCAAGGTCTTCCTCTGTTGCCCAGGCTGGAGTGCAGTGGCATGATCATAGCTCACTGCAGCCACAACAAGCTGGGCTCAAGCAATCCTCCAGCCTCAGCCTCCCGACTAGGTGAGACCACAGCTGCGTGCCACCGCGCCTGGCTAATTTTTATAATTATTTGTAGAGATGAGGTCTCGCTATGCTATCCGTGCTGGTCAAGCCATCTTCCTACCCTGGCCTCCCAGTGTGCTGGGATTATAGGTTATGAGCCACTGCACCTGGCCCAATATAGGATGTTTAAGAAATAAAATCATATACATGTAGGGAAAGCCAAAAATAATAACTGTATAAAATAATAATAATGTCTAATATTTGGAGTTTCAATTTTGAAAAGATATAACTAAAATAACAGGAAAAAATGATGTGTAAGTTGGAAGAAGATGGGGAGAGTTAAGGTGTTTAAAGGTCCTTGTATTGTTTAAGAGAGGGTTAGATAAGTTTAAAATCTGGAGTTGGTTAATATAGAAGGTTAAATGTAAGGGTAACTAATGAAAGAGTAGAGATGTTTATAAATTTCAACGTAATTACAGAAGAAAATGTGGAATAAGAATACCAACTAAGAAATACACAGCACATGCACTCACACACAGCTTATTTCTAGGACACCGGAAATAAATAATAAAAGCGAGTCCAATATATCACGCATCCTAAGAAATACAGATGTACTAAACCTGTCAGTTCAAAGAAACACTTAGCAAACTGGATTTAAGAAATCCAGCACTATGACATTTTTAAAAGACACACCTGAAAGTATAAGGACACAGAGAAGTTGAAAGTGAAGAAATGAAAAGTATAAACCAGGTCAAGGCTAACCTAAAGAAAGCAAAACAGATTTCAGAACAACAACAACAAATTATCAGGCATAGAGAAGATCACTACATAATGATGCAAAATTCAATTTACCAAGAAGGTATATTGTTCGTATGTTTAAATAAAAGCGCCTCAAAATATCAAGGAAAAATTAATAGACTTATAGGAAGAAATTGGCAAAGTCATTATCACAGATGGGTATGTTAACAAGCTTGATTAGGAAGTGCATTTTTTGAATCACACTAAAACATTTATAAAAACTGATCACACAAAGCAAATACAACAAAATGTTAATAACTGTAGCATTCAGGTAATAGACACACAGATGCTCACTGAACAAGTCTCTCAACTTATTTGTATTTTTGAAACTTTTTCATGATAAAACACTAGGGGAAAATGATCTTATTCTAGGGTCCACAAAAGAAGTCTCCATAAAAGTTGAGAAGCTCTTATCACACAGACCACGCTATCTGAGCATAATGTCATTAAGCCAAAAGTTAATTTAAAAAGAAAATATTTTTAAAATCCACACATTTGAAAATGTAAAAACAGAAATGAATACACAAAAGTTTCAAAACAAACATTTAACAATCTTAAGTTCTGGAATGCCTTTTTAAAAATCGGATCTTAAAACTCAAAAACCAAAATGAAAATACGATTTTACTACATTAAAGAAAGACAAACTTCTGTAATGATGAGAGCCATATACACATAGTTGAAAGAAAATGACGAGCTGGGAAAGAAAATACAGAACTAACATTACAAGATGTGTTAACATGACAAAGACTGCTTAAAATTAATAAAGAAAAAATATATTAGAAAAGCTTATTTAAAATATAGTTAATTTACAAAAAAAACTTAAAAATGGCCATATATGTGAAGAGGTTTAATATCACCAGTAATCAAACTAATATAAAGCAAGTTATCATCTGTTGCCTATCATATAGGCAAAAATGAACAAAAAATGGCACCATGCCTTACATTGTTATTAACCTGAACTGAATGTCCACTATTATGTGGCTGTTTAAATGTATGTAGCATTATATACTCATTGGGTGGACTAGTATACTAATGTATATTTTTATTTAGTCACATGGAAAGATCTATTAAACATAAAGTTGAATAAAAAAAGCAAGATGCATATAGGATTATTCCACTTATATTAAAACTATGCATTGAATGTGCACACAAGTGTTAAAACAGAGAGCTATAAGGATATTTATTAAAACTATGATGGTGGTTATCAGTGAGAGGAGTTGAAGAAATTTTCTTATTTGACACTGTAGTTTCACTTTTTCTCTAACTAGAATGTATTATTACCTTTGAAAATAAATAAATTAAAAATCATTTTAAAAGGGCTCAAAATTAAATCAACAGATGAACAATAACATTGTTTTCTATTTTTTTTTCTTAATGCTCTTTAAAGAAACTCTACAGTTTGGTTTTTATCCTGATTGACAATCAATATCTCCCATGGATAATAATCATAATTATAGTCCACATTTATTCAGTGTTGGGTACAAGAGGTATTAAGCTCTTGACATAAATTATCTCATCTAACTCCTTACGACAATCTCATATATAGGTAGGTATCACCATTATCCCCATTTTACACGTTTGGAAACAGACACCAAGAGCTTACTAATAAAATTTGGCAAATAGAATAGTCAAGGTGCGATAAGGACTTGAACCCAGATATTCTGCTTCAAGAGGTCACTCAACTAATCTACTTATATGGAGATAGGGTGCTGAATTCACACAAGTTGTATAACTGCAACGAATCACTACAGTGGAGCAAAAGCACAGGAATTTAGAAAGAGGGGACAGCAAAATAAGCACAATAGCATCCTAGAACTACAATAAACTAAAGATTCCTCTTTCTTTTAACTATCATATTTACTTACTTTAAATATCACACATATAAATTAACTAAGATGAAACAGCCATATCAAAACAATAGATCATTCAACTTTCCATGCAATCCTCTAAGAAGGATCTAATTTACAAACTTATGCTGTGTCTAGCTCTCCTGTTTCAAGTAATAATAATCACAAGCCCTTATGTATAGCAATTCTCATGTTCTCCATTTCACTGACCCCTGACAAAAACTGCGTAAGGTTTTGAAAGCCTTTAACACTGGTTAAAGCCCTAAGTTGTCCTCTTCTATTCACCTCTTCTCTGATCATCTGAAGTTCTGTAATTTCCAGAAATAAGCCAAATTTACACTAACTTCAGTGCAAAATTTGACTCTCATTTCAAACAGATCTTGAACTTAAAATTCTTCTCTCCAAACATACCATTCACTAATTCACCTTGACAGACAACCTGCTTTTCTTTCTTTAACTGTTTTGGCTGTTAAAAATATGTCAATGTATTATTCATGGAAATTTCTTTCAAGTATCTCTCTTCCTGTAACTCTGTATCCTTTTGACAGTATGTCTGGCTCTCTTCATTCCTTTGTATACCTCTGGTTCTCACATAGACTCTATCTTTCAGTTACCATTTCATTTTCCTATCTTGGCCTCACATACAGATAGGGTAGAATACAATTCACATTATTCTTTTTCCCCAGCCACTATACTAGAGTAGGCTTCCACAGTGACCCTGAAAGATGATCACATGTGTTCCTGGAGTCCTCTCTCTGTAACTCAGCCAGGCCACTCAACTAGCACTCCTTTCTTGACTTCACATTAACTATTTGCCATCTATTGTACCTTCTTAGATCATCTCTAACTACTTGCTGACCTCAATTCTCCCATCAGGTTTTTTTTAGATAGGCCTTTTATTTTACAATAGTTTTAGATTTACAAAAGAGTTACAAAGAGAGTATCCTGTATAGTCCACACCCAGGTCCCCCTACTATTAATATCTTGCATTACTTTGGTACATTTGTCACAAATAATAAACCAGTATGGATATATTATGATTAACAAACTCTATACTTTACTCAGATTTCATCAGTTTTCTTCCCCTATCATTTTTCTGTTCCAACATCATATGGAGGACACCACATTACCTGTAATCATCCTGTTTCTTTAGGCAACTCCTGGATATGTGAGTTTCTCTGACTTCCACTGTTTCCTTCATGACCTTGACAGTTTTGAGGAGTACTGGTTAGGTACTTTGTAAAATGTCCCTGAAGAGGGATTTGTTTGATGTTTTTTCTCGTGATTAGACTGTGGTTATGGGTTTTTATTATGAGGAAGGCCACAGAGGTAAAGTGCCTTTCTCAACACATTACATTATGGTTGCACACTATCAACATGACTGATCACTGGTGATGTTGACTTTGACCACCTGGCTAAGGTCATGCCTGTCAGGTTTCTTCACTGTAAAATTACTTTTTCCCCACACTTCCTTTCCTTATTATACTCTTTAGAAACAAGCCACTAAATGTAGCTCATACGTTAGAGGTGGGTTTTATGCTCCACCTCCTTTGAGAGAGGGTATTTACATAAATTATTTGGAATTTTTCTATAGAGGAAATTTGTCACTGCTCCTTTATTTATTTATTCAAGTATCTATATTACTATGGACTCATGGGTATTTAATTTATACTTTGGGTTACAATCTAATACTATGTAACTTAATTTGTTGCTCGAATTGTTCCAGCTTTTGTCACTGGGAACTCTTTCCACTGGCTCATTCATCCTTTGACACAGCCCCATCGTTTTGCTTTTTGAGCACTTCCTTCTTTCTGGCACTACAAGCTGCTCTAGGGCTCACCCGTGTATTATTCCTCCTCTCCCTCAAACTGCATTTTTCCAAGCAGCTCTGGTGCCTTCCACTGAAGAATGGTACTAGAAACCAAGATCTAAGCACAGGGTACCATAAGAGACTTTTTTTAATGCTACTGGTATTTGTCATTTCATAACAGTGAAATAAACCAACATTTATCTTTCCTTTTTCATTTTAAAAAACATGAATGTTCCCATAGAACTAAAAATCAACATGCTCCGAGTAACTTGTCTTCTTTCTCCTCAAGCACACTCCTTTTCTGTGACTGGTATCCATAGTGGCCCACGACAGAAAACCAAGAGACTCCTTGGGTTCCTCCCTGTCCCTAATTCAAATGTAATCAGCCTCCAGTCAGACTCTACCTCTGCTAGCCCGTGTCTCCATGGCCACTGCTTCCTTCTGTCTCACAGCCTCATCATTCTCACATGGACAAGAAAGGTACAACAGCTTCCTGGCTCCTTGCTACCATTTTCAATCTTCTTTAATGAAATTCTAATCTCACAAATATGGAATTCTAAATTGCGAATCTCATCATATAATTGTCCTGCTTGAAATGATGAGTCAGCGATGATCAAAGGCCAAGTCCAGACTCTTTGAAGAATGTACTAGATAGGTAATGACCTGGTCCCTGTATACATACCCCTCTCTCCCTCATAAGAATGGTATTCTATCTACCCCCAACCAACTCAGTTTCCTAACCTTTGCCTGATGGTCCATGTTTCTGTGCCTTTGCAAATGCTGATTTATCCTCTTGACTGGCTTCCTGGCTCCCATGCAACAAACCCCACATATCTACACTTTGTGAATCACTCATTCTTTAAGACTTAGGTTAAATAACATCTCCATGTGAAAACACCTCACACATCAAGTACCATTCTCCTGTAAACACCCAGCTGATACTTCCACTTTAGTTTCTAGCACATTATGTTATAATTTTGCTTACTTGTCTGAGAGTCTTCCTTTTAGTGGAATGCTTCCTGGGGGTTAAAATTTTGTTTTATTTCCGAATCTCTGGCACTTAGCTACAAAGGACTCAGTGTTCAGTTATCTTTTGCTGAATTAATTATGAAAAAGATGAAGTATAGGGTTTCTAGCCTCCCACGACATAAACTCCACGTTGGGTTAATTTAATACAATCTAATATAACAGTCTGATGCACACATTAATTTCATTATTGGAAAAATTTCTAGTTATTCTAGATTTTTCTGATACATGAGCAGTAACTTCCGTATCTCTATTTGTGCAAAACAATCTGTAGTAACTTATACAGAGAACATGAATAATAATTTATAAGCAATTTATAGGCAGCTGTAGAATTCAATATAAATTAGAAAAAAATATCATCTTGCAATGATTAAATCTACACAAAGTGTATGTTAATGGGCCATATACAATGTTAGCTTTAAGACATCTATCAACAAATCTAAATGTTTATTAACACAATTAATGTCATCAAGGATTCTGTCCTTTTCCTCTTCTGGATATAAAATTTTAGAAATAGCAGTGTTTCAGAATCAGTATTTAATTTTAAAATAAACTAAGAATTTAGTTCTGCATATTTGCAGGTATAGATTGTAAGTACAATACTTACTCTAATACTTCATAGTTAGACTTCTTTTCTAGTGCATTGCCCCGCATCTCCCAGTATGATCGCCTAAAATCAGGGAAGACATACATTTATATGTATATATAAGGAATGTTTGTGTTGTTAAGTGATAAAAACTGGGGGAGAGGCATCTGAATAATAAACAAAAATTAACAGCAACAAATGCAATTACTTTTGCACCAAACCAATAGTTCATAATTTACTCAAATTTTATTCAGTATTTCACTGATAATCCTTATGAAGAAAAGGAAAATACCTGGAAAATATTCAAAAATAATTAAAAAATTGATAAATAAAGGCCGCAATGTATAGTTATCATCTTACCGTATTTCTAGACAACCCAACTTCAAAGCAATTTCCTGGTCCACTTGATCAGCTATCTCTAACATATAATCGCTCTTCACCTACAACAAAAGGAATGGGAAAAACAACACTGTTTTAAAAGAAAAATATTAGATATATGCATTCAATAAATGTTTCCTGAGTACCTTTCATATAGTTTACATTATGTCGGTAATTACGCTTGATGTTAAAGATATAAATAAATGTTTCCTGAGTACCTTTCATATAGTTTACATTGTGTCGGTAATTATGCTTGATGTTAAAGATATAAATAAATGTTTCTTCAGTACCTTTCATATAGTTTACATTGTGTCGGTAATTATGCCTGATGTTAAAGATATAAACGTGAGTTATACCAAAAAATAATTAAAGAAATAAAATGGTCTCCTATTAAGAAAAGCTCATATATGACCACTTAAATGGGACATTAAGAAACAACGAATAGGGTCTGAATCATAATAACCTTCAGATGCTCCACACCTTTCCCATGCTGTCAAAAGTAAAAACAAGAAGGGAAATTTCCATTTCTACAAAAATTTGCAGATGTATTTTCTGACCTCAAACTACAGTTCCAGCAGCATATTTTGGACTCCAGTGAAAAGGCAAAGGATTTACGTACTTCAAAATCCATTTAACTGTGCAGCTCAGATGTTTTCATCTAACCATCAATTTTAAGTGATTAATCTGCAAAGTAATACAAGCTTAAAGTCTAAAGTAAAGAGAAGAATCTAATGGAATTCTTGAAATGCCTTCTAAACAATGAATCAACTCAATTTTAAAAGCCGATAAGAGTGATATCAATACGTGCAAGTAACTGTCACTGTGAACACATTTTCAAAGACGAAATGTGTACAATTTCCTTGTAGATTAGCCTGAAAAGATTAAAATCTGCAATTGATTTTGATGAGAGTACCCATTTTGAACTTCACATGAAATGTTATCCACCCCTCCTCCAAGACGCATCCCATTCTCTTCAGCAGTACACCTGTGTTACAAGAAAACCATGCTCAATTATTATATTATGAATTTTATCAACACAAAAATTTGTGGAAATTTGTCTTCTTTCTTGTTCTGTACTTTCATAATACCCTGCATTTTGCCTCGTTCCTGAAAGTCTAAACTATTTACTCTGACCCTTTATATAAAAAGTGTCTTGACTTCTACCCTAAAAAAATTTTCAAACATCCTGTTCTTCAATGACTGCCTCCTAGCCTGCTAGCCCATTTGTTCAAAGAGTCCCACCCCCAGTTAACTCATCTCTCACTCCACACCAATCTTTGTCTACTTCATACTGGATGGTTCCTCATTATGACCGTCCCTTGCAAAGACAACCAGCTCCCCTGTCTCCCATTATCCCTCTGTCTGAATTGCTTGGTAAACCCAAGCCACGTTGAACCTACCCACTCATCCTCTTCATGTTTAGATGAGCAGCTGGAGAAATCATAGTATAAACTCCACTTTCAACTCATGAAGACAAATCTCAAATGGCCAGTTAAAACTATCTGGAAATTGAACAATGCATGCCTAGGAAGCGCTACAATTCACTGATTTCATACTTCCTCCAGTAAGCCTGCCATATCTCTTTGTTACAGAGAAGATAAAACACATCAGATGAGCATACTCTCTTTAACCTACCAGGAATTTATAACCTAATATGCACTAAAAAAGTATGAACATTTACTCATTATTTTCTCTTAAAGTAGGAGAAACATTCCCTCAACCAGCAGTGGACAACTATGTGCTATTACTGATCTAAGGACTATTCGTCTCAAAACCTTTCTTTATTTTCTGCATTAGCATCTAAGGCTGGGTGCTCAATAAATATTTATTGAATGAATGCATAAACGAATGAACAAACAGTCATCAAACTGGAGGGTGGGTACATAAATGTTATTTTCCATATATATTTTCCCTCCTTTACAAGGAACAAGAGTTTCTACTCCTTCCACAAAGCAGGCACTCAAGACTGACCAACCGGAACTGAATTAATTCATTCAGTTAAGTAAAAAGCTTTAGGTCTAGAACTATTCGTTTAACTTCTACAAATAGTAGAAGCTCTTGTTTCTACAAAACAAAAAATAAGTCTCAATTTAAAACCTGTTTTGCATCATAAGTAGGTTTATTATCGAGCACAAAAATAAAGGCGCAAGAATTAAACCAAGATAGGTATTTAGATAGGCAGAAAAATACCACCGTTACTCTGATGGAAACATTCAGTGGCTTTTAGTTGTCTGATGCAGATTTCAGAGGAACTACTGCAGACCACCAATTACATGATGAGGAAAATGCACCATTACCAAATTCAATTAATCTTGAAGATTAATTGCCACAATTTTTAAACACTATTCACAGGTAGAAAAAATAATCAAATGCTATATTTCATCATCAAAACCAAATTCGCATTGTAAAAATGAAAAAGGGGGAAATTATAATAATCTTCATTTAAAAAATCTCATTTATGAGAATGAGTTCAAAGTTCTGAGAGTTGTTTTTCCTATAGCTTTAATCTCGATTATCAGAGCTGCATGATCACACACTGAAATCTATTTGTGGCCCGATGTGATCAAAGTATTCTGCAAAGAGTATAGATCTGAGATAGAATAAGGCATCACCACAGACCCGTGTCCTCCCCTCAAGCCCCAAAGCAGCTTCCCCTCTGCTGCCAGAGAGAAAGCAAACTCTATTCAGTGTCTCAATGCTCCCTGTCATCTAGGCTCTAGAGAGTGTTCTCTCAAGCCACTGGGCACGGCCACATCCTGAGGCTGGGCTTCAAGACTCAGAATTATGTACACACTTTGTTCATATCCCTTATAAAACACTTCTTGACCACCTGTCTTCCACTAACTCCCAGCAGAATTGCTATCATTTGTGAAACCAAACTGATCAAGCATTTAGGTTTCTATAAAGTATATATACCTAGCACCATGTC